>NC_000003.12:43949393-44252424 GCF_000001405.40 Homo sapiens
GGATGGATGAGCCAAGAACACAGAAACCTAAAGGTCCCTAGGAATTAGTGGAGATTCTGGGGAGGTCTTTGGACCTCTCTAGGCTGCAGAGTTCATGGAAGTCCAATTGCCCCAAAAGCAGCCTCTGAGATGAGAACTTGGGTGTACATGTGTTTTTTGTGGAGGGGAATCCAGGGAAGGGAGTGTGTTAGTGAGTGGGTCTCCACGGTGGGCAACTAGGGCTCCACCCTTAGAGGGATCCTCTGAGGAACTGTGCAGAATGCACCTCAGAACTGTCCCACAGGGACAGAAGGTCGGATGTCTAACTGCAGAGCCCCCGGTTGACAGCTGTCCCTGGAGGTGCAAACACGCAGGCTGAGCAAACTCCTGTGGTGCAAGATGAAGCCTCCTGTGAAGAGAAAGAGGATGCAGGCACTGGAGGAGGCAGCTGTCAGCATGTAGGGAGTGTCCCCGGGCAGCATGGGACACCAAGATGGGCCTGGGGAACCGCAGCATCTGCTCCACCCACCTAGAGCACTGGGACAAGATTGTCTCAGCAGCACATGGGGCACAAAAATAATGACTCCTCCAAACAGCAAAGGTGCTTGGGGGCTGGTGGCTTTTGTGACAGTGGAGCTGCAGCCCCAGGTGAAGCCCAAGGAGTTCAAATATTTTAGAAGGCAGGCTGGCTGGGACTGCATGGAAGCTCATCCGTGCATGGGAAGGTGCTGTAGCTGCCATTCCCCAGCCACCACCCCCTACCCCCCACCAAAGAGGGGCAGGGGAGGCCAGCAAGGATTTCTAGTCCTTTCCTCCAGTTATTTCAAAAGAAAACAAACAGCCGGCTGCAGTGGCTCATGCCTGTAATCCCAGTGTTTTGGGAGGCCAAGGCAGGTGGATCACGAGGTCAAGAGATCCAGACCATCCTGGCCAACATGGTGAAACCCCATCTCTACTAAATATACAAAAAATTAGCCAGGCATGGTAGCGGGCGCCTGTAGTCCCAGCTACTCGGGAGGCTGAGGCAGGAGAATGGCGTGAACCCGGGTGGCGGAGCTTGCAGTGAGCCGAGATCGCGCTACTGCACTCCAGCCTGGGCGACAGAGCAAGACTCCACCTCAAAAAAAAAAAAAAAAAAAAAGAGAGAAAACAAACATTGAATTCAGGGGAAAGTATTAGAACTGTGAAGGACTATATCCTTTAGGATTAAGTTAGTCTGTTAGTAACAAGAGACTCAAAGCCTCGTGGCTCAGACAAGATAAAAGATTATTCCTCTCTCTCTCTAGTAAAAGGCTGGAGCTTCTAGTTGGGGGCTAAGGAACAAAGTCTTCAGGGACCCAGGCTCCTTCTGGCTCCCTGCAGTGCCACCAGGTGTGGTCTTCCCCTCGCGGTCCAAGCTGATGGCTCTCACACCCCATCCCAGCCATAAGAGCCATAAGAAGGGATCAAGAGAAAGGAAGGAAGGGCAAAGCGCAGCACCCACTGTTTTACAGGACGATTCCCAGAAGTCACCATGCTGTAATTCCAGTTACACCCCGTTAGCCTGATCTGAATGCATGGCCACACCCATCTTCAGAAGTGGTTGAGAAGCGTAGTCTGTTTCCTGTGTGACTGTGTGCCCAGCTAGAAATTCTGTTACTGAGGGAGAAGGGGAAAGTGGATATCAGGTTCTATCAGCCACCTCTGCAGCAGCAACCTTGCTAATCACCTTACAGGTCAGGATGCTGAGCCAAAGGCCATCAAGTTTATATTGGGAACATAGATTATATCCTACATACAGCATGTTCTAAGCAATACAATACAATTCAGCCCGCTCCAGTATGTCCCACCCCACACAATGGGCTAACCCTTGCAGCAGACACTATGCCCCACCCCATATCCCCTCAGCCACCTGAGTTAATCTGCAGCTGTGGGAGACAGTTCCTGCATGACAGCTGCCACCTTCTCTACCTGAAACTTTCTCCAGTGCCATGAGAGCTTGCTGTGTCACAAGCAGGCACAACTGAAGTTTGGAGGCATTGATATTCCTGGAGCAACCCTCAAATGGGGATGCTGAGAGTCGATGGGTGTATGTTCCAGCCACCCCAGCCTGCACTGGGACAATTCTAAGTGTGTTCAGCATGGTTTCTCAGACAGGCCCCAGCAGAACTGAGCCCCAGTTCTCCAGTTACCACATCCATTCTTGTATTTTCTCCTTCCCTGTCCCACTCACCCTACTCCCTTACCCCTCCCAATAAACTCCCTGAACACAGGTGCTTATTTCAGGGTCTGCCTTGAGAAAAAACCCAAACAAAGATACCTTTGGATGCCTTCCCTGTAATCATCCACATAGTTAGTGGCTAAATTAGAATTGGAACTTAGATCCCTAGACTTTTAGAACAGATGTTCTTTCCATAGTCCTGGAACAAGAATACGGGGGAATTTTTAAGAACCAGTACCTTGTCAACAAATTACAGTCCTGAAATTGTTGCTCTGGTTTCTGAATCAAATCATTGGCCCACAAAGAATGAATGGAGCAGATTAAAACGCAATAAAGATTCAGTCCACGTATTAAAGATAATAGCCAGGACTGGTTTTGTTAATGAATGGAGCCTGCGCCTCCTCCTGCCCCAGCAATTCTGGGAATGGTTGTTTGATTTGGTTTATTGGTTTCTTTCTTTATGAGAATGCTGTGCACATTGGTAGGAGCTGCTACTCTCAGAGGGCAAAAGCTCCACCCATAAACACAAAAGACTATGCTCTCTGACAAAAGGCCACGGCAGTGAGAAACCCTTTGGGGAACTGCCAAAGTCATCTATAACCTAAAGATCATCTGTTGACCCTGTGGCATAGGAGGGGACCCCACAGCCCTCCACAGTAAAACCCTGCCATCCATTTCCTGTCAAATACGTGTGCAAGTAAACTGAGGCAAATGACTGAGAGGTTGCCAGGAATCCAGGGATGGGATTACTGCCTGGGAAAGGAGCAGAAGGGGGTAACACTCAGGCTGGGCCAGATGGAAAGCCCGGTAGAGTATGGCCTTGAGATCTGGCCCTGCCCCATCCCAAGCCACTGCCCCTGAGCCCCTGTAGCCCTGGCTCTAGGTTGCTGCCTGTGAGCACAGGCTCACACACTGTCCCCATTCAGAATTGGTGTCTCCAGCATTAATAATAATAGTAATAGTTTTATTATAAGCACAGTAATAACAACAGTATCAACTGTTTCTGCTCTTTTTGGCTCAGTGTGTACATAACAACAGCTTTCCAGTTAATATTCCCTTTAAGCCTGATAACAATCCTTATTTTACAGATGTAAAAACTGAGCATCAGCAAGGCCAAGTGACTTGGTCAAAGCCATGTAGCTAATCGAACCAGCCCATCTGCACCCCAGGCCATGTTTCTGACACCATGCCACGCTGTCCCCTGGTTGGCTTTATGTGGCCATCAGCTATTATAGTGTCCAGGCCCCAACACAATCGTCATTTTGACTCTTGCCAGTGAAGACCTGGTTACCCGATCCCCTGCCCACCGCCTCACCACCACTCCTCTCCAGCAATGTAAGGTACTCTGAGAGATGGTTCAGAACGGTCTCGCCTATCACGAGACTGAGCTGTACAGGTGAAACAAGGCAAGGCCCTTCATTCCTTGGAATGCAGAGGTTCTGAAGATGTGGCATACCTGGGCTGAGGCAGTGGGGTGAGATCGGAACTGGGGTCCTCTCATTCCTTGCCTCTTCCAGGAAAGCCTGCTTGCTGCTCCAAAAGGACATTGGGCAAAACAGTGGGAAACCAGGTCCAGGATTGCAAAGTGGCTTTGAAGGGCCCAAGACCCTTCAAGCAAGCAGCCGTCCACACTCATCAAATGGGCAGGGAGGGCTTCTACACTGGGTGGTTCCAGCTGTCCTTTTTCGGGGGCACACTGAGCAATACTTTAACCCTGCATTAAGATTTCTCAGAACACCCAAAGGAAGCCCCCTTGGTGAAATTAGGGCTGATGAATGAGAAGAAAGAAATAATAAAAATGGGGGAGGAAAGATTCTAAAATGATCTGGGATTCATTTCTTGGAGACAGCAGACTCCTTAAATTTTTATACATGGCAATGTGGTGATTAAGTGCTGCTGCCACCAGTAGCTTACAGGAATGAGCAGAGAGACGGAGCTGGGGACAGCGGGTGGCGCATCTGACCGGGTGTGAGTGATGGAGGCCGTACCTGGTGAGCGGCCTTGCACCACGATGGGACCGACTTCCACTGGTCTGAACTCCAAGGACATCTCCGTGCTCCTTTGTGCTCTCTCCTGCATTCCAAATCATGGGTCATAAATCTTCTGGCTCCTGCCTATTTTCTATTTAAAGTGTGTGTGGCGGTGGGAGGGTGGATAGCATACTGCATCTTGGCTGTTTCTTAATAAAATGGGCAGGTTGGTGAATGTTCATGCATATGAAGGACCAGAGGAGTGACTGGAGCCAGGGTTTTCCTAATGCTATTAAAAGACCAGTGAACAGAGGGCTGTCTGCCGGCAGTGTCCAGAAAACGGACACAGTAGCTAATGAGCCTGTGATGGATAGGGGCTGACTCACTGGCAGCTGAGTGCAGTCCCAGAGGGGCCAGTGGCCGGAAGATGTGACTTTCCTGCAAAAGCAACAGGTATGAGCTTCCCAGACCACAATGCAGAACATGCAGAAGTAAAGGTTTCTTGGTTTCTTTGTAGCAGAACTAAGCATGGCCCTACACAGGGATGACATTCAGATTTTATGTACCAGTAACAAGAGGCCAAGCTCCAATGCACAAGCACTTTGCAAGTCCTGCTTGCGGAACATTTGCTGATGACTCATTGGTCAGTGTCATGTGGTCAAGCCCATATTCCAGGGGTGGAGAAATAAATGCCACTTCTTTATTGACGAGAAGTGGTAAAGTCACATTGCAAAGGGGCACAGTACAGGGTAGAATTATTTTTAGCCATGTTTGCAAACAATCTACCACATAGCAGTTCTTGCCTCCAAGATTTTGAAGTATTCTCAGATTATTTTTGTCTCACTACAGTTCATCACTCACTTTGGTTCAGATTTATGTTTTGAAAGTCACTCTAAGTGAAATTAATGGCAGCAATGTTACAAGGGAGGGGAGTGAGGACTTACGAATACTCTGTGGTAAGGCACCTGCACTACCTGTGAAGCGGTATAGTGTTATCTGAATGTGGACTTTGATTAGTTGTAAGTACATATTGTAAACTCTGGGGCAAACAATAAGAACTTTAAAAAAATAAGTATAATTGATATGCTAAGAGATAAAATAGAATCACATAAAATGCTCAGTTAACATCAGAGAAGGCAGAAAAAGAGGGGAAGATTTTTTTAAAGCACCAAAGAACAAGAACAACACATAGAAAACAGTTACAAATGCAATAGTTATTAATCCAGCTATGTCAATAACCACTTTAAATAGAAGTGGTGTAAATATAACAATTAAAGGGCAGGCTGACAAAGTGGATTAAAAAAAAACAAGACACAACTATATGGTGTTTATAAGAAATCCACTATAAGTGTTTCGGAAGATCACTCTAGAGTCTTCACTCCTGTGCTCAACAACCTCTGATATCTTCCATAACCCCACAGGTCCAAGCTTGCTAGCATGACACTTAGTGTGTCTCACAACCTGGCCTTCACCTGCCTTCTCAGCTCCACTCACCTACACCCCAGAACCCTAACTAATCGCCACACGTGTCTTCACGCCTCCATGCATTTTCGTCTTCTCTTTCCACCTGGAAAGTATCCATGGACTCATGACATGTAAGAATTTAATTGACAAAAAATGTCTTGCTGAAAGAGAGAGAAAAAGAGAAAATTTTAGGCACTGTCAGTGATACTAAGCTGAATGGGATTCTAGTATCAAAAGTGTACTTTCTGTCATATGTAAGTTTTCACCTTTTGTGCCAGCTTTGGACCCTCCCTCTTCCAGTTATGCATCATTCTGTTGTGCCACACATCCTTCAAGCCCAGCAGACACATGCCTCCCTCCCCCTGAAGACTTTCTGTATGCCCAGGCTGAGTTTGTTCTTCTCTCCTCTGTGTTCTTATGACAATTTGTGTCTCCAGCTGTTCTAGCACTGCCCCATCCGATGGTAATCATCTTTTTCAAGTAGACTGAGAGATCTCTGGAAAGAGAAAGGATATATTTTCAGCTCGGGATTCTCTTGATTTCCCTTCCCCTCTCCGTGTCCAGTAGCTGGAACCTAGTAGGGGATCATGGCAGGATGGAGGGATGGATGGAGGGATCTTATTTAGATGACCCAAAAGCAGACCCAACATAAGGACTTGGGTGCAGGCAGTTTCTCTAAGAGGTGATTTCAGGAAGCAGAAATGAGTGGGGAAAGTAAGAGAAGGAAGGGAGAAAAGTGAATAAAGACTATATTAATAAATGGGTTGTCATGGAGAAAACAGAAGGGCTCAGGCCCACTGGGGACTCCCTGAGGATGGACCATATGGAATGGTCTCAGAGAGGTCTCCGAGCAGAATAAGGAGTTGGGACATTTCTGTACCTCTTCCCATCTCTCATTGGTTGGTGTAACTGCCCTACTATCATTCACTTCAGATCTCTCCTGCTTGCAGCCAAGACCCTTCCTGTGGCATGGAAGCCCTCAGGCAGGGAATCAACAGCATCTGCTGCAGATGTAAGTGTGCCAGAAGAGTGGGCCATCGGTAATACTGAACTGTAGAGTTAAAAGATTTCCCCAAGCTCTTTCCAACCCAGACATATTGCTTTCATTGCAGATGGTCAGCACTTATTTACTTACTTGCGATCTGAAGTTCCATACTCTGCCTATGTCACAGTTAGTGTAGACATCAAGTCAACAGAATGAGGTATACAACACAGAATCACGTCCTCAAGCACCATCATACAGATGCAAAAGAGCTCAAACACGGGTGTCCAGGAAGGAAGTGCCATTTTGTTGCAACAAAGCTGTATGGTTTTGCTGATTTTCCTCTTAGATTCAATGGTCTTTCCAGCTGTGTGGAAGATATATAAGAGGGAGAGAAAGAGCAATTTGGGGTGGCGGGGGAAGAGTGGAGAAAGAGCTGTCTGAGAGCTGATAATAGAATTGCTGGGTTGAGGCATTTTCTATTGTTTTGTTTTTCTTTTGCATTTTAGGATACAAGAGAATGGGGACTGAAGTGTTACTTGGAATGGATTCTTTTAGCTCAGAAAGAAATTCAGAGTCACTTTGACTTAATATTTTTCTTGTTAGTAACTGGAAATCTCTACTCATCTTGGGGCCCCTGGACAAGGAAAATTTGCCTATTGTGTGTTCAAAGGCACCTATCCCAGAGAACACCACCAGTTTGCTAAGTCACAAACACTTTTCAGGTCACTGGAACATAATATTAAGATACTGGACAGGACTTCAGCAGAGCACATCTGAACCACATATGACTTCCTTCAGAAGAGAGTTGTTCTCACCTAAACAGCACTTGGAAGAAAGCAGAGCCTGAGATGGGGATTCTCAGTTGGGGGTGCCCTCAGAGAAGAATGAAAGAGCAGGGGAAGGAGCTAAACAAGGGGCCCTCAGAGAAGAATGAAGGAGCAGGGGAAGGAGCTAAACAAGGGTGTGGTCTCAGCTGGAGACCAGTCTCAGCCTGTTCCCAAGGGAGCTCTGAAGCATGAATTGTACCCCAGAGTTGTCCCACCCTGAGGCAAAGGAGTTGACTTCTGTAATTCTGTGCCAGTCACTGGTCAGGTTTGTGGATGTTACGGTGACTTGTAACCCAGGGCGGGGAGGTGGCTCCTGTTCCCTAGGCTGAGGCCAGGGCTGGGGAACAGCAGCTATGAGCTGTAAAGGAATCTGAGCAGGGTACCAACAGTGTCCACTACTGAAGGAAATACCAAAGTTCAGGCTGTCTTCATCCACGTTAATAGCTGACGTCAATATACACGTTTAAAAGCAATGTGAATTAAGATTTCTTGGGTGATTCTTTAACATGACCAATCCCCAGCTTGTTGTGAAAGAGGGGCTCCTTAACTGGCTTATCTCAATTTCCTGTGAGTAAATATAAGCTCCTCAGATATTTGCCATCCATTAGATTCTGATATTTTAATTATTTTAATCAATAACTAAACTATTTGGCTCTGGTGAGCTTTGCCATGTTGAACTGTGTATGTTTCTGAGCTAGTGCTTTTGTGTGCCTGGGTCTCAACTCAACTGAGAGCCAAACCCAAAAAAAGATGTTAGTTTGCCAAATTCGAATAGAACCAAATCCATATTCTTTCAACTGGAATGTGAATCAAAAGCCTAAAACAGAAGCAAATGTATACACTTTCTGAAACTACTGAAACAAAGAAAAGCCTGAATGTCAAAATACTCTCAAAACTGAAAGTGATGTTTTTGGTGCAATTTCATTTGGTTTGAGTCACTTGTGGACATTTGTCCCTGATCAGCAGCTGAATCAGTTCTGTCACCATGTTCTCATCTCAGTTCTATTCATTCTGCATTCACTCAAAAATCTCATCATTTACCTTTTCAACGTGCCCCTTAAAGGTGAAGGAGGGAGAGTGGGGAGGGGCTAGTTTTAGAATTGGTAGAACATATAGGGAGGAAAAGACTTGATGAGAAGAAATTACTCTTGTTTAGCTGGAAACTTGCCTGGTTGCTTTTCCTGCATATTAAAGAACAAAATTAACTCCTCGGCTTATGACTCCCTTTCCTGCCTCTCTTATCATCATCCTTTGTTCCTGTAAGAAAATCACGCTGAAGTACATTTTGGCATTGCCCTAGACACGTTAAATTTCAGGCATCGTTCTAGAAGACTGCGGCGGAACAGAGCACAGTTATCTTCTGCAACTTGGGTTGACAGTAGTTTCAGGGCCCCACTGATCATTTCCAGGCAGGTGAGATGGGAACTGAAACTGGCTTCATTTTCCTGAGAACACCCAGGCTGCCCGGAGGCTGCAACTGGCAATGAGTGTCTCCCTGGGCTACAAAGGGACATGGGGCCTGCTGTTCATTTTGGGGTCTGGCAGGATCACATTGATTATTTTCTAATGCCATTTAAAGATGAGCTTCCCCCTCTTTTTTTTTGAAATATTTGCTTACATACATTTTCTCACTTTTCTTTCCGTCTTCCCACCCTTCCCACGTACACACACAGAAATAGCTCACTTCTCCAGAGTGGGAGGCTGGGGCTCCAAGCTCTCCCCGTGTAGGGCTGCGGAAGCCTGTGGTCTCTGGCAAGCAGCCGGGCTGGGAGAGGGGGTTCTGGCCTCAAACCAAGGACGTAATTATCGACATGCTTAGTATCCAGAGACTCTTCTCCTGCGAGGGCTCTGCTAATAACATAATCCGCCACACAGGTCTTTTGCTGAATTCATCTTGCAGAGAGAGAGAGAGAGCTAGAGAGAGATAATAGGGTCCAAAGATAGCCCTTCTCAGATAATCTTTGAGAAAGTTGCTGAAAATGTAAGCCCTTGGACCCAGTGTAAAGTTTGTAAGGAGCAAGTTGATTTCTGAATCCAGACTTAAGGACCTGCACTCACAGCATCCATTTATGTCACAAAAAAAACTCACCTTGCCAAAACAGATAAAACATTTAACTCTAAAATTAAGCAAACTCAGTTAATTCTAAAGCCCTGGCCAGAGGCTTATGCTCAGAGATGAAGGATGTGCTAAATGGCATCTGAAGTCCAATAACTCCATGGGAGACATTTGGGGTTGGCAAGTGTGTTTATGACATTACTGTGAGCATCACCAGAGCAAGTGCACATGTTCACAAAATCCAGGTAAAAAGTTCACAAAGTCCATGATAAAGTGAATGACATGGGTGAGGGGTGCAGGGCATGGTGAATGCAGAACGGTGCCAGGTAAAGGAAGCGCCTGCTGTGCCATGCAGGTAAGTTTAGCTACAGGTAGAAACAAGCTGGGGTTGCCAAAAGCTGGCACTTTTTCCCCAGAAAAACCCAAAATCCAAAATTTTACATGAAATCTCTGATTTTTAAACACTGCGTCCAAATACTTTTTGAGTGTTGTATAGGCCAAATAATGTACCAGTTGTGAGCTAGATCTGACCCAAAGCCTTTTGGCAATTTCCATAGGTGAATGAAAGCTTCCTAGAGAAATTTCTGCTGTTTATGAACTTTGCAGACCTTCGTAGTTATTGTCCACATCACTCCAGGGAGAGCTGGGGAATGCATTTACATTGTCTGCCATTAGAATTCTCCAACAATACTGCTGGATTCAAAGAAACTGAGGGAAGCAAGACCTGCAGTGGGAGGCTGTTTCTCCAGCAGCCCAGCATGATGCAGAAGCCTGCTTCGGCTGAGCTAAGGATACTGCAAGCTGACTCGCTCAGGCAACTGCTCCACCTCATGGGAGGGGCTCAGGGGACAGGCCTCCACCCACACCCACCCACCACAGACAGCTGCTCAGGGAGCCCCAACTGTGTAAACCTTTGCCAGTGGATTCTGAGGAGAACCCCGATATCAAGCAGATTAACGCCGGGCTACTTTGGTTAAAGCACAAGTGGAGGATCCAGGAGAGCCCCAGAGAGCCCCTCCCTCTGCCCTGTAGACACGTTCCCTGAGCCTCAGAACCTCACCCAACAGGCAGAGAGCTGAGCAAACTTGGCCCAGCTGCCCAATCCTTTTGAAAACCCACAGTCTTCCCCTGAGGTCTCTATGAATTCCTGAAGCCCACTTTCTCAGTACCCCTCAGGGCTGCCTCTGTTTTGCTCCGCCCCTACTCATCGCTGTGTGTTTTAGTAAACTCCACTGAAGACAGGAGGGTGGTCACATAGCACAGAACACACCTTCCTCTGCCTTCCAGATGTCCTCCTTATTCCTCTGCTGTCAGGAGCAAAGCTAATCCATTCCCAGGTGGCACATAGCAGCACAGAAGCCATCTGCTGCTTGCATCCACCCTGGGGGCCTCACCTGCTCACCACAGCTACTTTTCCAAGGACTACACTCAGGGTCAACTTACGGGCCTGGTCCAGTTGCTCAGGACCTCTTGCTTTGAAGACCCCTGCACTTGGTTAATGCTCTGCTGTCAGCATCTGGAAATTCGTAACAACTTTTGAATAAGGGACTCCTTATTTTCTTTACACTGGGCCCTGCCAATTATGTAGTCAATCCTGGCTGTACTTCCTTAAACCACACAGTGCCCTAAGAGGAATTTTAGTGCATAACAAATATCTACATCTCTCCGGACCTAAATTTCTTCACCTATAAAGTGGCAATATCAATTTCAAAAGATAGTTGTGAGGCTTAGCTATGACCACAAGTGGAAGAGTGTTGGCAAGAGGCCAGGTAGACAGCAGGAGCTTGTAATCTCTAGTTCCTTGTAGCACGGGGGCAGGGGAGAAAGGAGCCATGAAGGGGAAGGACATGTGCGTGCACAGGCCACATGCAGGTGGCCTACTCTACAGTGGGAAGGGCTCTGAGCTACAGAACCCTTGATGAGATTCCCTATTAATAATAACACCATTTATTGAAAACATATCATGTGCCAGGCACTTTTCACTCCCTACAGTTCATCCTTAGAGCATCCTGAAAAACTGCAACATGGTATGTCCTCATTTTATAGGTGGGAAACTGAGTCATGGGGGGTTCCTTACTTGGCCAGAGAGCTGGTGGCAGAAGAGGAATCCAGACTCTCTTCGGCCTGGCTGCAAACCCCCTGCTCTTTCTGCTCTGCCGTGCATCGGGAATGAAAGTCTTCTCTCTGAGCCGGAGAAACCATGCCGCTGACCCTGTCATGAATAAGCCCAGAGCCCTGGCCCAGGAGGTTCACAGCAAATATTTGACAAATTAATAACAGGAAGCATCAAAGGGAGAGAAGTGAGGTGACCACACAATTTAACATCTAAATCGAGACACTTCTGAGATTGGACATGATCAGGCAACAGGGACTACACCGGGTACACGAGGGCATCTGCTCACCCTAAAGACAACTGCGTGAACTGACATTCTCGTTGCTCTCAGTATTTATTTCTATACTGCTTAAGCTCCTAAAAAGACATTCAATATGCCATTTTTGTTCAATTTTTTTTTTAGGTTCTTCTCTGCGCTTGTCTCTTTTCTGGTCAATTCCTGTGTTCTGCACATACTGCAGAAGATTTTCTGCCCACTGGGAAGGCTCTGTGTCTATGTTGGCCTTCATTCAGCCCATTCATGCAGCTCCCCATGACAAACACAAGAGCCCATACTGGGCTCTGTGGCTTGGCATTGGAATGTGTCAGTGTTGGACGGTGCCCCTTGTGTCCCTAAGCTGCATACAAGCTGGTGTGTTGCTTAGGGTAAAGCACACAGTTGGTCCTCCATAGAAGCCAAATAATCCACTTGTCTGGTATTCACCACTGCCCAGGAAAAGAAATGAGTGAAAGAGGCACCTGGTGAGGTCCATTGCAGGGAGGCAGGAAGGCACAGAACTCATCAGCTGCCCTAGGCCAGAGACGGGGATTCTCAGAGAAGTCCCAGTTTCTTTTCTGTTTCTCTCCCACAAATTTTATTTTAAAAAATTTCAAATATAGAGAAAAGTTGCAATACTAGGACAATGAACACCCATATGCTCTTCATTCAGAATCACTAATTTTTAACATTTAGAACATTTGGTCCCTTTTATTCACTCTCTCTCTCCATGTATATATGAACTGTGTGTGTGTGTGTGTGTGTGTGTGTGTGTGTGTGTGTGTGTGTGTGTGTGTGTGTGTAGGCAGAGTTAAGAAGAGTATGGGAGGTCTATTGGGAGGTAACACCTTTGATATCAATACAAGACAGAAGCAGCAGGATTGAGCAGGGAGAGCCTCAGCTTGTCGTGCAAGGGTGCCAGAGTTTTGGCCAATGCAGAGAGGAGTTCCAGAGTGGATTGCCCATTGAAGAGATCTGTGTTGGTCAAAATGGTCTGGCCCTGCTACCCTCACCATGCCCAGTCATCAGCTGGGAGTGGCCTGGAAAGCCCATGGCTTTAACTGAGGCAGAGACTTAAGGCATTCATAGCTGGGAGTCATTGCCCACCATGCTCCTTCCAGCTGACCGGCAAGTCCTTTCCTGAAGAGACACCCAATCTCTATAATCTCTTGGTTGCCACAAAAGGTACCTTTTCCCTTTTTCCCTTTGTAATTAAAAGCTTCCAGTTTCTTAAGGTACTTGATTGGGGGAGAGCTGCAGTCTTCTCATTGCCACAACTGTCACCTGAAGATGTAGCAAGAAAAAGGATGCCTTTCTCCTCTTCTGCCTTCTGAGGATGGAAGGAAAGGTAAGGGGGCTCTGCGGGTTATAGTGGCCCCATTACAGGCTTGGGGGACACATGGGCTGCTTTTCTCCCTTTGTGCTGATTCTCACAGAACTAAACACAACTATACCAGAATCTTGGCGACATCTGCAGCTTTCCCTCTTCGCATGTAGCCCCGAATGTCCCTGATGCATGCAGCAGATGTGACCAGTGCCCATCCATGCACCATGGGGCTCACCTGGACATGCCAGGTCCCTACTCACTGAAGAGTCACAGCTCTGGCTGGGCACATCCTTTTGGTCATGGCAGCATGCTCCATGCATGTGCACAGAAAGCTGGAAGTGCTGGAGAGTTAATGGCCCCAGAAGCAGCCTTCCACTAAACACAGATGGGGAGGTGGTGGATACATGTCCAGCTTCCTTGTCAGCTCGGGTGGGAAAGCTCTGAGGTTTCTTCTGCACAGATTCCCATAGGTCCCAGTCAGACTGAGCCCCAGTAGCGCTCAGTGGTGACCTGCTCATAAAAGCCTCCTGCAGCCAGGCACGGTGGCTCATACTTGTAATCCCAGCACTTTGGGATGCTGAGGTGGGAGGATGGCTTGAGCCCAGAGTTTGACACCAGCCTGGGCAACATGGGGGACCCCACCTCTACAAAAAATAAAATATTAAAAAATACGCTGGGTGTGGTGGTGCCCCCTGGTAGTCCCAGCTTCTTGGGAAGCTGAGGTGGGAGGGCACTTGAGTTCAGGAGTTCAAGGATGCAGTGCACTATGATCGCACCACCGCACTCCAGCCAACCCAGAGAGGAGTTGGGTTCTTTGAATTCCTTCTCTTCCCTGAATAACTTCTCCAACCGCTAGAGTAGCTTCCTAGGGTCTCCTCCCAAATTAGCCACTTGCACTTGAATTCTTTTCTCAGAATCAGCCTCTGGGAGAATGCAACTTAAAACAACACGTACACATTGGCCTTTTTGCTGCCCTGCAAAAGAGAATTGTTGCATTATATGTTAAGCACAAGCTAAAAGCTAGTATGTGAGTCTAGCAGGCCATGTGGCTCCTCATCTCTCCAAGGCCTTCTCACCACTATTTAATGGTTTGAAGGAGACACTTAACATTTATAAGTTTTACTCTATTACATCCTATGGGAGCTTTGCCACAGTGGGATATGCAAATTTAGGGAATCTCAAAGGTTTGGGGTCATCTTTTTCTGGAATATCATCTCTTTCATGATTGCCACCATCATTTTCCTCCATGCCATTCATTCAAAAAATCATTTAGTGAGCACCTACTAATACCAGGCACTGCCTTGAGAACTGCAAACATAATAGTTAGCAAGATCCAAGTGTTGCCCTCAAGGAGTTCCTCAGTCTAGGTCTACTTGCAGCCTGCTTGTAAACAATATCAATATTTACTTACTTTTTTTTCTTTTGAAGATGGGGGATCAGTGATTAGGATTTTAGATTGAGGCTGCAAGAGAAGAAGACACTGCCTGGCTTGATTGGCACACTGCTTTATACAATCAGATTGGCAAAACTTGCTTCAGCCCCATGGGTCCAGACAATGTCCACAGCAGCCGTGGAAAATCTGAGAGCCTGATCTTCATGCCAGGCTTATTTCAGGAGAGACAAGATCATGCGGGGGTGACAGAGCTCTTTTTTTTTTTTTTTTTTTTTTTGGCGTTGTTGTTGTTGTTGTTGTTGAGACGGAGTTTCACTCTTTTTGCCCAGGCTGGAGGGCAATGGCACAATCTCGGCTCACCGCAACGTCCGTCTCCTGGGTTCAAGTGATTCTCCTTCCTCAGCTTCCCGAGTAGCTGGGATTATAGTCATGTGCCATCACGCCCAGCTAATTTTGTATTTTTAGTAGAGATGGGGTTTCTCCATGTTGGTCAGGCTGGTCTCGAACTCCTGGCCTCAGGTGATCCACCTGCCTTGGTCTGGACCAACACAGCTCTTTAGACAGTGCCAAGGCCAGTGGATGACCACAGGGATGTTGTTAGGTATACCCAGTTCTGTTTAATGTAGGTCTGAAAGGTTCAGCAGCTGGAGACACAGTTATTTAGGGGAGAGTGTCTTTGTCTTGGCTGGGTTCCCCTTCTATGTGGGCTCAGGGCTCTGCCAGAGAGAAAGGGGTCCCCAGGCCCTTGGCCACCCCCATCCCCATCAATTTCATATCATACATCTGCCTAACAGGGATGTGGTACAGTTTGCACACATAGTCTCTCCAAATCTGTCTCTAAATGACTGTGCTTTGGGGAGCACACATGCAGGAAATTGATCTGTGAGCAGCAGAACCGCACAGTCACTGAGAGCATAGGCTCTGGAGTTGGGCAGATGCTGACTGGAATCCTTGTTACTTACCAGTGGGGTGACCTCAGACAAGTTACTTAGCATCTCTGGGTCTTGCTTCCTTCAGCTCTAAAAGAGTAATAACTATCACTGTTGCCATCATCATACTATGTCATGGAGGAGGAGTAGATGGATTAAACATCACAAAGGTAGAACCAATAGAATTTGCTGGCATGTTGCACGTAGAGTGAAAGAGAAAAGGAGGACAAAAGGATGATAACAAAGATGAACTGAGCTATTTCTACTGATGTGCCAGGCATCGTTACAAGCACTTTTGCATGCATTACCTCATTTAATCTTCACATCATCACTAGGAGGTAAATACTTAGATTATTCCTATGGCAGGCTCCATCAGAGCCCAACCATGTCCCTGCAGCCCATCGGAAGGCCACCTGCAGACAGTCCTCCAACATGTAGACCAATGCCTGAGGATTTCTGGTCCCAGGTCAGGCCCATGCACAAGACAGGTCAGAGTGACCCTAAACTAAGAAAGGCAAGGAGTCTGTAGAATATAACTGATATTCATCCTACTCATGGGCCAGTCATAGTAATAAATCCTGGGGTAATTATCCCCATCCTCTCTCACAGAGTCCCCAGTGGAATTTACCACTGTTGACAATCAGGATCTATTCTGAGCTGTTTCCCTGTTTTACTCTCCCTACCCTCTCTTCCTGAGATCAGCTCCCAAATAAAATACTTTTGCCCAAATCTTTGTCTCCAGGTTTGTTATAGGGGGAACCCAAACTATGACCTCCCCATTTTTAAGATGCGGGCACAGAGGCACTGAAGAACCTCAAGACTGCACAGCTATGATTGTAGTCCAGGTAGTTTGGCTGTAGAGCCTGAGTTCTTAATGTCTAGTACAGAGGTTCTCAAACTTCACTGCAGGCATGTTAAAACCCAGATGGCTGGACCCCACCCCCAGAGTTCCTATAATAATTCAGCAGGGTGAGATGGGGCACTAGAATTTGCATTTCTACTGGTTTCCAGTAATGCTGCTGCTGGTCCAGGCACCACACTTTGAGAACCACTATTCTAGTGCTGTTGAAGATGTTTGTTAGAATGGATCCATCTCATCAGAAGGATAGTGCCTGTTCCCATTCAGGTCTCATATCCCAGGGGAACTGGGCCTTGGTGTGGCTACTATACTTTGTAGTATGCTCACATATACTATCTACGCACTCCAACCTGTATTTTCTGAGTACCCACTGTTTCCGGCATTGTGCAAGATGCTGTAGGGACACATAAACGCATGAGACCAAATGTCTGCCTTGGAAAATGTGGGTTCCGTCTAGGGTGGAGCTTTCAAGTTCAGGCCCAAACTGTGACACCAGGCAGATGATTTTAAAAAGAGTAGAGTGTTTGATGCTTGAATTAGTCTCAGAATGGAGAGGCCAAGACCGAAAAACTCACTAAATCAATCATCAGAGGAAGTGGGAAGTCAAGCCTTGACAAGGCGACCACAGGGCAGAGGTGAGCTGAGGATGTGTCTTTTGATTATGTGATCCCTATTTTATCTGCAGTTAATTAATACAGCTCTTGGGGCTGCATTGGAATGAGACTGCCATCAGAAAGCCTGAACCTACTGCAGTTTTGATTCCTGACATCGGAACTTGTTACTCTACAGTCTTTATTGTGCTGGCAAAAGGAGATTAATTCACAGGATGAAAAGAAACCATATTAATGAAAGGGACAATATAAATTTGTATTCAGCAAGGCAAATCAGCAGTGCTCTGCAACTACAGGAGCAGGAGGCAAAGAATGGCATGTTAAATTACTCCTGTCTTGGGCTGTCAATTTAAAACACCTTTTGTGCATTCTTTTCTTTGACCGAATACATGTGCATTTCACACACAGTGTGAAGGCAATACATGCTAACCTGCAGCACCAGCCCCTCCCCCAATATAAAGAGTTCAGTAGCAAAGGCTTGTAAGTTTAACTAGAGAAATCGCTTTTATTGGAAGCATTTTTCATGTATAAATGTAAGGTAGCTATTAATGTATGTGTTGTGCGTGTGTGTGTTTATGTGCACGACTTAGTTGCAATTAAAAAAATAAAGACTGCAGTGGTTTGAATCATAATGATTTGCAACTAAAAATCCATTAGCCCTGTCTATGGATGATGCTAAATATACCAAATGTCAGGATGTGGCAGGCTGGAAGGGCAGCCTTAAAATAGTCTCTTTGAAAATAGCCCCTCCGGGTGGCTTTTCTCCACAGATCTATCTCCTTGACACACATTCCTGGGGAGGTAAATCTAAGAAGCAGGGTGCAGGGCAGATTCCATGGAGGGAGGAACAAACCTGATTGTTTCACAGTGTAAATAAAATGTCAGGGGTGCCAGGCCAGGGGTCCCCACACCCCATTTGGGGTTGCTCTCCAACCTCTCAGGCTTTGGATGCTGGTCTGGCCAACGCTGACACCCTCAATCCCTGGAACTATTTGAAATGGTTAGAGGCGGGGGGCAGGACTTCTAGTTCCCATAGACACAGTTTTCTGGGGGGTCTAGCTCTTGCTGCCACTTTGCTGCCTGTGCAGCAGACCTTGAGTGCCAGGGCAATCGCTCCACCTAGGAGCAACCCATATCCAAAGAGCTGTTGCATGAATACCCCGGCTCCCTCGCCCTCGGGCAGGACAGATCTAAGGTATGTATTTCACACTTATTCTTAGCATTGCTCAATGGGATTAAGCTCCAGGTACTCACAGAAGTAACCTGCTTTATTCCACATTCTTTACTGACTGCCTTCTCTTCCCTGTCTCACTTCACTACTCCACTCCTGATGTTTCCTGGGATCATCTCCCAAATAAACTATTTGTTCTCAATTCCTTATCTCAGGGTTGGCTTCCGAGGGAACCCAGTAAGACAAATGTATTACTTCCATTATGCTTATGCAGAGTCCTTATTTTTCCAGAATACAGATAAAAACCATAAGGGAGAGTGCCAGATATTTGCGTTTCTGATATGCTAGAATTATGTATCATGACCTCAAGGTAGAAGCTGGGAACTAAATTGATGGAGAGAAAAAAGATTGAGTGGATGCAGGAGAACAACAACGCAGGCCTCTAAATAGCACTTCTATGTTTTCTTTAGGTTACAAAGGGTCAGCTTGGAACTTCTGCATCTCAGGAACTCTAGTATGTCAAACTAGACCACCAGGAAGTTTTTTTGTTTTTATTTTTGTTTTGAGACAGAGTCTCACTCTCTTGTCCAGACTGGAGTGCAGTGGTATGATCTCGGCTCACTGCAACCTCCCCCTCGAGCGATTTTCCTGCCTCAGCCTCCTGAGTAGCTGAGATTACAGGTGCCCGCCACCATGCCTGGCTAATTTTTGTATTTTTAGCAGAGACAGGGTTTCACCTTGTTGACCAGGCTGGTCTCGAACTCCTGACCTCAAGTGATCCACCTGCCATGGCCTTCCAAAGTGCTGGGATTGCAGGCGTGAGCCATGGAGCCCAGCCTTCATGAAGTATTTTATATGATCTTTTGTGCAGAGTTGAGGAGAATGAAGACTGTGGGACTATGGATCAAGATGAAGATGCAGGCTTGGGAAGAACAGAGGCTGCCCAGCTCAGCCTCCCTGTAGTGCAGAGCCCTTGTGTCAGGGCCTGGGCTTTACCTCCTTGTTTAAATTCTGCCTCAAAACACGAGCCTATATGACTAGCAACCCTTTGCCACCCCGAACACATTCCTACTCTTCCTATTCAAAGTGCGATCTGTGATTCGGCAGATCTGAGAGGGAGGCATCAGTGTCACCTGGGAGCTTGTCAGAAATGCAGATTCTTAGCACAGTCTGCAGACCTACTACTCAGGATTTGCATCTCAATCGGTCCCCAGGTGCTTCACCTGCACACCTGGCATTTAAAGTGGTTGCCTCTGAAAAGAGGATTAAAGTGGGAACTCAATAATTGAAGGACTGGGCTATTGCTTTTAATCAGGTGGGCATATGGCTTTGATAAAAATGTAAACACCACTATAGAGAAAGGAATAGATACTTTAGAATATGGTTGAAAGCTATAAAGTATAAAGATAGAACTAAAAATTTAAAAAGATATGATTTGTGTAAAGGCAGGGTGAGGGCATCATTCATGTAGAGGAGCCAAAATATATAAGTCAAGAAATAGAGGTATAAGCATGTTATTTAGAAAAATGTAGAAAACCGCCAGAAAAAAAATAGAAGCAGAATCATTTTAAAGCTATTGGCTCCAGGGAGCAGCTCTAGTGGAGAGGTGGTGGGCAGGAAAGAAAGCTTTTATTTTTTATTTTAGGCTTCCTGTACTGTTTGAATTTTTATTGGCATGTACATGCATTAATTCCCTTGTTATTTATAAAATTAAGTTTTAAAAAAGAAAGAAGAGAACTAGATTAAAGCCAAACAAGGTTACAAGGGCAAGAAAGGTTTTTGTTTTTGTTTTTGTTTTTAAGAATATAAGAGTTTGGACATATTTATAGGAAGAGGATAGTAAAAAAGGGTAGAAAAATATTAAAGATAGAAGAAAAGAAATGGCAAATAGACATTGATTCTTTACTTGCATCTGTGCCTCTGCCTGACCTTGACTGGAACCTACATTTTCGGAATCCTAGAACATCACTACATAATTTCTCTGTTAAAATATATTATTATATTTTTAAATTACAAAAGCTACTCCCATTCTGCTCCCCTCCTCAGAGGTAAGCTAGGTTATCAGCTGAGTGTGTTCTATTTCTCTATGAGTTAGCTAATGCCACAGAACAAAGCTTCACTGGCACACAGCAAGGGGTATTGATTGCTTACATGTCTAGTGTGGTCTGTACTCATTTTGACCGGGTTTGCGCACAAATCTGAGGGTCACATGACTAATCTAGGGTGACAATCTAGGGTAGACTTAGCTGGGACAGCTGGGGAGACTGGACTCTCCTCCATCTCTCTCCCCCTCCAGCAGGCTAGGCTGGCATGTTCTCAGAGTAACAGCAAAGGCACAACAGCAAGCAAACCCCATTGCATCGGTGTCTTTCAAGCCTCTACTTGCATCAGCCTCACCAAATCGAATCTCTCATCCTATTGATTCAAAGCAAATTGCTTAGCTAAGCCCAGAGTCCAAAGGAGAGGGCAAAAGAAAGGTACATAGCAGAGATGAAAACAGGAAGGAGTGAAGAACTGGGGCCATCACTGCAATCAGTGACACTTCTAGATCAGGGGTTGGCAAGTTACGGATCACAGGCAGAATCTGGCCCATCGCCTGATTTTGAAAATCAAGTTTTACTGGAACGCAGCCATGTTCATTCATTTATTTGTTGCCTGTGGGTGCTTTTACACTATAATGTCAGAGTTAAGTAGTTGCAACAGAAGCGATATGGCCTGCAGGGCCTTAAAAGTTTACTATCTTGTCCTTTACAGAAAAATGCACTTTTTGTTCTAGATCTTTTCCCAAGCCTTTATATACATGTATATTTATACATATATCTTGCTAACTGTTGGCTTTTTAAATTTTTACATAAAGAATAATACGTCTTACATTTTATTCTATAATTTCATTTTCTACTTTAAAATATACCTTGGACATCTTTCTGTCTCAGTACAAATGGATCTAACTCATTCTTTTTTGTAACTTGATCCCAAGCACAAGCCCACGAAGGCGGGGGGGACCAAAACAGACCGAAATGAGACAACAACCCATTCATCATAAAAAGATGAATGGGCAGCTTCACACACAAACACACGCGCGCACACACACACACACACAGATGAAATTTTAGACAGGCAAATTTCACGTGGTCATTTCTGTTTCTTTTTAAATACAGGTTTGTGGGGTGGTATTTTTTTTTCCAGCTATAAAAAAGGCCCAAAAGTGCATGTGTGAGGGGGGGAAGGCAGAAATTAAGCAATAAAGTAGTTTTCCCTGGAGGGACATGAGTGGGAGAAAACAGGAGGCAGTGCTGGGAGAATGTACTTTGCTCACCACTAGGCTTCTTGTTATTCTTATTATTGGTCCACAAAAGTTATATTCACATTCTAGCTTTGATGCATCTTTCCTGGGATTATACGGGCTGAAAGACCTCTGTGAACTGTAGGGTAGACCAGGGGCTCAGCCCAGCACAGCACAACCCAGCCCTCGGGGCTCTGTGCTCTTCTAGGGGTGGATGGTTCTAGTAAGGAATGGATGCCCAGCAGCCCCTGGGTCCCTCAGCACCAGTGTACCGTCCCTCCCCTCTCTGGGATTGTGTAAGAAAACGGCTCCTATTTTTAGGACAGGAAGAGTAGAGGGAGGGCCTGCAGCAAGATTCCATGACTGGCTCCCCTTGTCTGGGAAGGAGAATTAAGCTGAGTGACAACAGGCTGCTTCTTGCTACTCCTCCCCACAACTCACCACTCTCCCAAACTCAGGTCCTCTAAGGGGATGTGTCCCTGACCTTTGGTCCCCAAATCCACATTGTGCTTTGAGATCAAGAGGAAACAGAATGCACCAGTGCCACTCAAGACTCCCAAGAGATTCTCTGCCTCACCCAGTCCCTAAATCACCCAATATAAGATATTCCACTTGCCTCCACCTAGGCTGGGGCCAGAAGGGAAAAGGGATGGGCCAGGCAGGGCCTCCTCACCCACAGTCTTTTCCTCTACCTCTGATTTGGGGCAAATATCCCCAAATCAATTAACAAGCAGTTGACAAAAACACCCATGATGACTGATAGTTGAACAGGCCAACACCTTCAAGTCCTGCCCCTCACATGTGGGTACAAGTGTGCAAAGGGACAAGAGGCCAATGGTGGGGCCTGGCTGGGCTCAGGGTGAAGATGGATGGGGACTCCCAGGGGGTGGCAAGAAATCAAGTGAGGCCAGGGTTGTCACAGCCACCCATGAGCAGAGAGCAGGAACTGGATATAGTACCATCTTTCCCTCCCCATCCTAGAGGCTGTGCTTCCAGTTTTGCAGCCCTGGGACCTTCTTTCTTGCTTCAAGGGAGCTTTATGTAAGTGAGGGGGAGGTCTAGGGGAAGATCCCCCAGAGTGAGACACCCACAGTGTGGGTGACACAGGGTCCTTCTGGCACCCTATTCTGCAGCCCCAGACACAGAGATGGGGAAAAATATGCCTGGAGTGACAGAGCTTTCCCCCAGCCCTTAGCCCCAGCAGGCTGCAGACCCAGCAGCAGCCCCCACCAACTCCACACCAGTCTCTTACCTTCCACCCTGCACACTGCAAAGGGCAGATTGGTGGGCTTCCTCCACTCAGAGATGGGGGAAGGAGGAACTTCATTCCAAAGAAAACCTAAGGAACTTCTCTCCCCCAGGAGCCCTCCCCTCTCACTGTGGGTTCTGAGGAAACTCTCAGGGGAAGAGTTTAAAACATATGATTTAAAAATATCATTTCAAGTTGTTTGTTGCTGGTGCACAAAAACATAACTCATTTTGGTATATTAACTTTGTATCCTGTAGCCTTACTAAATTCACTTCTTAGTTCAATAGTTACTTTATAGATTCCATAAATTTTCTACCTAAAAATCATGTTATGTGTAAATATAAACATTTTTACTTCTTTCTTTGCAATATTTACACTTTTATTTATTTTTTTTGCTTTATGGCAGTGGCTAGCATCACCAGTACAAGACTGAATAGAAGTGATGAAGGTAGGCAGCCTTGCCTTATTCCCAATCTTAGAAGGAAAAGGTTCAAAATGTTATCATTAAGCAGGATGTTAGCTATTAGTTGTTAATAGATTCATCTTACCAGATTGAGAAATATCTTTATATTCCTAGGTTGCTGTGAGTTGTTATTATTAATAGATGTTGGCTGGGCGTGGTGGCTCACGCCTGTAATCCCAGCACTTTGGGAGGCCAAGGCAGGCGGATCACCAGGTCAGGAGATTGAGACCATCCTGGCTAACCTGGTGAAACCCTGTCTCTACTAAAAATACAAAAAATTAGCCAGGCGTGGTGGTGGGCACCTGTAGTCCCAGTTGCTCTGGAGGCTGAGGCAAAAGAATGGCATGAACCCGGGAGGCGGAGCTCGCAGTGAGCCGAGATTGTGCCACTGCACTCCAGCCTGAGCGACAGAGCGAGACTCCGTCTCAAAAAGAAAAATAGATGTTAACTATTTTCAAATGCTTTATCTGTATCTACTCAGATGATTATATGGGCTTTCTCATTTATTTCCTTAATGTGGTAAATTATATTGATTGATATTTTTAAAATGTTAAACCAAACTTGCATTCCTCAGATAAACAATACGTGGTCATGATATATTATTATTTTAATACAATGTTGGACCTAATTTGCTAATATTTTATTTAGGATATTTGTATCTATATTTACGAGGGATATTGATCTATAATTTTTTGTAATGTCTATGTCAGATTTTGGTATTAGGGTTGTAATAGCCTCATAAAATAAGTTGGACGGTATCACCTCCTTCCTTATTTTGTGAAAGAGTTTGTATAAAATTGGTATTATTTCTTACATGTTTAATAGAATTTACCAACAAAACCAGCTGAGCACACAATTTTATGTGTCAGAGTTTTTTTATGATAAATTTAATTTCTCCATAGTTACAGGACTATTCAGATTTTCTGTTTCATTTTGTGTTTATTTTGGTAACTTGTATTTGTCAAATAATTTGAAGGAATTTATCTGTTTCATTTATCAAATATGTTGGCATAAAATTATTTATATTATAATATTCTTTTGTTATAGTTTCAATGTCTATAGGATCTGTAGCAATAGCCTTTCTTTCATTCCTGATATTGGAAATTTGTGTTTCTCTCTTTCTCTTTCATAGTTATAGATCTCTCTAGCTGGTTGATCTTTGTAAATAATAAACTTTTGGCCTAGTTAATTTATGCTATTCTTTGTCAATTTCTACTTCATTGATTTCTGCTCTTTTAAATTTTAAAACGTACTACTTAATAGATTTCAGGAAGAAAAAGCTACCAGTATTCACTACCAACAATATGTACAAGAGTATACAATTCTACCTTACCCTCTTCAATTGATGATATTTATCAACATGTAACACTTAAAAATGATTGAATGGTTTAAGACTGATATCTTATGGTTTTAATTTTCATTTTTCTAATTTCTGTTGAGATTAAGCATTATGTCACATGTTTACTGGCCATGTCTTTTCTGTAGACTATCTATTCACATTATTTTTCATTTTTAATTGGGCTGTGTTGAGGGGGGCTGGAGTGTTAATTAGATATTCTCAATATCAATTATTTGTTATATATGTTGCAAGTTGCTTCAGGTCAATAGCATGCGATTTAGTTTTCTTTCTCACCTCCCTTTATCATGCTGTAGTTTTTTAAGGTAGATTTTTAAAAATATTTTGTATTTTGTGTCTTGCTTAAATTACTCTTGCATAATTAACTCTTAAAGCTATAAACATTCTAATTCATAGCTCCTTACTTGTCTAACAATTGCTCCTTAATTACCTAGAATATTTTGTTTATGAACAAAACTTTATTTCTCTCCAAATGGATAGCAAATTATCTTAACCATGTTTACTAAGTAGTCCATACCTTTGTCACTGAATTAAACGTATCATCTTTTTCTTATACAAAATTCTAATTCATACGAATTTGTATCTGAAACTCCCTTTTCTGATTTGATTACTTTGTTTATTCCTGGGCTATCACGACACTTTTAATTACAAAAGCTTTACAGTATGTTTTGGCATTTGGGATGCTTCATTGTTTTTCTTCTTCAAAGATATGTCCTGACTCTTCTTACTTATTTTCCATTCCAGATTAATTTTCAAATCGTTTGTCAATTTCCAAGGCAAATCCTGTTGGGGTTTTGTTTGAATTTATATGAAGCTTATAGACTAATTCATTGAAAATAAACATCTCTATTACACTAGATCTTCCTATCCAATAACATAGTATGTCACTTTATTAATTCACATCTTTTAAATATTTCAGTGAAGTTTTATAAACTACATATAGATTTTATACAACTTTTGTTGGATTTATTTCAAATAATTTTATTGTTTATGCTGTTATTGTAACTGAGATTTTTCAAAATTTCACTCTTTATTATTGCTGGTGTAAAGGAATGCTACTGATATTTTTGCTGTTATTCTATGTGGCAAATTTGCTGGACGCTCTTATTAACTTGAATAAATTTGAAAGCAGACAGTGTAAGCAAAATAACTGAAAAAATAACTTCCAATACCCATAAATATAACCTTAACAGAAAGTAGTTTCTTGAGATGGAATCTACTCCTGCTGAAGATGCTGTGAATATTGTTGAAATGACAACAAAGGATTTAGAATATTACATTAAATTAGCTGATAAAGCAGCAGCAGGGTTTGAGAGGACTGACTCCAAGTTTGAAAGAAATTCTACAGTATCACATGCTACAGAGAAATCTTTTGTGAGAGGAAGAGTGAATTGATGTGGCAAACTTCACTGTTGTCTTATTTTAAGAAATTGCCACAGCCACCTCACCCTTCAGCAACCACCATGATCAGTCAGCAGCCATCAACACTGAGGCAAAACCTTCCACCAGCAAAAAGATGATGACTCACTGAAGGCTCAGATGGCTGTTAGCATTTTTTTTGTTTAGCAATAAAGTGTTTTTAAATTAAGGTATGCACACTGTCTTTTAGACATAATACTATTGCACACTTAATAATCTACATATAATGTAAACATAACTTTCATATGCAGTGGGAAACCAAAAAATTTGTGTGGCCCATTTTATTGCAATATTTGCTTTATTGCAGTGGTCTGGAACAAACCCACAATATCTCCAATGTATGCCTGTATTAGTTTTTCTCTGCTGTGTAACAAATTATCACAAACTTAGTGGTTTAAAACCACACAAATGTAACATCATCTCACAATTTCTGTGGGTTAGGAGTCCAAGCATTGTTCTGCTGGTTCCTTTGCTCAAGGTGTACAATCAAGATGCAGGCCAGGGCTGCAGTCCCTCTGGAGCTTGGTGTCCTCTTCCAGTATCATTCAGCTCGTTGGCAGAACTCAGTTCCTTGCAGCAGCAGAACTCATAGTGGCTTCTGTCTTTGAGGTCAGAAGGAAAGCATCTGCTTCAGCTTGAGTCAAGGAGACCTCTGCCTCTGACCTCTAGACCTAGATATGATTAGTTCAAGTTCACCCAAGAGAATCCCCTTTTTGATAAACTCAGAGTCAACTGATTAGGGACCTTAATTACATCTTTGCTATACAGTGGAACCTATAGGATTGTGGGAGTTTTATTCCATCATGTTTATAAGTCCTACTCACACTCAAGGGGAGAGAATTATATGGTGTATTATACCAGGGGGTGGAAATAATATTTGTTGTCCCTATTTTGTCTCCTCATGTCCTCATTCTGGCTCCCTCTCCCGCCCCTTCCAAAGTTTCTCTGCCAAAGGTCACTTGAACTCCTAATAACCACACATTAGCATTCCTTCAACCAGGAGGGAAATACAGCTTTTGTCCCTATTCCTTCAAGGGTAAGTTTGTTTTTTGTTTGTTTTTATTTTGAATTTCACTCTTTTTCTGCTCCCCCCACACCCCCCCTTTCTTTTAGACAGAGTCTCATTTTGTCACCCAGACTGGAGTACAGTGGTGTGATCTCAGCTCACTACAACCTCCACCTCCCTGGTTCAAACGATTCTTGTCTCAGACTCCCAAGTAGCTGGGATTACAGGTGTGCATCACCTCACCCAGCTAATTTTTGTATTTTTAGTAGAGAACGGGTTTCACCACGTTGACCAGGCTGGTCTCGAACTCCTGGGCTCAAGTGATCTGCCTGCCTCAGCCTCCTAAGGTGCTGGGATTACAGTCGTGAGCTACAGTGTGCCCGGCCTGCCCCACCTTTTTCTGTAAGTTTTGGATTGTTAATCTTATTCTAACTCTTTATTATCACCTTTCCCAAGTCATTTTGTTTTAGGTATATCTATTATAAACAATACATATCTAGTTTTGATTTTTTTAAGCCAATTAATTTTGAAATGGGTGACTTTCAGGTGAATTTAAGCCATTCACAATTGTTTTGATTACTGATACGTTTGGAGTTCATCTTGTTTTCTCTTTACCATACATTTTTATTCTTTCTGTTTTCCTATTCTTTTATTGACTTGATTGCATTTTCTTTGATCCATCTTTTCTCCTGTAATAATCTGGAAGAAAAAAACCCTGTTTTTCTAGTGAGCGTTCTTAAATCATAATACACAATTAAATTTGTATTTGTCTACTAATTGTTAGAAAGATTCACTGTCTATATCCTCACTCTAAGAAGACAATAATGTTGCCATGGTTTCACTTTCTGACTCTCATTCTCATCCTCTGGTTTACCTCCTCTATTGATACCACCCAGGAGACTAGCACTAGCTAATTTATTTTATTTTATTTTATTTTTGAAATGGAGTCTTGCTGTGTCACCCAGGCTGGAGAGCAGTGGCACAATCCTGGCTGACTGCAATCTCTGCCTTCTGGGTTCAAGTTACTCTCCTGCCTCAGCCTCCCGAGTAGCTGGGATTACAGGCACCCACCACGACGCCCGGCATTTTTAGTAGAGACGGGTTTTCATCATGTTGGCCAGGCTGGTCTCCAACTCCTGACATCAGAAAATCCATCTGCCTCAGCCTCCCAAAGTGTTGGGATTACAGGTGTGAGTCACCGTGCCCAGCCGCCCCAGATAATTATTAATGTCTTTCTCTCCCTGGCTTTTTTTTTCAACCAGTTGTTATTTACACCCAGCAATAAATTTTACTAGGGAATTTTAGTCACCACTGCTTTTTGGATCCTATTTCTTTTTCTTTGATTTTTTTTTCTTCATGTAAGAAAACAGCTTTCAGGACTTTTTTTCACAGAGCACCTGAGGCTGGTAAACTGCATCTCCAAAAATGTCATCATTTCAATCACACACTTACTTGAGAGTTTGGCAATCTATGTTTAGAACCTTCCAAACCACACCACCTCACCCTGCTGACTAAAATTCTGTGAGTTTAATTGATGTTACTCTTCACAGTGTGTTTCCTGAAAAGTGCTCCCATTCTCACATCAGTGTTGATCCCTTCAAAGGCTCTCAGAAAACACTTTTCATTTGAGTAGGAAATGGATTTTGAACATATGCAAAGAATGCTGACATCCTCCCACCTTTACTACCGCTACTTCCACCTGCACATCTTCAGGGCTGAAAAGGAAAAGGAGGAGCCATTTTTCAGTCTAAATGGGCTCCCATTTTTACAGCCACATAACTCTACATGCTTAAGGCCAAGTTTTCACATCAAGCAAATTAGGGGTAATTTTTTGCTTTATAAAAGTTATTCTTTGTTGTGCAAAAGGATTCAATGCAATTTTCTTTTTAATAAGCAAGTTCTCTAGTACATTTCAAATACGATTCCATTTCCAACAATTCATCTGGCTTTTTTTTAAAAAAAGGAATACATCATTGTATAAAACCTGTAAAACAGGTATGCCTAAAATTTGCTATTTATAGGTTTTTATGTCTTTGAAGCTCAAGGATGAAATCCTATAAATTCATACAAGATATTAGAGGACCTGCTTATGGTTTCTGGACAGGGAATCTCCCACTGAGTTGTTCAGATGAAAGAAAGCAAAATAGAGGAAAATCAGAAGCTACGCTGAGACTTTATAATCTATATTCATTCTCTATTTTTGATAATGTCATTTTTGGGGACAGATATTGTCGTCATTACAGTTTTGCAAAACAATAGCTATAACAGATAATTTAACTTGAACTTCTGGAGCCATCTTCCTTCCTAAAGATTTTCAGGTGAGAAATCCTTTTGTGCCCACTTAACAACCCAGGAAATCAAGGTCTCAAAGACTGAGGAGCCGCCCAGGGTGACAGATTTATCTAAGTGACCACTGTGGAACACATAGCCAAGGACCTGACATCTATTTGGTGCTCAATAAATAATTGTTAACCAAAGAAGCTGAGTCTTTTTTCCAGCCAGTTTTGTAGACTTTTCACTTTGTTATGCTGCCTCCCAGCTCATCAGGAAGTACTCATTAGCACAAACTACTAGTGAGGGACTAACTGCATGGCAGGTCGGAAGGTTGGCCTCCTGTTGATGTTATTTGTGCATAAAAATGCAACCCACACACACAACTTCTCAATGTGCTCAGGCTGGTCAGTTAAGTTAAATGTCTTTCCCGGGAGTGGTATGGGGGTGACTTTTCACATATGACCAGACAGTGCTGGCTTCATGACAGCATGCAACCTGTTTTGTTGTGCTCAGAGGGGCTTTGTGCTTGGTTTGATGCTCTGCTTTCTCTGCTTTAAAATTCTTAATAAGTTTTAAACAAAGGGCTCTGCCTTTTGGTTTTGCCCTGGACCCCATACATGATGTAGCCAACCCTGTGGACAGAGACCGATCTTGGAAAAAAGAAGTTAAGCCATTTTATATGAGTGATACTTACATGGGTAAGATTTTCAAATGTCATATGAAGAAAACTTTTATTGCAAAATACGGAATATTCTCTGTAGTAAGAGAAGAGGGTGAATATTTGTCACAGGGCAACACTCCAGAACCTTTTATCGTCCCACTTTGAATGTGAAAGATTCTTTGGAATTCTCTAGTCCACCTGCTCTGATTACGGACAGCAGACCTCCCGAAGTGGCCCAAGAAGTCCATGCCCATGCAACTGGCTAGGGGCGAATCCCAGGGCTCCTGTGTTCTCATGCTGCCCATATTGCATCACGGTCTCAGTATCAGAAAGCAGTAGGTCAAAGAATACAGTTTCTGTCCTTTTGATGGGGTAGGCATAGAGATTTTAAAAAATGATTTTAATAATTGTACTTTATCTTTGCAATAGTACAGCAATATTAGTGAAAGCTAAAACTATCCAAACAGCCAAAGAAATTTGAAGAAAAAAAAAGAAGTCAGTTTTCACTTGGCCCACATATTTGTGTTTGAGAAGGCAAGTCAATGAGACTGGCAAGGCCCACACAACCTTGCTAAGGGCAGATCCCAGGGCTCCTGGGTCTTAATGCTGCCCATATTGTATCACGGTCTCAGTAACAGAAAGCGGTAGGTCAAAGCATATATCAGAATTTCATTGCTTTTTAAGACTGAATAATATTCAATTTATGTACATACTACATTTTGTTTATGCACTTTTCCGTTGATGGACATTTGAGTTGTGAATAATGCTGCTATGAACACCCATGTACAGGTATGTGATTGTTTTAGTCCTTGCTTTCAATTCTTTTGAATATATGCTTAAAGGTGGAATTGCTGCTATTCACTGAGGGCAATATTGTCTTCAGTGACCACAAGTGGCCAGATGAAGAGACGACACTTCCTGAGCAAAGCATTGATATTCCTTGGCTATTTTTGTTCCTATCATCATATGGTGGCAAAAAAATATATACCTTCTAATTGATGCAGCAGGAAACCTGGGTGAAATAGATTCAAGTTGCCCAAAGTAAACAAAACAAAATTGGGATCGGGTAGGGATGAGGAAGGAACTCTTGACAGTGAGCCATCATAAGCTGCATGGAAACAAACACTTTAGTCATACAGGATAAATACTTCTAAAAAATCAAACCATAAGCTTTTTTTTGCATAAATTTTATTGTGATAAAATATACATAACTTTTTTTTTTTTTACCATTTTAACCATTGTTAAGTTTACAGTTCAGTGGCATCACAACATTCACAGTGTTGTACAGCTATCACCACTAACCATTTCTGGAACTATTTTTTATCATCCCAAACTGAAACTCTGTACACGTTAAAAAATAACCTCCATACCCTCCTCTCTCCAGTTAGTGGGCATTTGTTTATTCTAGGTATTTTATATATGTGGAATCATACAATATTTGTCCTTTTGTGTCTGGCTTAATTCACTTAGCATAATGTTTTTAAGGTTCATCCACGTTGTAGCATATGTTAGAATTTCATTGCTTTTTAAAAACTGAATAATGTTCAATTTATATACATACTACATTTTGTTTATCCATTCTTCTGTTGATGGACATTTGAGTTGTGAATAATCCTGCTATGAACACAGAAATACAAGTATCTAATTGTTTGAGTCCTTGCTTTCAATTATTTTGAGCATATGCCTAGAGGTGGAATTGCTGCATCATCTGGTAGTTCTCTGTTTAATTTTTCTGAGGAACCACCACAGAGTATTGTTTTCCACGGCAGCTGCACCATTTTACATTTCCACCAGCGATGCACAAGGGTTCCAGTTTCTCTACATCCTTGCCACCTCTTATTATTTTTCTGTTTTTGGTTGTTATTGTTTTTTTTGATAATAGCCATTTTAATGGGTGTGAAGTGGTATCTCATGGTGATTTTGATTTGTATTTCCCTAATGACTAGTGCTGTTGAGCACCTTTTTGTTTGTTTATTGGCCACGTGTATAACTTCTTTAGTAAAATGTCCATCCAAGTCCTTTGCCTATTTTTTAATTGTATACATTTATGGAGTACAAAGTGTTGTTATGATATAGGTATACAATATGGAATGATTAAATCAAGCAAATTAACATGTCTATCACCTCAAATACTTAATTTTTTGTGGTGTGAACATTTGAAATTTACTGTTAGCAACTTTGAAATATACATCATTATTAACTATAGTCACCATGTTATGCAATGGATCTCAAACAACTTATTCCCCCTGTCTAACTGAAACTTTGTAACCCTTTGACCAACATCTCCCAATTCCCCTCACCCTTCACCCTCTGGTAACCTCCATTCTACTCTCTGCTTCTATGAGTCTGATTAATTTAGATTCCACATATAAGTGAGAAAATGTGGTTTTGTCCTTCTGTGCCTGGCTTACTTCACTTAGCATAATGCCTTTCAGGTTCATCCATGTTGTCATAAAAGACAGAATTTTCTTTTCTTTAAAGGGTGAATATTATTCCATTGTGAATATACATCACATTTTCTTTATCCATTCATCGATTGATAGATACTTAGATTTATTCCATATCTTAGCTATTGTGAATATTGTGGCTGAAATGAACATGAGAGTGCAGATATCTCTTTGACATACTAATTTCAAATCCTTTGGATACATACCCAGAAGTGGGACTGCTGGATCATATGGTAATTCTATTTTTAGATTTTCAAGAAAACTCCATACAGTTTTTCATAACAGCTGTACTAATTTACATTCCCACCAACAGTGTACAAGGGTACCTTTTCTCCACCTTCTCAACAATTATCTTCAGTTTTTTTTATAATAACTGTTCCGACAGGTTTGCGATGATATCTCGTTGTGGTTTTAATTTGCATTTTCCTAATGACTGGTGATATTAAACATTTTTTCATATATATGATGACCATTTGTATATCTTCTTTTGAGAAATGTCTATTCAGATCCTTTGCCTATTTTTAAAATCAAGTTATTTGTTTTCTTGCTGTTGAGTTCCTGATTTATTTTGAATATTAACCTCTTAATAGACATATGGCTTGCAAATATTTTCTCCCAATCCATAGGTGTCTCCTCATACTGTTGTTTCTGTTGCTATGCAGAAGCTTTTTGGTTTGATGTAATCCTATTTGTTTATTTTTGCTTGTGTTGCCTGTTCTATGTCAAACCTAAAAAATCATTGCCCAGACTAATGTTGTGTAGCTTTCCCACTATGTACTCTTGTAGTAATTTTATAGTTTCAGGTCTTAAGTTTTTAATCAATTTTGAGTTAACTTGTGTCTATGGTATGAGATAGGAGTCCTGCTTTATTCTTTTGCATGTGGATATACAGTTTCCTCAACACCATTATTGAAGAGACGTCCTTGTCCCATTGTGTATTCTTGGCACCTTTGTTGAAAACCAATTGACCATATTGACTATAGTCACTCTGTTGTGCTATCAAATAGTAGTCTTATTGGTTCTTTCTATTTGTTTGTACCCATTAACCATACCCACCTCCCCTCCAGCACCCCCACTACCATTCCCAGCCTCTGGTAACCATCTTTCTACTCTCTATGTCCATGAGTTCACCTGTTTTGATTTTTAGATCCCACAAACAAGTAAGAACATGTGATGTTTGTCTTTCTCTGCCTGGTATATTTCACTTAATATAATGATCTCTAGTTCCATCCATGCTGTTGCAAATGACTGGATCTCATTCTTTTTATGGCTGAATAGTACTCCATTGTTTATATGTACCACATTTTCTTTATCCATTCATCTGTTGATGAACCCTTAGGTTGCTTCCAAACCTTAGCTATTGTAAGCAGTGCTGCAACAAACATAGGAGTGTAGATATCTCTTAGATATACTGATTTCCTTTGTTTTGGGTATATACTCAGCAGTGGGGTTCTGTGATCATATGGTAGCTCTACCATACATGCATGAGTTCATTTCTGACTTTCTATTTTATTCCATTGGTCAGTGTGTCTATTTTTATGCCAGTATCTTTTTATTTTAATTACTATAGCTTTGTAATACAGTTTAAAACCAGGCAGTACGATGCCTCCGGTTTCATTCTTTTTGTTCAAGATTGTTTTGGCTATTCGGGGATTTTTTTGTATGGTTCTATATTAATTTTAGGATTTTTTTCCTATTCTTGTGAAAAAATGACATTGGAATTTTGATACAGATTGCCTTGAATCTGTAGATTGCTTTGGGTAGTATGGACATTTTAACAATATTAATTCTCCCAATCCATGAACATGGAATTTATTTCCATTTATTTGTGTCTTATTCCATTTATTTCATCAGAGTTTAATAGTTTTCAGTGTATAGATCTTTCACCTTCTTAGTTAGAATTCTTCCTAAGTATTTTTTGCAGCTATTATAAATGAAGTATTTTCTTAATTTCTTTTTCAGATAATTCATTGTTAATATATAGAAGCACTACTGATTTTGTGTATTGATTTTGTATCCTGTGACTATTCATTTATTAGTTCTAACAGTTGTTTAGTTGAGTCTTTAGAGGTTTCTATATATGAGATAATGTTGTCAGTAAACAGAGACAGTTTGACTTCATCCTTTCCTATTTGGATGCCTTTTATTTCTTTTTTTTTCCTTTTTTTTAATTTTTATTTTTATTTTAAGTTCCAGGATACATGTGCAGGATGTCCAGGTTTGTTACAATTGTAAATATGTGCCATAGTGGTTTGTTGCACCTATCAACCCATCACCTAGGTATTAAGCCCAGCATACATTAGCTGTTTTTCCTGATGCTCTCACACTTCCCACTCCACCCTCTGACAGGCCCCAGTGTGTGTTGTTCCCCTCCCTGTGTCAATGTGTTCTCATTGTTCAACTCCCACTTACAAGTGAGAACATGCTGTGTTTGGTTTTCTGTTCCTGTGTTAGTTTGCTGAGGATAATGACTTCCAGTTCCATCCATGTCCCTGCAAAGGACATGATGTCATTCCTTTTTATGGCTGCATAGTATTCCATGGTGTATCTGTACCACATTTTCTTTATCCAGTCTATCACTGATGGGCATTTGGGTTAATTACATGTCTTTGCTATTGTGAATAGTACTGCAATGAACATACACATGCATGTATCTTTGTAATAGAATGATTTATATTCCTGTGGGTATATACCCAGTAATGAGATTGCTGGGTCAAAGAGTACTTCTGGTTCTAGATCTTTGAGGAATTGCCACACCATCTTCCACAATGGTTGAACTAATTTACATTCTCACCAACAGTGTAAAAGTGTTCCTTTTTCTCCACAACCTTGCCAGCATCTGTTGTTTCTTGACTTTTTAATAATTACCATTCCGACTGGCACTAGAGGGTATCTCATTGTGGTTTTCATTTGCATTTTTCTAATGATCACTGATGTTGAGATTTTTTTCATATGTTTGTTGGCTGCATGAATGTCTTCTTTTGAGAAGCGTCTATTCATGTCCTTTGCCCATTTTTTGATGGAGTTTTTTTTTCTTATAAATTTAAGTTCCTTGTAGATTCTGGATATTAGACCTTTGTCAGATGGATAGATTGCAAAAATTTTCCCCCACTCTGTAGGTTGCCTGTCTGCTCTGATGATAGTTTCTTTTGCTGTGCAGAAGCTCTTTAGTTTAATGAGATCCCATTTGTCAACTTTGGTTTTGCTGCAATTGCTTTTGGCAATTTTGTCATGAAATCTTTGCCTGTGCCTACGTCCTGAATGGTACTGCCTAGATTTTCTTCTAGGGTTTTTATATTCTTGGGTTTTACATTTAAGTCTTTGATCCATCTTGAGTTATTTTTCATATAATGTGTAAGAAAGGGGTCCAGTCTCAATTTTCTGCATATTGAATACCTTTTCTTTCTCTTGCCTAATTGCTCTGCCTAGGACTTCCAATACTATTTTGAATAGAAGTGCTGAGAGTGGGTGCTACAGTTTGGATATGGTTTGTCCCTTCCAAAACTCATGTTGAAATCTGGTCCCCAGTATTGCAGTATTGGGAGGTAGGGCCTAGTGGGAGGTGTTTGAGTCATGAGAATGAATCCCTCATGAATTGATTAATGCCCTCCTGTAGGGGTAAATGAATTCTCACTCTCTTGGGGATTGGCTAGTTTTCCATGACAGGAAGTTGTTAAAAAGGAGTCTGGATCTTGGTTTTTCTCTCTTGCTTTCTTCCTCGCCATGTGATATCTTTGCACATGTCTGCTTGCCTTCCACTTTCTGTCATGAGTGGAAGCAGCATATGGCCCTCATCAGAAGCTGAGCAGATGCTGGCACAATGCTTCTTGTACTTCCCAGCCTGCAGAACCATGAGCTAAATAAACCTGTTTTCTTCATAAATTACCCAGCCTCAGGTATTTTGTTATAGCAATACAAAACAGACTAAGCCAGTGGGAATGCTTGTGTTGTTCCTGATCTTAAAGGAAAAGCTCAACTTTTTATCATTGAGTATAATGTTAGCTGTAGGCTTGTCATATATGGACTTTATTGTGTTAAGGCACATTCCTTTTATAATCTTTTGGGTTTTTATCATAAAAGGATGTTGAAATTTTTAAGTTGTTTTTCTATATCTAATAAGATGATCACATGATTATTGTCCTTCATTCTGTTAATGTGATGTATTGCATTTATTGATTTCCATATGTCAAATTATCCTTGCATCCCAGGGAAATCTTCCACTTGATCATGGTGAATGATCCTTTCATTGAGCTGTTGAATTCAGTTTGTTTGTTTGTTTTGTTTTGGATTTTTGTTGTTGTTGTTGTTTTTGAGTTGGAGTCTCTGTCTCCAGGCTGGAGTCTCTGTCTCCAGGCTGGAGTGCAGTGGCGTGATCTCAGCTCACTGCAACCTCCGACTCCCTCATTCAAGTGATTCTCCTGCCTCAGCCTCCTGAGTAGCTGGGATTACAGGCACGTGCCACCACCCCCAGCTATATTTTGTATTTTTAGTAGAGATGGGGTTTTGCCATGTTGGCCAGGATGGTCTCGATCTCCTGACCTTGTGATCCTCCCACTTCAGCCTCCCAAAGTGCTGGGATTATAGGCGTGAGCCACTGTGCCTGGCCGCTAGTATTTTTTTAATGATGTTTGTATCTATGTTCATCAGGGATAGTGGCCTATAATTTTCTTTTCTTGCAATGCCTTTGTCCTGCTTTGTAATTAGAATCATGCTGACCTCATAAAATGAGTTTGGAGAGTTTGGAAGTACTCCCTATCCTTCAATCTTTTGGGAAGAGTTTGAGAAGGATTGGCATTAGTTCTTCTTTAAATATTTGTGAGAATTCATCTGTAAAGCCATCAGGTCCAGGGCCTTTCTTTGATGGAAGATGTTTTATTAATGATTAAATCTCCCTACTTGTATTGGTCTGTTCAGATTTTAAATTTCTTCATAATTCAGTCTTGGTATCAGTTATAATGTCTCCTCTTTCCTTTCTGATTTTGGGTCTTCTCTCTCTTTCTTTAAGTTGGTCAAATAAAGGGTTTGTTGACTTTTTAAAAATCTTTTCAAAAAATCAGTTCTCAGTTTTGTTGATTTTTTTCTGTTGTTTTTCTAGACTCTATTTTATTTATTTCTGCTCTGATCTTTATTATTTACTTCCTTCTGCTAACTTTGGGCATAGTTTTTTATTTTTTCTGTAGTTCCTTAAGGTGTAATATTAGGTCGTTTATTTTAGATCTTTCCTCTTTTCTGATATAGGTGTGTATTGCTATGAACTTCCCTCTTGGGATTGATTTGCTGCAACCCTTAAGTTTAGGTATATTGTGTTTTCATTTTTGTTTGTCTCAAGATTTTTTTGATTTCCCCTTTGATTTCTTCTATCACCTATTGGTTGCTGAAGAGCATGTGTTTATGTGAAAATTCACATATTTGTGAATTTTCCAAGATCTCTCCTATTATTGATTTCTAGTTTAATATCAATGTGATCAGAAAAGATATCTGATATGATTTCAATACTTTCAAATTTTCTCTGACTTGCTTTGTGGGTTAATATATGATCTATCCTGAAGAATGTTCCATGCCTGCTTGTGAAGAATGTGCATTCTGTTGCTGTTGGATTGAATGTTCTATATATGTCTGCTAGATACATTGGGTTTTAAATGTAGTTCAAGTCCAATGTTTTCTTATAATTTTCTGTCTGGATTATCTGCTCATTATTGAAAGTAGGGTATTAAAGTTCTCTATTATTATTGCATTACAATCTATCTCTCCCTTCAGATCCTTTAAGATTTGCTGTATGTCTTCAGATGTTGGATGCATATACACACAATTGTTATATCGTCTTGATGAATTGACCCTTTTAGCATTATATAATGCCATTTTTGTCTCTTTTTGAAGTTTTTGACTTAACATCTATTTTGAATAATAAAAGTATAGCTACTCCTGCTGTCTTTTCATCTGCATTTGTGTGGAACATCATTTTCCATCCCTTCACTTTCAGTCTGTGGGTGTCCTTAAAAGTGCAGGGAGTCTCTCGTAGGCAGCATATAGTTGAGTCTTATTTGTTTATTCATTAAGTCATGAATTCAGTCTTTTGATGGGAGACTTTAATCCTTTTGCATTCAAAGTAATTATTCATAGGTAAGGATGTACCACTACCATTTTGCAATTTTTTTTCTGGTTGCTTTGTAGATACTTTCATTCTTCCTTTCCTGCAGTGGTTTGATTGCTTCTGTGGTGGTATGCTTTGAATCCTTTTTATGTTTTGTGCATGTACTACAGATTTTTACTTTGGTTTCCATGGAGCTTTTAAAAAAAAAAATCTTTAACAGGCAATTTTTCAAGCTGATAGCAATTTAATGTTGATTTCAACAACTCTACACTTTAATTCACCCACCCATTTTGTGTTTTTCTGTTTGTTTTTTACTTTTATTTTAGGTTCAGGGGTACATGCATAGGTTTGTTATATAGGTAAACATGTATCATGGGGGTTTGATATACAGATTATTTCATCACCCAGTTACTAAACCAGTATCCAATAGTTATTTTTTCTGCTCCTTTCCCTCCTCTCACCTTCCACCCTTTTCCACTAGTAAGCCCCAGCATCTGTTGTTTCCCTCTTTGTGTCCATGTGTTCTCATCATTTAGCTCCCACTTATAATTGAGAACACGCAGTATTTGGTTTTCTATTCCTCATTTTATGTTTCTGATGTCAAAATTTACATCATTTTATAATTTGTGTCCCTTAAAAATTTATTTTAGCTATAGTTGTTTTTAATGGTTTTGTCTTAAAAGACAAAACCTTCATACTGAAAATAAAATTGCTCTATACACCATCATTGCAATATTAGAGTATTCTGAATATGGCTGAATATTAGAGTATTCTGAATATGACTCTGTACTACTTATGTCATTGAGTTTTGTGGTTTCATATGCTTTATATTATTAATTAGCAGCCTTTCCTATCAGATTAAAAAACTCCCTTCAGCAATTCCTATAAGACAGGTCTGCTGATGATAAACTCTCATAGCCTTTGTTTATCTGGGGAAGTTTTTATTTCTCCCTCATTTTTGAAGGACAGATTTGCTAGGCACAGTATTATTGGTTGACAGGTTGTTCTGTTTTCCCTTCAACACTTTGTATGTATCATCCCACTCTCTCCTACCCTGCAAGATTTCTGCTGAGAAGCCCATTGTATTGTTACTCACTTGTATGTAATAAGTTTTTAAAAATCTTTTGCTTCTCTTAGAATTTTTTCTTTGTCTTTGATTTTTGACAGTTTGATTATTATGTGTCTTGATGAATTTTTCTTTAGCTGAATTTGATTGGTGACCTCTGCACTTCTGGTACCTGGAGGCTGTCATGTTTCCCCAGATTTGGGAAGTTTTCAGGCATTATTTCTTTAAATATGCTTTCTGGCCCTTTTCCTCTCTCATTTCATTCTTTATTCCTATTATGTAAATGTTATTTCTCTGGATGGTGTCTCAGAATTTCCATAGGCTTTCTTTATTCCCTTTCATTTTTTTCCTTTTTCTCCTTTGATGTATAATTTCAAATGTTCTCTCTCCAAGCTCACCAATTCTTTCTTCTGCTTGATTGAGTCTGCTGCTGAAACTCTCTACTTATTTCTTTGGTTCAGTCACTGTATTCTTCATCCCTAGGATTTCTATTTGTTTAATGTTTCTATTTCTTTGTCAAATTTCTCAATTTGTTCACATATTGCTGTCAAAATTTCATGTAATTTCCTATCTATATATTCTTACAGTTTGCTGAACTTCCTTAAAAATGATTATTCTGAATTCTTTGTCAGTCATTTCATAGATCTTCATTAGTTCAGGGTCCATTATTGGAACTTTATTAATTTCTTTTGACAGTGGCATGATTCTCTGATTCTTTGTAATTCTGTGTCCTTGCACTGGTGTATGTGCGTTTGAGGAAACAGCCACCTCTTTTGGCCTTTATAGGTATTCTCTGGCAAGCATAGACTTTTGTTATTTAGTCTAGCCTGGAATTCTGGAAGGGCTAGCTGATAACAACCCAGGCAGGCAAAATTTATTGCCAAGTTCTCTAGTTGGCTGGGCTACTACGTTTGCTCTGAGGTGGAGTGGAGCTGGCTCTGCTGCCCAGCAAGACCACTGCCTTGGCCCTGCAAGCAGGCAGAGTTGCTTGCTGAGCTCTGTGATGACTTCTGATTGGGCACAGTCACAGGGTGTATTTCCTGGCTGGGTGGTGCCACTGTTGGAGTTCCATAGTTAGACAAGGGTATAGGCTGAGCTCAAAGATTAGGTGAAGTCACAGCTCCAGATAGATGGGTCCAGAGGCTATGCTCCATAGAAATGGATAGTGGCAGGTGTCTCCCCGCCTGGGAAGTACCTTGGGGTGAGGTTGAGCAGAGCTGCTGTTTGTACTAGCAGGTTAAACAGGACTAGCCCTTTTGCTCTGCAGAAATCCACGGTGCGTGGCATCTTTCTGCTTGGGCCAGGCTTTGGGGTGTCTGCCTATTTTAAATTATATTGTTTTTGTTGCTGTTGTTATTGTTGAATTTTAAGAGCTATTTTTATAGTCTGGCTATTAATTCCTTATCTCATATATGATTGACAAATGTATTCTCCTATTCTTTGGATTGTCTTTTTATTCTCTTAATAGCGTCCTATGATGCACAGAAGTTTTTAATTTCAATACAGTCCAATTCTTTTGTTACCTATACTTTCAGTATTATAGTCAAGAAATCATTGCCAAATCCAACATCACGGAACCATAAACTTTTTATTGAACAAAATGAATTTTGGAATTTCATCAATTACCAGCAAAAAACACCTTAAAATATTCATGAATGTCCAAATTCTACATTATAGTTAGACTGAAATTGAAGGAATGGGAAAAGACATACCATTCAAATATTAATTTTAAAAAGCAGAAGTGCTTTTTAAAGTACTTTTTAAAGCTAATGCTAGATAAAATAGACTTCAGAGCAAAAAAATTTATTAGAGACAAGGATGGACATTATAAATGGTAAAAAGATCAACCTACTAAAAAGATGTAACAATCTGAAATGTGTAAGCACCAAACCACAGAGCCTCCAAATATACAAAGGAAAACGTGTAGAACTGAAAGGAGAAATAGACAAATCTATAATTATAGTCGGAAATTTCAATACTCCCCTCTTAGCAACTAATAGAACTACTACACAGAAAATTGTTCAGGACATAGACAAACTCAACAAAATCATTAACCAACAGGAGCTAATTGACATAGGTGGGACACTTCACCCAACAACAGCAGAATATACATTTTTCTCAAGAGCCCATGGAACACAGACCATATCTTGGGTCATTAAAAAAAAATCAGCAAACTTAACTGAAGCATACAGAGTGTATTCTCTCGCCATAATAGAATAAAACTAGAAATCAGCAGAAGAAAGATAAGAGAAAAATCTCCAAACATTTGGAATGTAAACAACACACTTCTAAATAAATCAAGGGTCCAAGAGAAAGCCTCAGAAAAAATTTTAAATATAATAAAACTGAATGAAAGTTAAAACCCATGTCAAAATTTGTGAGACACAGTTAAAGCAGTGCCAAGAGGGAAATTTATAGCACTAGATGCATACATTAGAAAAGAAGAAAAGTCTCAAACCAGTAATGTAAATTCCTATTTCAAGAAGCTAGAAATGTACAGCAAAATAAATGCAAAGCAACAAGAGGAAGAAAAAAAATAAAGAGAGCAAAAATCAATTAAATTGAAAATAAGAATATAATAGAGAAAAATCAATGAAACCAAAAGCTGGTTCTTCAACAAAATCAATAAAATGGATAAATCCCTAGCAAGACTGACAAAAGTAAGGCCAGGTGTGGTGGCTTGTGCCTATAATCTCAGCACTTTGGGAGGCAGAGGCAGGAGGATCACTTGAGCCCAGGAGTTGAAGACAGTCTGGGCAAAATAGGGAGACCCTGTCTCTATGAAAATTAGCAAGGCATGGTGGTGCATTCCTGTAGTCCCAGCTACTTGGGAGGCTGAAGTGAGCCCAGGAAGTCAAGGCTGCAATGTGCTAAGATTATGCCACTGCATTCCAGCCTGGGCAACAGAGGGAGACCCTGTCTCAAAAAACAAAAACCAAAAACAACAACAACAACAACAAAACTGATGAAAATAAGGCACAAATAACCAGTATCAGGAATGAAACTGGTGTATCACCACAGGTCCTGCAGTCGTTATAAGGGAAATCTACAGCTTCATGTTCAACTCATTAGAATAAATACAAAAGCTTAGAAAATTGAACCAATTTCTTGAAAACCATAAATTACAAAAACTCAACCAAGATGTAACAGATAATCTGAACAATCCAATAACTATTACAGAAATTAAATTTGTAATTTATAACCTCATTAAAAAATGTCCAAGGTCAAATGATTTTATTAAAGGATTCTACCAAACATTTAAATAATCGATAGCAATTTTACACAATCTCTTCCACAATATACAAGAGGAGGGAACACTTCTCAGTTCATTTTATAAGGCCCTGATACTGAAACCAAACAGAGTAAAAAAGAAACTAGTAAAGTTCATGTCAATTTCTCTTATGAACTTCAATGCAAAAATCCTTAACAAAATTGAATCCAAGTGTGTATAAGAAGAATTCTATATCATAACCAAGTGGGATTTATTCCAGGTGGGCAAGGCTGGCTCAACATTTGAAAATCAATCAGTGATATCAATTCACCATATCATAGGATCATGTCATTTCATGCAGAAAAAGCATATGACAAAATCTTACACACATTTATTATAAAAACTCAAAGCAAGTTAGGAATAGATGAAATTACCTCAATTAGATTTTTTAAAAAATCTATAAAAACCCTGCAGCTAATATATTTAAAGGTGAAAGACTGATTGCTTTTCTGCTAAGATCAGGAATAAGGCAAATATATCTGCTCTCACCACTCATCCAACATGGTATTGAAAGTTCTAGCCACTTTGTGGTAGCGGGCGCCTGTAGTCCCAGCTACTTGGGAGGCTGAGGCAGGAGAATGGCGTGAACCTGGGAGGCGGAGCTTGCAGTGAGCCGAGATCGCGCCACTGCACTCCAGCCTGGGCGACAGAGCGAGACTCCGTCTCAAAAAAAAAAAAAAAAAAAAAAAAAAAAAAAAAAAAAAAAAGAAATAAGACAAGAAAAAAATAATGAAAGACATACAGATTGGAAAGGAAGAAATAAAACTGTCACTATTTGCAGATAACATGATTGTTTACTCAGAAAATTCCTAGAAGTGAGAAGCAAATTCAGCATGGTTGAAGTATACAAGATCAACACGAAAACAGACCCACACAAATATGCCTGCTGGAATTTTAAAAAATAAATCTGCAAAAGCAATTCAATGGAGGAAAAAGAACCTTTCCAACAAATGATGCTATAACAATTGGGTATCCACAGGCAAAAACTGTACCTCAACCTAAACTTCACATCTCAGAAACAAATTAACTGAAAATGGATCACAGATACAATGTAAAATGTAAAACTAAACTCACTTTTAAAATTAAAGAAAATCTTCCAGATTTAGGGCTGGGCGAAAGTTCTTACACTTGACACCAAAAGCAAGATCCATAAAATGAAAGATTGGTAAATTGAGTCTCCTCAAAATTGGAAAGTTTTCCTCTGCAAAAGCCCATGTGAAGAGAATGAAAAGACAAGCTAGAGACTGGAACAAAATATTTGCAAACCATGTATCTCACAAAGGACTTTTCCTAGAATATATAAAGAACTCTTCAAAATGCCACAGTAAAAAATAAAAACAAACCTCTAATTAGAATATGGGCAAAACATGGGAACAGACATTCCATGAGAAAAGAAATAAAGAAAAAGAAAAGGGTATACAGATGGCAAATCAGCACATAAAAAGATGCTCACTATCATTACCTTAGCCACCAGAAAAATGCAATTTAAAACCACAATGAGATATTACTTACCTATCCGAATGACTAAAATAAAAAAACAGTGACACCACCAAATGCTGCCAAGTGTGAAGAAAAAAATTGATCACACCTACATTGCTGCTGGGATTGTAAAATGGCACAGGCAATCTGGAAAAGAGTATGGTAGTTCTTACAAAACTAAACGTGTGCTTACCACATAACCCAGCAATTGCCCTCTTGAGCGTTTATCCCAGAGAAAACTTATGTTCCCACAGAAACCTGTACATGAATGTTCACAGCAGCTTTATTTGCAACGGCCAAAATCTGGAAACAACCCTGCAATAAGTCCTTCAATGAGAGAATGGTTAAATAATCTACCGTCGTGGTACCTCCATCCCATGAATACTACCCACTAATAAAAAAGAATCATCTATTGATAATACATAATAATTGGATACATTTCAGGGGAATTATGCTGAGTCAATAAAGACAATCCGAAAATACTACATTATTGTATAATTTCATCTGTACAACATTCTTGAAACGACAAAATTGGAAAAAATTGAAAGTAGATTAGTAGTAGTCAGGGATCGCCACTCACCCTCCAGGTAGGTGTGGTTATAAAAGGCAAAAAGAGGGATCCTGTGATAAGTTCGGTTCTGCATCTTGACTGTGGTGGTAGTTGAATTTACACATGTGATAAAATTGTATAGAATTATTTACACACACACAGAGGTTGAAGGAGAGAGAAATGAGTACAAGTAAAACGGGAAATCTCAGTAAGATGGGTGGGGTTATACCAGTGCTAGTATCCTGGTTGTGATATTGCACCATAGTTTTGGGAATTTTTACCACTGGGGGAAACTGGGTAAAGGGTGGGTGCACAGGATCTCTCTGTATTATTATTATTTTTTACAACTGCACGTGAATCTATGATTATCTCGAAACATTTAAATATGTATTTTTTAATGTGTGAATACTACTGGGCTATATATTTTTAAAAAATAAAGTACAATCGTCTTAAGAACGCAAAGGCCAAGGGGCAGAAGGCTATTTCTTAAATTTTAAGAAACCACCTAGTTCACAGGTGCCACCTCCTCACTTTGCTGTCAGCGACGTGATGTGCTCTGCAGTGCTGGAATTGAGAGTTCAAGAGAGAGATACCGGTCCTGGCCTCTCGGTGTTCAGGTGTGTGTATAGGTGGGCGTTGGTGTGAGAACGAGCGAGAGAAAGCGGGAGCAAGAGCGAGAGCTATGCCTCCCTTAGTGTCAGGGAGGGTGGCCGGCTGATGAAGGTGCTGTGCAGAAAGCCGGGGAAGGGCTTAAAGAGGGTGCTGGCGCCTCGGGAACGCCCTCCCGCTGCACCCTACAGGAGGTCGTGGGCGGTGGCTTAACAGCCCCAGTGCAGAGCTTGAACCCCACCGTCCAGAAGGAAAGGTGAGTGGGGGACCCGGGCGGGAGGTGAGGCCTGCCGGCAGCGGCCCTCAGGCGTGCTGGGCAGCACGGCTAGCAGAGGCGGCGCCTGGTCTTGGATGCTGCAGCGGAGACGCCAAGGAGACTGAATGCAGGGAGCGAGGCGTAGCGGCCGCGGAGGGTGGGGCCGCCCGGAAATCCAGGCGGCGCCAGCCTTGTAGCATCTGCAGGCCGGGGGCGCGCACACGAGGGGCACGTGGGTGTGGAGGAACCGGCGCGGCGGGGCCTCCTTCCTGCAGCGCCGCGGCGGTCGAGTGCCCGTGCTGGAGGAACGGCGAGTGGGGTGCCTGCCCCGCGCAGGCGGTACCCGCCGCCCCAGCTCCGCACACAGCAGGCACGGCCAGGGACCGGGACCGTGGCCCAGCGCCTGGAGGCGCTCTCCACGCGCATCTTTCCCGATGCCGGGGCGGGAAGCCGAGTGGCTTTGTCCGGAGATGCCAGGGGATGTGGGCAGGGGACGAAGAGGTTTCCCAACTGGCCAAACCCTGGCTTGAGGAAAGACTGAGGTGGTCATTGACCCGTGGGAGCGCCCTGGGGCTTCGAGGGAACGGCAGCCGAGCCCGGGAGACTGGTGTTGGGTACCCGCGGGGGCCGGCGGGTTCCACGTGGGTGGACCCCGAGCTGAGGGCAGGGTAGGGTCGCGGATCGCTGACCTATGAGCTCCCCTACTCCCGCACAAGGACACCTGCACATGGACCCGGGCTTCCACCCGCTTCTGGCTGGGTTGGCGCCGGGAGCGCGCAGGGGAGGGACGGCGGCGGAGTGCGGGGTTTGGCGGGTGAGGTGGGTGAGGTGTGGCCGCGGGGGAGGGGGCGAAGGCACTAGAAGGCTGCGGTCGCGCTGTCGCTGCTGTTCCCACCGTCGGCGCGGGGCGCGGAGGGGGCGAAGAGGTGCCTGCCAGTCGCACTGCGGTCTAGGGGTGAAAGGAAAAGGGTCCATGTAAAGGAGAAAGGGCAGGCAGAGACTCTTGCTGGTGCCAGCAGGCACGGAAGGATGTGGCCGCGGGGACTTGGAGTTTAGAGGGCAACGCTGGGTGTCATAATGCCGGAGATGACCCCGGGTGCAGAGGCGATTCCAGTTGGGTAGAGCTACAGAGAACGTGGCCCGAGAAGGGGAGCTTCCTTAAATTAGACATATCCTGTGTTGTCCTAAACCTAGCATTTACCCTCTCCCACCCCGCTCCCACAACCTCCAGGGTCCTAGCGGAGTCATTTAAGCGCTCAGTACTACCAGCTTCATTTTAGGTAAAAATCAAGACTAATTCTGCACTTTATTAACCTCCTCGTACCCAAGTCACCACGGGGCAGCTTTTCACAGCCCTAAGGCGTGGTCACTTCAAGCCCACAGCGAGTTGCTCGTGTCCTCGGCTTCTGCTCCGCAAATCTCGGACGATGCCACCGGAGGACGCTGAAGGCAAAGGCTGGTGGGGCCAGGCGCCGGCGAGACTGCCGCGCTAGCACAGCTTCCGCGGGAGCCGAGTGCTGACGGGCCTCGCGACCCCCTCCCGAGGGCAAACGGCTCGGCCCTCCAGGGACACTTGGTCAGTGTCACTCTCTCCCTACCGGGTGTCGCGCATTTTCTCAACAGAACGTGACCCCGTAGACGGATGAACTCGGAATCGGCAAAACCCGCCTGCCCTTGTCTAGTCTCTCTGCCCCACCACACCACTGCCCTTCACTGCGGACTGCGCCGTGTGCGCTCCGGGACCGCCCCTGCACCTTTGCCCACAGCTTCCCATTACCAAGGCAGCCGGAGGAAGACCTTTCCGAGTTACCTGTCTCACGTCAGCAGCCACACCGAGGCGGTCCCCCTCGCACCACTCCCCAAGTGCAGAGCCCCTGAAAGTCCGAGGCTCCTGTGCCACGCACCCTCCCCCCTGCGGGGCGACCCCGCGTATGCGTGTGTGTGTCACGCGTTTAATCGCACAGAGTAATTCCCAGACGTGCAAGACAAAGCATTTCAAGCAAAGATGGTCCAGAGTTCAAATTGGAAAGCACATCTCGAGGCGCTGAATCTGTTCTCGCCGTCTGCCTCGGTCTCTGGGGCGTCGCATCCAGGAGAAGGGTTTTAACTCCCTGCCAGATCCGCTCGGAATTAGCTCTTCTGGCGGTGCAGCAACAAGTGGCCCCGCCGCCTCCCTTGTGCACTCGGAGGGACTACATCCTCCTCCTCTCCCAGCCCCTAGTCCAAACGGGAGTAGGTAATGGCGGGGAAAGGGGGAGGTGACGAGAGCGGGGAGAAGGAAGTACATATTTTTTAATTGTGAAATTGTCTGTCTGCGTGCTGTGCTCTGGGATTCTCTTGTCTCAATCAACTTCAATTTTAACGTGGCCGTAACGTTAAGATTAAGACCTAGAAATGAAAACGTACCCACCTTTCTTATTACAAAGGTCGTTTGTTGTTGTTGTTTTTTTAAAACACCAAGTAACCCCCCCCCCCCCCCCCCACGGACTTATACTTTGTTTATGAGATTTCTCCAACCTTGGTGGTTTGGAGAAATGAGGTGGGGGAGGGGAGGACCAAGGGCAGCAAGACGTCCACTACGAAAATAAGATACTTACTAATTTAATAGGGCCGTTCCTTTTTACATAAGATGCTCCCCCACCCCCCACCAATTTACAATAGGTAAACTTTGAGCTTCCTCAAAGTTTCGCTATCTAGCGTTTATGCCCGAAGCTTTACGAATAAACTCCCTTTCCAGGTAAACCTGCCCAACCCTTGTCCTATGCCCAGCGAAGCCCAGGTACGATGGGTCAAGGACCCCTGGCTTCCACATTGTCTGAGTCACGTTCCAGTTGGAAAGGCCATCTTGGGCGAGGGACGTGTTGCCCGACTGGTCTAAATAAGGAAAGAAAGTGGAGTACCAAAGAATCAAGGGCCTCTGTTCCTCCCCATCCCGCCACCACCACCACCGGTCCCCGGGCTCTGCTGAGCGCTGCGGCGGTCTTGGCTGAAAACTGCGTCCCCGCCCAAATCGAGCGCAAAACTCCCTTGGACAGAAGTTTGAAAGAATCCAGTGTAGAAACAGACTTCTCCGTCCAATTTGGTTTTAATCAGTAATCATATAAGTATACCCACATAACCACCTAAGTGGAGAGCAGACGCCCAGATTCACGGTCCCCACGTGTTGCTGGAGTTGGCGCAGACGCGTGTGCGGGCATAGCGGCGGACGTGACACCGCATTTTCTCCGAATTCCTGCCATCTAGGGTGGTGCCGCCCCAAGAGGGGGCCGTGGGGAGGTGGGGTAATAGGCTGCGCAATCCACTTGCTCTGGGGGAGCTTAGGGTTCAGAGCAGAGCGCAACTCCGGGGGGCTGTCGCACAGCCCCATTCTCCCACACCAGAAGAGCAATGCTCCTTATGGATGATTAATAGCCGGGCTTCTCCTGACCATGCGGCGCGTCCCTGCCGGCACCACTTAGTTGTTTTAATTTGACCTTTATTAGCAACGTGCTCCCAGAGGCTGCGAGTTGGATTCGCACCACGATAACGGCCCTCTCCCCTTCCACCCGGCCGGCTTCCTGGGAAGGATCGGGGACTGCAGCTCCCGCGACGCCTCCTCCTCCTGCGCAGGGAGCAGGCCTGAGTTCCTCCACGTAATGACCTGGGAGACCTCAGGCATCCCGGGGCCTGGTCGGAGGGTCTTCGGGCCCTGGAGCTGGGCGGTGTCTGCAGTGCACCGCCGTGAGTTTCTCTCGGGTACAATGTGCTGGTGTGCAGAGAGGAGGAAAGGAAAAAAAAAAAACCCAACACCACTCTTAAGTGGCACTGGCATCTATGAAGTGGCAGTGGTCTACACTGAGCGTGCCCTTGCCTGGAGGTGTAGGGGGCGGTTACTGCAGCCGAGGGGAGGGTACTGCGGCCAAGGGCAGGGCGAGAGGACAGTCAAGGCCGGCTGGCCGCGTGGGAGCCTTTCCTCTCCGGGTTCAGCGGCCGGAATCACCAGCACTGCGGCTAAAGGGGCTGGTAGGCTCTCCTGCACCCCGCGTGCTCCTCCGCCTTCTCTGTGTCCCCCGGCTTTTCCAGGAGGAAGATGGGGTGCCCATCGCGAATGGGGCGCGCCGGGCCGCCTGGCCGGGCGGTCACGTGTCCCCCCTCCCCCGCCACTGCGGCGGGAGTTCCAATCAGAGCGCGCCAGGGGGCTCCTCCCGGGCAGGAACCACCCGGCTCGGCGGCGGAGGGTGGGCCGCCGTCACCTGACCGCCCGCCCCCGCCCCCCGCGAGTAAGGGGCGGTGGTAGCGTCTGCTCGGTTACAAATGGCCCCTCCCGCCCGGCTCGCCCGCTCGCTCGGGCTCGGCGCGGACCCGCCTGGGCGTGCTCCTCCCGCCGGCTCCAGGCGTCCCACCGCCCTGCCCGGCGCCAGCCCGCGGTCCCAGCCACTCCTGAGGGCGCGCCGGGCACCCAGCGCGTAGGCTCGCCCACGGAGGTCGACACGGAAGTCTGGACCGCCGAGGCGTGTGGCTCGTCTACCGGCAGGTGAGCGTGCACCGCGGGCGTGGGATGCTGTGGGGACAGTGCGGGGGACGTGTGGGGTCTTCGGATGCGAACGCGAGTCCGTGCGATGCCCAGGTCAAGTTTGCAGAGAGAGTCTGCGGTGTCTGTCTCCTTGGCCTCCTCTTGATGCTCCTGCGGGTTGGGGGCTCGGACCAAAGCTTCTATTTGGGGGAAGGGCTTCAGGACATTCTTGCCTTGAGATACTTGACAAAGGTTGAAAAGACACATCAGGTGGGAGCTTGTAGCTGCTGCTGATGGGGTGAGACAGGTGCAGTCGAGTGTGCACGCATATGTGTGTGGCTCCTGGGTAAGGGTCAGCTCGAGATGGGGAGAAGCCTCTGCGACGGGTCATTCTGTCCCCAAGAGCCACTTAGATTCCGGAGAGTGAAATTGAGCCGCTCTGAGGTGGTCACTAGATGTTATGGCAGCAAACCAGTGACCCCCAGTATTTCTGATATGACCCTGTAGTAGAAGGAGTGCAGATGGTTCAGTACAGAGTGTGTGAGGTTTTAAGGCACCCAGAAAAGATTCCTTTTACCTTATAACTTCTTGACAGAAATTAGTATTAAAAGTGCTGAATCATGCAAAAAGATTAGGAAAATAATTTACTTAATGTTTTGGTAAAGTTTTCCAAAGCTAATAATATCTGCATTTTTGGATCAATGCTTTAAATTTAAGATGTAGGCACTAGGTATTTAAAATCATATTTTAAGACTGTGCCCTTGGCTTTATGACTATCAGTTGCTTTTCTTTCTTTATGATTAGTTGTATCCATTCATTACTTCTTACCACTTTCACTACCCTCAAAACAAACAAAACCCCGGAAAAAAACCCAAGACATGGGATTTTTATTTTTATTTTATTTATTTATTTATTTCTGATGTGTTCATGATTGTAAAGGGAGTGGAGGTATCAGTCCTGGGAAATAAAAAAATCCTCCTCTGATGAATGCAGTGATGGCCAATTTGATCAATTTGATTTGTCATATGCCACTGAAGGGAATGTCAAGCTGATAACATGCAGACTGGAGAGAAAATGAAACAGGAGTTGCCCATTGAGGAAGACATAAGCCCTTATCCGATTGCACTCAGTGAAGGAGCTGGAGGGTAGTCCTTCCACATTGGAACCTGAGTCCTTGGTGGAGGTGCAGTTTTTGATGCAAGTTCTGAGGTCAGACACCATGTAACATAAAGATGAATTTAAAAAAAAATCAGAGTCAGGATTAGTAAAATGGGTGTGTCCAGCGACAGCCTTTGCCCATTTACTCTTGGCTGCACTGTCTGAAATGCTCAGTGGCCTGCTGACTCATAAGGGAACAAGCATGGCTTAGCAAGATTGGATTTTACTTGTAGACTCTAAAGAACTGTACTTGTTAAAAAAAAAAAAAGATTTTTGAAAAAGCATCATCGGAGACATCCATAATAGAGAAGCTAGTCTCTCTTTCTCACATCTCTTCTTCCAGGAGGTTTCTCCCTGATTCCTTGACTTGTCACCTTTATTTCAATACCTGTCATCCATGCTTGTGCAAAACACATCTGATTTGACACAAAGGTTTTAATCTGAATCTTAACATGAGAAACGGTGGGACTCTTAGCAACATGATTATTTCAAAGGTATTTTTGAAGGATACTGAAAAACTGGAATATGAACGATTAATTGAATTTTCTTTACAGCACAGACTCCCTTAACATTGCATGCAAGACCAGGGAGCCCCACCCTGTTTCTGAGCATCTGCATGAAAGACCAGGAAAGGAATTCGACAATTGCAGTGGTGCAGGGAGAGGCAGCTTCTAGGCTTGGGCATTACCTTTATTTAAATAATTACTAACAAATTTGGAGGGTAGGCTTTAATCCATAGGCAGGTCTTAAAAAGCACAGTGTTATTTCTTTTCACCTGTCAGCTTGTTAAAATGTCCATTTAACTTTGAGAGGTTGATTTTGTTAGAAAAGGGATACAGATCGAGAGCTTCCAAATTTTAAGATCCTAGGGCTAAAAGCCATAATTGATTGGAAGGACACATATTAAAGCATACAGTGAAGCCAAAAAGAGTTATTTTTGCTTCGATATTCTTAATAAAATTTTTTTTATAAAACTAAGTTTTTTAGAAAGAGGGGGGCTCCTTTTTAGGCAGTGAATGGAATAAATCAGCTTGTGCGATAGACCAGCACCTGGCATCTCAGTTTGAACAGAGATGCATAATTGGAGCAAGAAACAGATGAATGAGCTTACCTTTTACTGCTTGGTCCTTCAAACAGAACCCAGTCATTTCACATCAGATTAGAGGAAGGCCATTTCTACAACAAGACAAGGAGATTTCAAATCTTGTTTCAAATCTATGGGAAAGAAAATGTTTTGAGCTGCTCTGAAGAAAGAGGCATTATAAATTTACAGTTCATTATTATAGTTAGGTTTATCCGCATCGTCTACTGCAGATAGCGGGTCTGACCAAGAAGAAAAGAGATACAAAGACTTTTTTTCTTTCCTTTTTTTAAGACAAAATTTTCAAAAGGATCCCTACTTGGTTACCTTCCATTTTTTAAGGTAAATATATCATTTACGGAAGAGAAAATGATACGTTTTCCCTTGATGGCTAGAGTGAATTAATGCATTTTCAGACCTGAATGTCGTGACCAGTTAGCAGTATCTCAACAGTTCTTCCAGTCTAACGTGATACTCTAGGTGAAAATTGCAGGTTCTGTTCTGAACTCATAATCTTAAGCTGCTGAAACTACCTTCTGCTTTTTTCCTGTGTTTTTTTTTTTTCTTATATTATCTTTCCCCTCTTTTAAATCCACAAACTATACCTACAAATCCTAGCACCTAGAAGGCTTTGAGAGTCACCAGGAACACACAATCAGGTAAATTGTCTGTGATTGCGGGTCATTCTAAAATCAAAATAGATTTCAGCGGCGGCTTCAAGAATCAAATTGGTCAGACGTCTCTGGTGCTTTGCTCAGATGCCGGCGCCCTAGCAGCCTGCTTTCAAAGAGGGTCTTTTCCTAAGATATGCAGTGATTATTTTATGGAAATTAGCTCTACCCACTTGCACAGTTAATTGCAGTATGAGAAGGTTCCAGAACAGTACCTCCTTGAGTTCGACAGTAAATATGCACACATCATTGTATGACGAGCATTCCAGAACACCCACCTCCCAGCAAAGTAAATTTGCTGGCTGAATAAACACCTGGGCTGCTTTAGCCCACAAATGGCAACAAGTCTCATGTTTTACCACAAATGTACACTAAGCCTTTTTAGGACACTGCAGAGCCTTGTAGCATGGAAAGGGGCATCTGATGTCTGAATTCCTGTAGAGTTGGCCTCCAAGAATCTCTCTTTTTCCACTTGAGGATATCAGGTTATGAGTTTTTTTTTTTGAAGAATTTGAAGAAAATTGTTTGCTCATCCACTTATTACAGGGAATTGTAGTTAGTAATATCTTTGGCGTTAAGTATTTAAAAATTAATGATATTTTTGGGTGTGTGAGGGTTGGATTGAGGCAATAGAGAGTATCCTTTAGAAAAACCATTTGGAAATTGCTGCTCCTTTAAAATTATGTGACATTAAACACTTGTACATGCATCTCTGCAAAATTCAAGAAATGTGCTTTGGTGTGCGCATTGTGCCACATACACATGCATCCTACACAAACTGGAATTGCTATTTAGGACTGTTAAACTCTTCATTTTGAGAAGACTTAACTTGGGTAGTGGGGAGGGTTTTTATTTGTTTCTTTCCTGGTAGAAGTGGGCTCTGAATCTGTTGTGCTTAGGATCTTACTTAGTAGGTAGGACCATCAAGAAAAGACAGTGAATGAATAGTTCTTAAAAGTAGATAAAGTACATTTTTTTTTTTTTTTTTTTTTTTTTTTTTGCAGTGTGTCATCGTTTAGGTTGCTAATTTAAAAGTATTTCAGCTCTGGATTTTAGAACTAAAAATATCATGAGAAATAGTTTTCGTTCAGATGTAGCTCAAGATGCATCTCTCCCTTGTTCAAATTACTATGTATCCTCCTTGCTTCTCATGGAATTTGGAAACTATCCCAACTGCTAATGATCTAAACATTTTGGTCTTACAGGTGTTCTTTTGATCACAATGGATAGTGACTCTTCTCTTCTGCCTGAGAGTGGTTCAAAATGTAAGTTCAGTAAACTAAATAATTAAATATTAATAATTCTGAACATCTGTGCAGAGCAGTTCTTCCTATTTTTCATTCCTTCTGCCTAAGGACTCTAGCTTCATAAATAAGAATCTAGAAGGAAGTGCTATACCCTTGAGTAGGGGGTGGGGGGAGCCTAACCTAGATGAACGTTTATTCACTACCCAGCAGCATAACTTTATATGACTGCAATCACAGCCATTGATTCCTGTGCACCCCCACTGCCCCCATGTTATTTTCATGGTAATAGAATACGAACCTTTGGTGCTTGGGTAATGCTGAATTGACACTTCCCCAGATGTCATACGTTTCTGTGTGGCCCTGCCTGTTCTAATCTTCTCTTGGTTCAAGCAGATGGCTTCTGATATGTAGAAACATCCAGGCCCAGAAACAGAGGTTTTTGTTTTGTTTTGTTTTGTTTTGTTTTTGGGGTGGGGGGTGGCCCGATGAAATCCTATGGCTACTGTCAAGCTACCTTTCTTACCGAATGTACGTTAATCAAAATGCTATAACCCAGCTGATGACGTTTAGGCTGTTAGGATCTGGTACACGTAAATTATAAAATGGAAAGTGTTAAAGTGTACGGGAAGCCATTGCTGTTTCACACAGAGTTTGAATGGTTAGGGATTTTACAGATTTCCCAGGGCTGGATCCACCTTTTCCATTTGAAGGATATCAAGTACTTCCAAGTATGGCTGTTTAAAGAGTGAACTCTCAGTCTCTGAAAGGAACCTAGTGCTGATTTGGACCCCTCCCTACCTCTTTAGAAATCTCAACATGTGATTTGAGATATTTTTGAGAACTTCTTAGGCATTCGATGCATTTCATCAGTGGTCAGGCTATAGAAAGCTGATTTTTATTAGGAAAAATATCTCTTCTACCTTCTCTTATCCCTTGTTTTTCTGCCTTCCTGTCTGTGCTCCCTTTCCCAAAACATAGATTTTCATGTAATTCAGTTCACTAAATATCACTTCCATTTTTGCTTCTCTGCAGAGTTTATTGCTAGAGCTGCTGATAGACTTTTGGCGCAGATAGTATATTGATCACTTGAAATCTCATTTGAGCTTGACTGAATATACATAATGGGGTGTCAATCGGGGAAAAATCTCATAATAAATGGCAGGTGACTTATATTCATGAGAAAAAAAAAGTCTTGGGCCGCACACAAAATACCATGTTTACTGTAGCATGACAGACTGATTTTGCTCGTCTCCATCATATTCATCTGGTGGGTGTTTAATAGCAAAGGCAAGGTTAGAATACCAAGATCCTGGAAACTTTCTTTGTTTATGTGGGAAGCATTTTTGTACACTCTATACAGTATAAGCATCTTCTAGAACTACAGCCAGCAAGAAAGAGCTTTTCTACCTGAGAAATTCAGAAATTGCAAACAAATCTGTTTAAGTTGGTGTGTATTTAAAATCAGCTACTGATTTATGCAGTCCATATTTTTTAAATTTTTACCATGTGTGTATCAGTGCATACACTCACTGTATGCAAATATCATTTTCAGTGTGTATATGGGAGAGCACAGTATATTTAGAGAAAAGTCTGCTTTACATAAATTATTTTTAAGAACAACTGAGCAGAGGAGTAGCCATGCGTTAGGAAAGCCAAATCTTTTTTTCTTTTTTTAAGTTTCCCATTGAATGATAAGGAATTTCTCTTTTAAAGTTTTATATGTAATTCTTTAAAATCAATTTTCCTGATACAGCAGTCATTATGACGGTAGATATGTCTGGGAAAGTGATATTTTGGGTTACTTTATACAGCTGACTTGATAGCCGACTTCGTTGTGGCTGATTGTTTGGAAACATGGGGGTATCTATCATATTAGCTGTAACCCTGCTTCATGCCAGGACAGTGTGGGGTACATCACGTTTTTCCCAGTCTGCTAAGTGGGGTGCAACTCAACTTCCATCAGGAATTCTTCATCTCCTGTAAATGAATGAAATCAACTGGCTCTTTGCTAACAGGGTTCTAATTTTCTTTTTTTTTATAGTCAAAAAAATTAATAATAATGGTACCCTGGACAAACATCTCCTTCAGTCCTTGTACAATATCTCAAGATTTTAAAAACTGTTTTATGTCAGAGTTTTCACTTTTTTAGCCTCAGGTCAAATATGATAGCCAGAGGAATCTGCTTACTACAGATGCAAAATAGGACAAGTGACATTATTAAGATATAAAAGACATGACATCAAGCCCTGATCATACATACTGTTTTTCCATAGCAAGATTTTTTGCCATTTTCATCTATTTTACTGAAATGCTTCCAATTTGCTTTTTAAGGTTTTTGATTAGCAGTCACAGAGAATGTAAATATGCTGAGAAATGGGATTATCTGAGAACTAACCAGTTGCGGAGGTTTAACAATATATAATTACACGAGTGTTATGTATTTTAGTAATATCTTCTAGAAGTAAAATCTTATATCCATATATTTCCTTATATATGTACCAATAGTTCTGTACCAATTAGAAACTATTTGTAGTATGTGGCTTTTTGCACGAAGAGGCAATCAAATTTGATAGCTTAAGCTTGGGAAATTATGCTTTTGAGATTTAAGCAGAAGCTAGGTGATACAAGAACTTTAAACTCAGGAATTAGCTGTTTGAATATGCTTCATTAATTTTAACCTACAGAGAAATGTATGTCTGCAAATGTTAAAACTGGGACTTATTGGATGTCACCAATAAATGGGAAAAATTAAATCCCAGGGAAAAAAAATTGGAAAGAAAAAAATTTCCAGAGAAATTTGAAACTGAAAACTGCATTTATAGGCCTTGCTGTTGTCTTAAATTTTGAATAGTTTTACTAATTTATTTTGATTAACTGAAAGGAGAAAGAGTAATATGAACTAAGAAGTTACATGAACTATTTTCTGTTGAAAAGATATTAACATCTTTTGGAAATACCATATCCAGCTTGGTAATATAAATACTCAGTTTTAATAGATTGCCTTCTCACCAGTCCTTAATATCTTAGAGTGAGAATTTTTTTTTTTTTTTTCCTGGAGACAGAGTCTCGTTCTGTCGCCCCGGCTGGAGTTCAGTGGTGTGATCTTGGCTCACTGCAACCTCCGCCTCTTGGGTTCAAGCAATTCTCGTGCCTCAGCCTCCTGAGTAGCTGGGACTACAGGCATGTGCCACCAGGCCAGCTAATTTTTGTATTTTTAGTAGAGATGGGGTTTTGCCATGTTGATCAGGCTGGGCTCAAACTTCTGGCCTCGAACTCCTGGCCTCAGGCGATCCATTCGCCTTGGCTGGGATTACAGGCATGAGCCACTATGCCCAGCCCTTACAGTGAGAATATTTAAAGACAAATAGAACAAGTTAAAGAACATATCTTTTATATATATCTTATCAGTAGAATTAAAAACAACATCCATATACTTGCCAGGTTCTTGGTAAGACTTTTAAATCACTTAAAAAATATTAAGCATAAATTTGGAAAATAGAGTTGAATTTATAGCTATTTCACAGAAATGGACATTACACTAAATAATTCCTAGGGTTTGATTTTTATATATGCCAAAGCAAGACTAGGAAATGACTGGAACTCCTGTATTTTTGGGTTTTTTGCAACTGCTGTCATTTTCAGAAACCAAAGAGTCAGAGCTCTCTTCCATTAGATACGGCGTATTTAAAGTTATGTTCATTTAATACAAGCACAGCAGTGGAACTACTTTTTCTTCCTACAGTGATTTAAATAAGAACTAGGTGATGCCATGGATTAAGGATAATAGGCTTTTAAAAAATTGTGTTGTTTTTCACTTTAATGAAAAACATCTGGGTAAAGAAAAATTGCAATGAACTAATTCAGTTATTAGCAAAGTAGTAATTTGGTATATATTACTTTTAATAGTTTAGCTTTATATTTAATATAAAGTTTATATTCAGGTTTAATTGTTGCTAAGGCAAAATCAACAAGATGATTTGCTTACGCCCTGTTATATTAAGTTAGTTTCACTAAGGGAAATATTATAACTCAGAAAAAACCTTTAGTGCACCTCCATGTGCCTTTTAAGAATATATATCCTCTAAAAGAGGAGAATAACTTAGGGGTTATGGCCAGCCAGGTTACTTATTAGGTTATGTTTATTGATTATATTAATATACATATTACATATATACATATATAAGTATAACATACTTATCCCAAGTATATTGAAATGTTATATTTAACTGTACTTAAATGTATATGCCATTTCAAATGAGCCTAAACCATTCTTGTTTCACTAGAAAAGCAATACTTAGATGTGATCTCATGCCCTATGACATTAAAGAAGACAGGCTTGACTATTTCCCCTGCTTAGTTTTTGTTTGATATACATGCTGTGGCAAAAGTTATTTTCTTAATGATAGGCAGATCCGCCATGATTGTGTAGGAATTTGGTGGAAAAGTAATGGGTGGTAGTTTTTTGTTGGTTTTAGTTTTGGGGTGTGCATGTGAGTACATTTGAAGGAGTGAAATTCTGATTTTTAAAAATCAGAAAATCCAGTGGAAACAGTTGATCCTATTTTCCAGTTCAATTTCTTTCTCCACCTTACTGTGGTCTTGGCCCACTTCAGATTGTGCTTTGGTCACACTGACATGTGACAACTGGACATGCAAACCCAGTGTCTAACGGACCTGATTTTGTTTCATCCAAGCAGAGGGGGTGCCCATTCTATGAATTCTGTCCCCGAGGATTTGAATAGCCAGTGTTATTTTCCATTAAGGTAGCTACACTCTTTTCATACTTACCATTTTGTTGGTATGTTCTTGTTATACCACTGCAGACACTTGTGCTTTTTCACAAGTTCTTCAAAACCATTTCTCTCTTATTAAAAACAAAAGATTGCAGAATTCAAAATAAAGCTTAAAAATATGACACCTACTACAGAGCCGCATTGTCAGACTCTCTCACTCTAATATAATCCCTGGAAATAATTTTTGGGAGCATGAAATTTAAGCTCAGCAGAAGCTCTAGCTACATCTTGAAAGCTCTAGCCTTCATTAAACCCCTTAGGAGATGTTCCTTAGCCCAGTATTTATAGAGCTGGGATGTTGGGCTGCTGTTTCTTTTTCTTTGGAGATATTAGTAAATGCAGGAAAATCTGTTATATTCAAGCAGCTCCTTTCTTTTTCTTTCTTTCTTTCTTTCTTTCTTTCTTTCTTTCTTTCTTCTTTCTTTTTCTTTTTTTCTTTCTTTTTCTTTCTTTTTCTTTCTTTCCTTCTTTCTTTCTGTCTTTCTTTCTTTTTCTTTTCTTCTTCCTCTTCCTCCTCTTTCTTCCTCCTCCTCCTCCTCCTTCACTTCTTTTCTTTTCTTTTTTTTGGTAATAGCCAAGGGATGCCACTAATGGTGGCCACAATTACTAAATATTCTTAATTTTTCTAGATCTAAACATGAGGCTGACAAGGTTCCTTATAGAGCCTGTATCTGGAACAGCATTGTCCAATGGAGTTTTTTGCACAATGGAATTTTCTTCGCCTTCTGCAGTGAAGAAAACATTCTATATCTCTGCTCTCCAGTGAGTGCCACTAGCCACTTTTAGCTGCTGAGCACTTGAAATGTGGCCAGTGTGACTGAGAAACTGAATTTCTTTATCTTATTTAATTTTAATTAAAATTTAAACTTAAAAAGTCACACATATCCAGTGGCTCTACTGTGTTGGATAGAGTAGCCTTAGAAAATCATGAAAATGAGTCACTTTGCTGTGAAGTCCTCTTTGTGGACAGTGTAAGCCATGGCAGCACATACTCCAGAAATTGGAGACTGGTCAGTGCTGACCATGGTGCGCTCTCAACCTGGTGGACACTGCACAGCTGCCCTGCAAATCATAGTGGTTCTTGTTGGATTTTTGCATTTACATTTTTTTTTTTGAGACTGAGTCTTGCCCTGTCACCCAGGCTGGAGTGCAATGGCACGATCTTGGCTTGCTGCAACCTCCGCCTCCTGGGTTCAAGCGATTCTCTTGCCTCAGCCTCCTGAGTAGCTGGGACTGCAGGTGCACGCCACCACACCCAGCTAATTTTTGTATTTTTAGTAGAGACGGGATTTCACCATGTTGGCCAGAATGGTCTCGATCTCTTGACCTCGTGATCCGCCCGCCTTGGCCTCCCAAAGTGCCAGCATTACAGCCATGAGCCACCACGCCCAGCCACATTTTTAAATAGAACTGAATCCTCCTAGTCTGGACACAGTGCGTTGCTGCTCTCAGACTCAGTCCCCAGCTGGACAGTCTCAGTTGTCCCAGAGCCTCTCCAGGTCTTGACTAGTTTGTCTGGCTTTGAGGGCACATCCAAAGTGCTTATAGAGTTCTGGCTTTGGGAGAAGGGGTTTAGGGACAGAAGTCTGGATTCGCCCTTCCAGAGAAGTACCCACTACTGTTTTATCTTCTCTTTGTCACCACGTACCTTGGTGTCACACACAGTAAAACTTTGCCATCTGACTTGCATTTCGACCCCTGTGTTTGAAAGAAATTTACCTTGAGTGTGTTTAAAAAGCAAGTACTACTAACCTCAGTTGAGCAAGACCAGTTAAGAAGTTGTGACAATTCATTTACCCACAGACAGATCTCTCACTCAAACTAGGTAAGTCTTTCCTCATAAATTATAGTGAGTCTTCCAACTTCAGATTGACCAGGAAGCTTTCAGAGCCCGTTGAGGAATACAAGAGTCCCCAGGTGAGTGGATTTACTCATGGGGGAGCGTTTCTTCTGCTTGCACCATTGTAGGACCTTAAAAATGGGTGTGTGGGGAGGAGAAGACAGTGAAGGATGCCTTGCAGCTGTGACCATTCCCTTTGTCCTGCCCAGGGTGACCCCATGCTGCTTGACACACACAGGAGCCTGAGACCTGTGTGGGGAGAGACAGACACTGAACTAGGGGACTGAGGGGGGTAAGGCAGGTCACTGTCCTCCAGAGGCCCACAGCCTACGCCCCACTATTTTCCCCCTAGAACCAGGATCCTCCAAACTAGTCATGCCTCGGAATCACCCAGGAGATACTTTAGGAAAAAAAAAAAAGTATTATTAAACAAATTCCTGTCCCTACCTCCATTTGTAGAATTAAAACATTAACATTTCTCTCAGTCCTCTGAAATCTGTCTTTATGGTTATGATGATCTTTGGGCTTTTCCAACATGCTGATGTCGGGGTACCACCCCAGACTGACTCAGTCTCAGGGAAGGACCTAAACACTGACAGATGTGAAGTCCCCTAGGTATCATTTTTGTTTGAATTTTTTTCTTTTTTGTTTTTTGAGACAGGGTCTCGCCCTGTCACCTGGGCTGCAATATAGTTGTGTGATCACAGATCACTGCAGCCTTGACCTCCCAGGCTCAGGCGACCCTCCCTCACCCTCCCAAGTAGCTGGGAATACAGGCATATGTCAACACGCCTGGCTGATATTTTAATATTTTGTAGAAATGGGGACCCACTATGTTGCCCAGGCTGGTCTCGAACTTCTGGGCTCAAGTGATCCTCCTTCCTTGGCCTCCCAAAGTGTTGGGATTACAGGTAGGAGCCACCATGCCCCACCCCCCAGGTACTTCTGAGGGGTTTTAGGGTATGCAATGAGCGTTAGGCTGGGATGTCCACTGCCCCACCCTCCTCACTTGTATGCATTTGCTGTGTAACCGCTATGCATCAGGCCCTCCTGGGCATGGTGCTGTGTTTCAGTCCCTAGCTGGTCCCATGCTTCTTCCTTGCCTCCTTTGCAGCCTCACCACTTCTGCTCTATCCCCTGGGCAAATGACCCTGAGGCCTGTGTCCAGCAGTGACCCCTCCAGATCCAGCTCTGCAGTTCCCAGTGGGCATTTCCGTCAGCATGGGTGAACCTGAGTCAGTCACCCTGCCATGCTTCTCCCTGCGAGTTGGGGTACAAATCTCAGTGTTCCTCTGCTGTTCTTCCTCCCACAGTCCAGTTTGGTCCTGAGTCCTGCCACCTCCACCCCCGTGGTCCCCTGCAATGCCTGGCTTCTCTGGTCACTCTGATGCTGGCCTCATTCAGGCCTGCACCGTCTCGTACATGGGCTGTTTCACAATGCTCTCAGTTGGCTTCTGCCTCCTCAGATTGTGTCTTTGTCCAGTCATCCTTCCCCAGCTGCTGAAGCATAGGTTGGCTCACAGAACGTGTGCCACTGAAAACGTGGGAGGGCTTCTTGGCGAAGACAGGACAGTGCACATCTCCCCCATCTGCCCACACCTGCCTTCCCAGCCGCCACGTCCTCCTGCCACACTGGGCCTGCTCGCTGTGCCCTCCTAGCTCTGTATCCTGGGCCTCACCGCGTGGTCTGGCTGCCCATCTGCCTTCCTCCTCTGGTTTGCTGATCTGTCTCTCCCTTCAGTTCTGGTTTATAGGTCACCCTACAAGCTTACTCTAATGGCTTTGTCCAAACCTCTCATTCCCCAGGTGTCCCCACCTTCTGCACCTCTAGTCTTTGGCCCTCTTTTCTCATCTTTCCTGGCTCATGTGCGGGTACTCACAGGGGCAGCTCCCACTCCAATTCCCCTGCAGGCCGGAATCACAGTCTGCCCCTCCCATGTGCAGGCCTTTGTACAAGCTCTCTGGGCACCACATGCTCTCGCAGAGGCTGCCTGTGGCATGTTTTTTGGGTGCTCCTGACCAGATGCCCTGGACAGTGCCAGAGGCCTTTGGATTTTCTGAGTGTGAGTGGGTGGAGCCTTCCTCTGGTGCCCCCAGCCTACTGCTGCTGCTCCTCTCACTGGCCCTGCCCAATACCCACACACGTGCAAATGCACACATGCATCGTCCTCCCCGGTGAGCTCTGTCTTTCCTGCTGTCACCTCTTCCCTCCCTCACCCACACCTGCATTCTCAGAGCAGCCTCCCAGTGCTTTGGTGATACTTTTGGAAAACAATTTCTTCCTGCACCTCCTTCTTCTATGGGGGAATGATAACTTTGAGACACGGCTGGTAAGTATCTGTACTGGAGGGGGAAAGGATGCCAGTAACTAACCCCCATCGTCTCCCCATCTCCGCCGTCTCCAGCGCAGCCAACCTGCCTGGACACCTCATGAAGCGCAATCCAGCTAGTCTAGCGTCTCCAGTTTCAGCCATCCTGGCTGTACCCTGTGAGCCCCCTTCTTGGGCTGCTGCTTTGAGGGTGGCCTCTAACAGCTAAACCACACCCTCAAAGCCATCCTCCCCTTCCCAGGAGATCCCTCAGGGAATATGGGAGGACCAGGCCCCTGCTGTAGACAAGTATGGGGAGACAGAGGCCATGGCCTTTGCTCTCCTGTTTCCTTGGGGAGAAAGGGTGGGCGCCAGTTGGCAGAGGAGCCTTTGAGGAAGTTGACCCAGAGTGCTGAGGGCCAGGATGGAGCAGCTTCCAAAGCTCGATCTTGGTGACGGAGGAGGAGGAAGGCATTAGAGGCTGAGAGACCCCTATGTGGATGTGTGCAGAGGTCTGAGGGAGGGTGCGAAGGCAGGGCTTATTCAAGGAACTGCAAGAATGTCAAGCATTTTAGTGTGGGGTAGAAATGGAGAGAAGGCAGGCAGAGACCAGAGTGCCAGTGCTTGGGCCTGCCTTGCCCTGCACAGACTCTTCAACTCTATCCTCAGCGCTGCAGTCCCCAGCTGGGCTGCCTTCATCTGCCATCCTCATTCTGCCTCTGTCTGGGAACTTTCTTCGCTTGGTGCCCCTACGCACACACTCCAGGCTGGCTGGGCCGGGGCATGGCTCCTCCATGGCTTTCATTGGCAGCTTGTGTTGCAGGTCCTGAAGTTAGGTGTGGGGACTGCTGAGGCTCATCCCTGCGGGGCTGGCACACTGACAGGCTTTCCCATCATCCATCAGCCTCAAGTGAGAAGGGAGAACTAGTCCCATAGGGAAACAACAGCAAAGCCACAATGGACTGTGACCATGAGGATGAGCAGTAGCTCGTCCGAACTTGTCCCTCGGCCAAGAGACCCTTTGGCAGCTTTGGGAGGAAGAGCATGGCCGGTCTCCCTTCCCCAGGGGCTGCTGCAGCCCCTTGCAGTGCCAGGAGCACACCGGGCCCTGGACTGAACAAACCGCCTTCCCAGGCCCTCTTTCTTGGCAGCTCCGTGGGCCCCAAAGCCTGACAGGAGGTGGGTGACTCTGGGTGGCCCCCCTGTGAGCACCTCCTCACAAACATGGCCGGCACCTCCCGGAAGAACATCTCTTCTCCGCTTTGCTCTCAGTTTCTGGGCTGACAATTAGGCTACTGAAAAAGGACAATTCACAACAGGCCCACACAGAGAAGGCCTTTCATGTGCAAGAATGGCCCCGTCGTCCACATTAGCACCATTATGTCTTTATTTATAGGAGGTACTGTACTTGAGAATGGTCAGGCAGCATTGCTTTAAGAAGGGTGTTTGGTCATTCGATTTGAAGCACACTGAGAGGATTCATTGTCCCCAGGCCGCACAGAGCCCGGCCCAGCAGCCTGGGGTTCGGTCCAAGTGTGCTGAGTGGGTGGTGGAGCTGACAGGGCCTGCAGGGTTGCTCTGGCTGGCAGAGCCTCTGTGGTTGAGTCCGTGGGTGGCAGGGTAGGGGGGAGGCGAGGAAGCTGTCTCATGGTCGTAGGCCTGTGACAGGCCCAGCCCAGCCTGAGATCCCTTTGCAGAATGACACAGCAGTCCATGCGGGCAGTGGGGAGCCATTCTCACCGACTCACGCAAATCCAAGAGAAGCCTGGGTTCATTAATGATTTAAGGTTTTACAGTATTGGAAATGGCAGCCTCACATCGGAAGGACCCTGGGTTTTTGTAACCCTGGCTGTTGGCACGAATGCTCCATCAACCCGGGAGGACTTCCCACAAACACTCTCTGAACTTCTCACACAGACACCTTGACCTGAAGAAATTGTCTTCAGAGAGACCTGGTTTGGTTTTGGAGAGAGCGCAACCTGCAGCAGGAGCCTTCGTTCATGTGGTCCCATCTGCCCCTCAACCCCACCCTGCCCCACCACCTCAGGTCACTTCTTCCGGCCTCCTTGGTCTGCAGTCCCTGCTGTGTTCCAAGGCACCAGAAGGCATGCAGAGGATGGTCAGAGTCTGGGGTCCCCTTCAGTTGAGGATCACACCCTGCAGCTGGCTCAGGCTCTAGGGATATCATTTGGATTGGGAATGCCCGGATGTGGGCTCTCCATTCCTCCTACTGGCTGATGGAGCACTCAAGCCCACATTCAGGGTTACAGAAAACCATCGTCCTTCCCATGTGGGGCTCTTGTTTCTAATACTGTAATCTTAAATCATTAATGAACCCAAGCTTTTCTTGGAATGTGTGAAGTCGGTGAGAACGGCTTCCCACTGCCCAGATGGGCTGCTGTGTCATTCTGCAAAGGGTTCTCAGTCTAGGATGGGGCTGTCACAGACCTGGTCTCTAAGCATCATGATCTAGGACATAAAGAGGATTGCTGGCCTCTCCACCCCTACTATTTGTTGTTACTGCTGCTATTAACTATCACTTTGTTGCATTTCCTGAGCTTAGCACTTGACTTGGATGTTTTCATTTTATCTTCATAACCACCTATGCATTAGGTACTGTTACCACCATTTTGTAGATTAAGAAACTGGCTCAGAGAGGGCAAGCCAATGGCTCAAGGTCATACATCTAGAAAGAGGTAGAGCCAGGCCATGTTGCCTCGGAGACCCAGACTCCAAGCTGCCTCAGCCCAGGCTTCTGGGTCCTTCTCACTGCCTCTTTCAGGTGTTTCTGAGTCATGAGCCATGGAAGAAGAAAAAGAAGGAACAAATCACAGGCTCGGGTATGCTCCAGGGGCCTCATTTTCTAGCTGCCTCCTCCCAGCTGGGCCTCCAGGCTTCCGTAATTCTGTAATATGGCTCCCTAGGGCCCACTTTCCTTTGCCTCCCTACATATCAGTAAGTCATTTCCTCAACTTTTTTTTTCCTTAGGGTTTTTATCCCTATTAGAAGAAAAAGTTTCCTTCACAGTGATTTATGTCTGCCTCTGCAGATCATTTTTAAAAGTGTTTCAGAGACTTTCAGAATTATTTTTGTTTGAATATTAGACTTCTGTCTCTGCAAAATGTATAACCATATGCTGTCAACCCTGGATATTGGCTTTGGTAGAGTAGACACCCTGAATTTTTTAACCTAGATGTTAATCAAGCATTCTGTCTCAAGACAACACAAACCTTAACTGGAGAAATGCTGAGAGAATAAGGAACAGGTTTAGGCTCAGGGATACACAATATCTGTCATCCCAGTTACCTCCATAAACCCACGTTAGTAAGAAGTGAAACTGAGGCAGATGGGCACAGGCTTCAGGGGAGGAAGAGAAGGGAGGCAGGACAAGTGGCTGAAACCTTCAACACAGGGCTGAGCCCTCAGGCCTGTTTATGAGTGGTGGAGCGCAGGCTTGGATGCAGATGGCCTGGGTTCACATCCTGGCTGTGCCACTTGCTCACTGCTGTGTACCTTTGAGCAAGTAAGTTGACCTCTCTGTGCATCAGTTTTTGAATCTGTAAAGTAACAGTACCGTCTTACAGGCTAGTTTTGAGGACTGAATGAGTGGATGTATACAGTACACTGAGAAAAGTGCCTGGCACATGTTAGGTGCTCAGTGTTGCTGGAGACAAGAGACTGATTTCAGAACAAACGGCTGGGGCTGTTTTTCATCCAGTAGTAATCCCTCTGTTTTATATAGGCAGAGAGGGTTGACAGGTCTGGTGAGGTGCCCACCTAAAATCAGAAAAGGTCCTTTCCAGCCACATCACAGGATTCAGGGAGATTATGTGATTTATTGTTTATTTAATTTATTTGTGCCACGCTGAGTTCCACGCAGGGTCTGAGCTGTCTTCCGTCTGCTTTCTCTCCATGTTCTGTGGCTTCTTGGTGAATGAGATTAGGGCAGGAATTGGCCCCAGTTCTGGAAGCTGGACTGGTCCTATCAGAGCAATCCCATTCTTTGTGTGTTTGCCTGTACTTGATGCATTGCTGTTGCCTTTGATTCCCTCTGCCTGGCAGGGGTGACAGGTGGGGGGAGGGATTTGTCCACCTGCCATTGTGTATATCTGTGTCTTTTTGAAAGGCACCTGCTAACATGACTCTTTTTTTCTTTTAAGAAAGCCTCTCTTGTGCTGAAAAACTAAGGCCTTATCCAGTGGCAAAGTCCTCTATAGGCCAGCCCAGTAGTGACAGCCGAGTCAGGTTATTACAGGCATTTCTGCCACATCTAAATTCCACAAAGAAGACATCAGATGGTGGCCTGAGGGTGCGTGTCATTATATACAACAAGGGATGTGGTTTAAGGACCTCATCCACCCCTCCCTGCCCCAGCTGCTCCCTTGTGGGACATTCTTATCCTCATGGTGGCCAGGATGTGGGTACACTTCAGGGGACTGAAAGTCTCTTCTGTAGTTGCCAGGCACCAGGAACCCCAGGCAGCCAGTGTGTAAGCCCAACCCTGCTGTCATCTCTGGCTCCTTCATCTCCCTCCCGCCCACATCCACTCTTTCTCCAGAGTTACCATCCAAGCACAAGATGATCCCATGCTGGTTATTCAGTGCTCCAGACTCCTGAGGGAGACGCCCTGAAGTCGGTAGACATCATGTTGGATTGGGACAGTAACTTGCTGGGTCACCTCCTTCCTGTCACTTTGCCTCTTCTGCAAAATAGAACTGCCACGCACCATCCTCACCGTAGTGCCACAAATGTCAAGTTTATGTAAATGCAAACTGCATTCAGGTCTATTCTGTTTTCCTTTCAAACACAGATACTTTAATGGCTTAAACCACTGTGACCCTGTAACTCTACAGGGTAGCGTTAGTTTTTTATAATTATCATCTTGTGACTGCACATGAGAGACTCACAAAGCACTTGTGGTCCAACTGGACTGCCTCCATAACATGAGGATCACACACAGTCGATAACGATTAGTGCCAAGGCCAAGAAAATGAGCATCCAATGACATCTGGACCAGGAGGAAAGCACAGGGCACTGGGCTGGAAGATGAGCTGTCCCAAGTGGCCCACTCCACCCGAGGGATGCCCTCCAGTTGACAGTCCCAGGCCTTCCCCCAGATAGTTGATTGCTCTTGCTCTCCATCCCAAAATCCCTGCCCAAGTTCATCATAAAGTGAATGGACCGACTCCTCTGCAGGATGGAGTGATTCTGTCTTAGTCTCTTTGTTTTAAGATTATGGACCAATGCTCCAGGAACTTTATATCTTGTACTGTTGGGTGAAAAATAAAGAGGGGAACTCTAGCTCAGGAGCCATTAGCCGGTACCAAGAAGGAAAATGGAGCTTGTCCTGCAGTCAGGTGAACAAGACAGTGATTTTGGTCTGAGTAGAACCACATGCAGTTGAGACAAAAAAGCTCAAAATGTTTAAACAGCTGTAAATCCTATGAGCAGTGAAAATGTCCCCAACATCCTAGGAGGTTTGTTTTTGTTGTTGTTTAAACTGTAATCACTACAATAAACATTTTTCTATAGAGGATGAAAAATCTAAATTTGAACACTGTTGTCTGTATTCTATGTAATGGCTATGAGAATGGTGAGATTTTTGTTTTCTCTTAGGAATGGGAAATTCATCTATATTCCCCTTAAATTTTAAAAAATATATTAAAGAGGAAATTGTTTGTGTTCTCCCAATGAATAGTAACCTAGTAGAAATTATTTTTCCTATTAAAAATTATTAACATGAGATGTGGTAAAGTGTTTTCTTTTTTTCCTCCCACCAAGATGAACTTTTCCATATTTAAAACGGCATCTCAAGACAGTTGGGGAGTGATTTTTATACTAGAAATAAGGGATGACTGCATAGTCCTACCTGGTTCAATTTATACCCTCTTCAAAATTCTGTTACTTCTTCTGCTAATACTTTGTTCTGTGGAACGCTTGCTGTGCTCCTATAGGGCCTAATAGGAAGCTTGATACACACTTTTAGCAAACCCATATTAGTTACTTTCTAAATGAATTTGAGCCCCTTCCCTTGAATGTAGACACTTCAATATGGATGCAAATGTTTCATGATAGAAATTTGATGATTATATTACAAATTCCAGTCGTACTTGAAGGGAAGCAGTTTGGTTGGATGTTGAACACAGGAATAAAATTCCACAGCTTCCCAAGGTCTAAGTTAGAACGTTAGTTGCCCCCAAAAGAGGGATTTATTTTTAAAGGGAAAATTCATTTTTAAAAATCAGCAAGCTAATCAACCACGGCAGATTTTGAATCCCAGTCCTGACCGGGAAGCAGGAAAAAGAATTCTCAAATGTACTATTAAGAGGTGGCTGTATATGTGGAGAATACAAATTGATTTTAACATTAGAATAAACACAGCATAATTTGAAATGCCAACCGAAAATACATATATTGTCTCCCCCAACCTATTGTGTATTTGTTGGGTGAACCTTGTCATTGCGCCTTTCGAAGGCAGTGGTGGCGTGTGTGCCTCACCCACACATTCACGACAGATCCTCGCTGGCTGCCATGTTCGTTTGTGAGAAATAAAGGAATCTGAAGGTGATTCGTCCCATCGTGGGCCTGATAAATTAAAAATTTGCATATGTCTGACAGTAGTTTTGCAGTTCTAGGAAAGCAAATAAGAAAGTGGAAAGCATTTAAATTAAGTGTTGCCTCTAACAAAGCTTTTAGAAATGGACAAATATAAATGATATTGATTGATTTCAATTGATTTTTTAAAAATGTTTTATTCTGTGGAGTTTCGGAAGTGACCCAAAGCTTTGGGGGAGCTTGTGAGCGGCCAGAGTGCTGGTGGCTTTCTGTTTTTATAAAAGCTCTAGCAAACTAGAACGTAAATGCTTCCTGAACATTCTCTGTTTTCAGGAGACCCGCATGAGAAAACAGCACCCGTAAGTGGGAACAATGAAGCAATCTGCTTTGTCTGCTTATAGGGACTTTAAATGGACGCTCCAGCTATAAAATACCAACAATCTCAGCAGGCCTCCTCTCCTCATTTCACAAAATTAATTTTTAGGACAGTGTCTTCTAGGGACTCAATCTTTGTGTGTTCTCTGCACCACAGATCTGCTCTTCTTGCCTAATTTTCTTAAGCTGACCGATACTTTCCTGGAAACGATTGAGGAAAATGGTGTGGTCCTGGGTATTCATGACACTGCCCACAAGGGCTCACTGGCCTGTAGGCTCCATGCCAGCCACCAGCCCATCATTTCTCAGTGAAAAGAACCTTTCAGCTCGGTTACCTCCTGGAGAGAGCTGATTTTCCAGCAGTCAGGCTTGATCTGGGTAAATAATTAGAGAGCTGGAGAGCGAAGACATCACCCTGGTGCTGTCTGTGATTCTGCTAATGTACCCAGACCCTGTGATTCCGTTGCTGCTGCAATCTTAAGGCAGCCTTTCTCTAAAGCGCGGAGGGAGGGCGGGAGAGAGAGAGAGAAACAGCAACAAAGCCAGTTGCTTGCATTTGTCTTGAAAGAACTAATGACATTTTTCATTCTTTTGGTAAAACCAAGAAAACAGCTGCAGCTCTTTATCTGCATATAAGAAGGTGAATTGCAATATGCCTCCCTCTCCCACCACCCTCACCTACCAAGACATGCATGCCCCAATGCAATTACTTTGGCCTATTGATTTATTTTTAAAACTGTATTGCCTCTAGTTTACTGGAATTTGCAGAGCTCTGGATTGTACAGGCAGATCACATTTCTCATAAAGCAGACCCTGAAGTGGTTAATAGCTTGTTCTTGAACTTTTGCAGCTGCTCATTAAAAGCCAATTAAAAAGAAAAAGCATACTGGCTGTTGTAAAGTATATGTGTCTCTCTATAAATATCCATTATTCTAAAACTTTATCACATTTTATCCCATCCTTCTTGCATGGTGCCCACGGACAAAGAAGAGCAAGAGTAAAGTATTGGACAAACTATTCTGAGGTTCTAGTGAAATTCCCAATTTTTCTCTCATTTGTGTTTTCAGCTGTAACACCAATAGATAATATGCCATTAATTCTTACTGATTGAGAATCATGATAAGAAGTCCCATGTGATTTATTGAAAAATAGCAATTGTACAAATGGTGTTTCATTACTTTTGAAAAGCATATATAATTTTGAATGAATAAGAAGAAATAGAAAAGGGTAATTAATTAAAATAATTAAGATTCACATCAGGCATGTTTAGCATGATTATATATTAACTACAAATTTCCATTAACAAATAATTGCTGGACCTAGAACTGGAAGACATATTGAAGAAACAAAGGCCATTAGCTTGGGGGGCCTTCCCAGATAAGTGCGGAAGACCCTGATTATCAGGAAAGGTGGAAATCAGCTCTTCCCCCACTTAGGCTGGCCTACACAGATTTATTCATCACAGACTCAAAATCAGTGAGTTCTTAAGATAGAGTTGAATGAATACACACTTTTCCAGCAAATATTAGTTGAATCTTCCATAGATGTGTGATGTGGGATGCTTCAGTCACCAACATATCAGGACTTGCTGGACGTCAGTGTAGGACAAACCTAGATGGTCTCGGCCCATCTAGGGTTAAATGACCCTTGAGCCAAGGAGTACGGCACAGTCACACTTTGTATTTCTCCCACTAAGAGTGTATTCAGACTATATGTCTAAACTCTTTTTTTCTTTTAATTTTTTTACCCATTTCATAAAACAGTTTGTCTTCAAACTAAAAGCAGTGATGATTGATGTTAAACATGAGACCTCTGAATGGACTGAAGGGAGTCCTTTCCTCCCTCTCTCCTTCCATCCTTCCTTCCCCCTCTTCCTTCCCCCCTTCCTCCTTTCTCCCTCCTTCCCTCCCTATACCCAAGGGGCTTTTAAAGGCTGTTCTGTGGCTAGGCTGAGGAAGGTCTTTGGAGACTAGCCGCCAGGAGGGTGCATGCGTCAAGAAAGATCATGGGGTGTCGTGTATTGGGGGGCCCAGGAGACTGCCAGGCACATTCTGGTCTGGCACAGAAGGATTGGGAATTTTTTTTTTTTTTTGGAGAATCATGGGGCATGACTGTCCCCCTATCATGGGACAGTGTCAGGACTGTGGTATTTTAGGTGTCATAAAAGGAACCTTTGGAGGAAAAAAACATGTAGGAACCCTTTCTCGTAATGCCACTTGCAGGTTACAGCTTTCAAAGCAAAGCCAGACTCCGGCCCTGCCCGGGGTAGGAAGTCTTTGTCTGCCTGCGCGCCCGAGCGCTCCCGGCTTGGGATTGATTTTTGGCCCCCGCTGCAGCAAGTTGGGGGCTGGTGAGGAGTGTAGCGGTGACTGGGGGCGGAGTGCGGACTCGCATCCGCTGTACCAGGAGCCCACTGCCACCTCGGGATTTTTTTTTTAACTTGGAATTTCCATATGACAAAAAAGAAAGAGGTTTCTCCTCAATCTAACGGAGCCATTAACATCTATTAATAACGCCGACAGGGTAAGTAACGGAGCCGCGCTCCTCGGGGTGGTCACCGGGCTGCGTGGTCCTCGGCCGGCCTCCTGCATCCGCTGCCCCTGTGCGCTCCGGGCCGGATGCGCAAGGGCGGCGCGGGGACCAAGCCTGGCTGCCGGCCGCCTACTCCTCCCCTTCCCTAAGGTAAGGGGTCGTTTTCACACTCACCAGAGCTCCTGCGGGCTGAGCTCGCCCCCTCCCCCGACTTCTTTGCGGGGCATTTTCTCTTGCTGGTGTATTACGTGTCATTTCTCACGGGGCATTGCCGGCCGCTTTTCTGCAACTGTCCTTTCGGATTTGGTGATCTGGTCCGGCACAGAGGCTCTCCTAGGAGGTGGTGCCCATGCATATTCATTCTGTGTAGTAACCGACTGGCCGTCTTGCCATTGCAGGCTGATTTATTGATTTATGTAGGAAGTGTGTTTTATTTTAGTAATTAGGGAACCCTGAATTCACGGGAACCGTCTGCACTTCGCAGGCATGTTCATTGCTGGGCATGAAAGACAAAGGTTGTCGTGCACCCCGCTTCATTTTCTAGCTAGTGACCATTGACTTTGTTGTTTTGTGGAAGGCTAATTAGGAATGGAATATTTTTTTTTCCCAGAGGAATCGCTGAAATAAATATTAGTGTTTATAAAGCACATAGCTTTTTTTTTTTTTTTTAAATAACATTTGACAGGTAACTACTACTGAGGTGTATTGTAAAGACTGGACAGTGTGGTGTGTTGTTTCAGTTTAGGGATGATTATGGGATTGATGTTATGTCTGTGGGACAGTCACTGGTATGCTCCCATCAAGGTACATGAAAATAAATGCTGCCTTTTCATTACAAAGGATACCACAGTGAACAGGGAGACATCCCTTCAACTGTATTTTCTATATCCTTATTTTATTCTTCAACTTTGGTTTTCTTCTTCCATATCCCTGTATCCATCCATACACAACCCCATCATTAAAAAAAAAAATCATCTCCACAGACTCTGTTATTTTTCAGGAACTCTATTATGCCTATAAACTTGACCTGGATTGTGTTACTAATTTGGTAGGTTATTTTGTCATACAGGAAATCACAGCCTATGGGTCGATATGTGCATATGAACCCCTCAGCTAAATTATCTAAATTGTTTTTAAAAGATATTTTTAGGCCAGTGAACACTTAGCAAAAATATCTTTACAGATCTCGATAAACCTATTTTTAGTGTCAGTACTTTAAAAGCTTGCTCAACCCAACCGGTTCTAATCGATGTAAAATGTGCTTCTAACAAAAGATATTTATATTGTTGTTGATTAAATTATTCTAAATTTCCTTTATGGAAATACCTGACCTAACAACAATAGAAATTTTACTGTGTAAAATATTACTCTGATTTTTAACTCTAGAAAATGTATGCATTTATTATATTTTTGGAGGAAGGAGCCATGTAAGAATGGATAACTAAAGTACAGTAACATTTGTTCTGGGTTCATGTTTTCTGTAAACTTGCATATTCTACTTGATATACTTCTATCACTTTTAACAAATCCACTTAATTTTTCATGTACTGTGAATTTATATTATATATTAAATAGATGAATATAATATGCATATATACACATATGATTTAATCTATGGATAGAAATGACAGCCGTTAGGATGAGAATAATGAAGCATCTGCCTCTATGAGAAAGAGCGCAAGAGAGAAACCACCCCAGATCGATAACTTGTAAGTAACCAGCATGAAAAAGGGCCAAAAAGCTTTTCTTTTCTTTCAGTTCTTAAATAAGCTTTTCCTGGTGGTATCATATTCATGTTGGAGTGATTAAGTAAAAACAAGAAGACAGAACATTTACTAGGCAATATGTTGTTTTTATTTTGTATATTTACTATAAAAATGTTTGAAATGCCTTTATCATCTGCTGAAAAGTAATCATAGAATTGACATTATTGCAGATGGTGTGAGAGATTTTTAAGATTAATGATAGTAGATATGAGTTGGAATGTAATTGTTAAGCTTAAGGAAAAAAATCTAGCATGTAGATAGAGTGTGTTTGGTGTCTTTGTGCCTGTTTTATAGAAGGCACGTTACCTTTGTCTTCGAACCACAGCACTGATGTATCACACGTGGAAGGAATGTGTAACGACTTAACACAGCAATAATACATTTAGCCTAGTAAGCAGTACATAGATCTTTCTGAGGTCTTGAGCATAGTAGAAACTTACCACAGAGAATATAAGGAATGAAAGAATTAAAGTGATGCTGGGCTGACTGCATCCTGAGCAAAGAGATATTATGCCTTGAAATGTGAATTTTTGAGTGAGCAGACAGTACGCACTCCCCTGCCCCACCTTTCGCGGCGCTGTGTCTACGTGGCCTTTTGTTTACTGTAGGTAAGAGTTGGCACTAAATCCCTGGGGATGATTATGGTGTATATATACAGTCTTTTACTGATGGTCTGAATTCTTTCGTGGTCCTACGAAATACATACATGCAAACACATTCATTAAATAGTAACCCAGGAGAGCATGTGTTCTTGAAGTCCATTTTAAATTCATTTAAAAGACTATAATGGAATTTTGAAAACACCACTACAAACCATTACCCTTCAGATCACTAGCTGAGACTTTTTTAACCTAGAAAGTGACCTTTTCTCTACCAGAAACTCTTGACCATTAAAAAGCATTTTTGTCTGTTTGTTTAGGCCTCTGTTCTGAGGAAAAATAGCAAAGTGAACTATCTCTCAGTATCAGAAACATTTGAGACAAACCTCCTATTTGAGGTTTGGCTTTGAGGTCAAACTATTGGTTCAAGGATTTGCTAACAAAAATACTTTCCTCATTTTGATGAATAATTAAAAGGGAGCTGTTTAATAGAAAAGCCTATACCCAAGCAATGGTATTGTTTCATGGTCTGTTGTGGTTGAATCAAGAAGCAGGAGAAAGTCCCTTCTACTTTGTAGATGCTGGTGATCATCCCTTGTTTATCAAGGGTGAGGTTGGGAATGAAATTACTGGGGAGTGTTAGAAATTATATGTGTAGGTATTTACTGATACACAAATCTATGCATTGTATTTTTAAATGTGGCCAAAAGTAAGATGGAATTCTTCTAGTGGCTGTCTGTGGGCCTGGAGCATTCTCGTTACCCCACTAGGATGTCTTGAATTTCCCTGAGAAATTAGATGGAATGAAAAGACCTGTCCACGCTGGTAGAGTGGACCTCCATTTGTAGCCAGTATTTGACGTCTAGCCATCTTTTAGTCAAAACTGTCTCTGGCCTCACTTTAACATTATTATTTTGGGATCAGGATGATTCTCTTCCCCAAAAGAACTATGTCTTCTATGTACTTGAAAAGGGCCTGATTTTGGTAGTGTTTCGCAAAACTCTGTTCCGGAGAGACCGTAAAATACCTTAGTGATTTCTTCTTTATGTAATTTACATATTTTAAGCACTTTATTTCAGGTCAGTGGCCTATTTTGCTACTCTAGATGATTGACCAATGTTAACAAACCCGACATATCTTGGAAAGAATAAATTAAGAATGGCTCCAGGAAGCCCCAAAGGCCCTCAGTAACTAGTTTCTAATAGATTCAAGGAAAAATCCTCTTACCCTTTCTTCAAATTCTATCCCAAATACAGTGCTCTACTGGTTGATAATCAATAATGACTCATGAGGGACTTGACTTGCAATGAGGTTTCATTGTCTCTCCCCTACACAGGATTTCTCCCTGACAGTCTCCAGGCGACTGAGGAGTAAAACAAATGCTTTTCCTCTGTGCTTCAAGGATTACAACATGAAAATCAAAGTGTACAATAGCATCAAGGTATTATTTAATTATTAGACAGCTTATGGTTTTTGAAATTAAGTGGTAATAGTAGCATCGTGGAATATCTAAATATGCATGGCAAACACTGGATGCTAGATGTGGTTACACAGCCCAAAGATAAACTTTTGTGATATATTCTTATGCATATATTATAGCATAACCTTCACACCATTACAGAACTGTCATATGCACCTAAGTAAAATGTGGATGGGTAGGAAAATAAGAATGTGTGCCAATCTGGTCTGAGTGCTAAATTAGGCTTGGAAATTGACCAGTCTTCCTTTTACTTAACTCCAAAATCATTAAGACAGGGACCTGACGGGGAAGCTAGTTATATGGAACAGATACACTAGTTGCACACTGTAGTCACCTCTTTTGCAGATCCCCTTCTCCTGTCCTGAAGAATTTCCCTCCTTCCAAGCAAGCTAGAGGTAGTAGGAGAAACAAGAGCAAGGGAGGCAAGCAGTGTTGCTGAGGTCCTTCCTCCACTGTATCGCGTCTGAGCATGTAACCTGGTGTTGCCAGGGGCGTAGAAGGGGAGTTCGCTGTGTGTTGGCACAGCATGAGTAACCCAGCAGCCAGGAAAGTGGTGGAAGGGAAGCAGTAACTGAGAAATCATTTCCTGTGGGCTGTGGGAGTTAAAGGGCCATGTAAGACCCCTCCTGTTATGCCTCCACCACCAGCTACCTGGAGGGTTGGATTTCTGTTCCTAGTTCAGCAGACGTGCTCCCTGGCTCCTTCCTGGAAGATACCATTATGGTTGCAGGCCCAGCATTCTTAAGATGTTGCTCTTGGTCACAATGACAGACCAGTAGAACTGGAATCAGGTTGAGCTGTATGAAATTGCCAGTGAGTTCAGCCATTTCTGACCTATAAAAATGAGAATTATTCATCTCCCTATTTCTTATCTTGCTCTATTTCTTTGCACAGCAACCAGATCATGTAATTCCCCTGCCTAAAAATTCCCCCTGGCTTCTCAGGGCACTCAGAATAAAATCCAGGCTCTTTACCTTGGCTTCCTCGGAGGTCCTCCAGGAGCTGGCCCCTGCCTGCCCTTCTTCTCCATCTCCCTGCTCTCCTTCAGGACACTGTTCCTCCCAGGCTGGTTTCCTAGTTATTCCTAGAACTCACCAGCTGTTTTCTGCCTCGAGATCTTTGCATTTGCCCTTTGCACTCCACAGCTGGCTCATTCTCACAATTTAAGCCTCAATTCAAACTTGATCTGCTCAGAGAGGTTGTTCCTGGTCCTTATATCTAAAGGAAGCCTTCCACATCACTCCATTAGCCCATTTTATTTTCTTCCAAGTACCTTATTCCTATCTAAGATACTCTGTTTTTGTTTTTGTAAAGACGAAGTCTCGCCATGTTGCTCAGGCTGGCCTGTCTCAACTCCTGGCCTCAAGCAATCCTCCCTCCTCACCTTCCCCAGTAGCTGGGATTACGGATGCAAGCCACTGTGCCCAGTTGAAATTACCTTTTTTATTGGCTTACTTCTTAATGGTTGTTCCCTTTGTGACAGTGGAGGAAGGAGCCAGCACGTTGCCTGTCTTGTTCTCTGCTGTGTCCCCGCCGACCTGGAGCACAGCAGGTGTTTAGTAAGCATTTGTTGAGTGAACATATTGGACACCTTTGTGCACCACTGCAGCCTCTCAGCTTGTAGCCATTGCAGAACCTAGTTATAAGCAGCTTCCGGCAGCTTCTGGCAGCTTCCCTCAGGCACAACCAGGGGTGCCCTCCCAGGAGCAATTCCTGCCTCTCACTTCCTGCCCTGTGCTAGCCATCACCCTGGAGTAGGACCCTCTCCAGTGAGGGCTGGCAGAGATCTACTTTCCCCATTTATCCTCTACTGATAGTTCTGAAACCCATTTGTTTAGGTTCCCCGGATTGTCCTTGTAAGATCCAGTCCAGTCACCCATAGTGGCAGCGAACCCAGTGATGCCTCCTGTACTTCCGTGACCTCCTCCCCCATCCCATTCTCCTGTCCCCAGTCCTGCTAAACTGCCTGCCTTCCAGCCACTGTTGTAGGCAGTGCTCTTTGGGGAACCCAGACTAAATTGGATGAGCACCATTGCAGAGGCAAAGAAGGTACAATAGGTTTCATGATCTTTTTCTTAAAATATCTCATTCAATAAATTGCTATACTATCCAGTCTATCTGGTAACAGCTAAAAGTTAATAAGAACTTACAGTTTTAAGTCAAAACATTTAATCCTCATGGCAACCCCATGAGGTATCGTTCCCATTGAATAGATGAGGAAACCGAGGCACAGTGACATTGAGTAACTGGCTCAAGGTCCCACAGCAGTCAGGGGCAGAGCTAAGTGCAGGCAAGCTAAGTGCAAGCAAGCTAAGTGCAGGCGAGCCATTACCACCGATTCTCTTAACCTCCTTATGTGACCACACTCTCCTGGCTCTTGTTACCCACAGCCTCAGTCCCTCCTTCTGATCCCTCTGTCTCTGCTGTTTTTCTTTGCCTGAATCCTTAAGTCTCTCAAAGTGGCATGCATACCCAAAACACTGGGAGACCATGATCTAGCGCTAATAATTCATTTTTCCCCATTGACTACAAGAGTTAATTTGTGACAGGACAAGCAGGAGCCCACACAAAGCTGACCCCAGCATTCAGACCAGCTGTGTGGTCCCTCTTTCACCCTAAGGATTCCAGTTCTGTGGTTCAGCGCAGTAGTGAGGGCTTTGGTGATGGGGTATCTGCACTGCCCTGTCCAGCCTTGGGAGCTGGGACAAGCCCCTTCACCGTTCCTTCAGCCCCATTTCCTCTTTCCTCTTCACAGTACCCACCTCGCAGCATTCTAGGGACTGAACATGACAAGGTTTGTGAAGTGCTGAAGACACCCAGCTGCTGGCAAGCACTCAGTAGACGGTGGCTGAGATTGTTCTTTTTGTAGTAGTTATGGGGTGAAGACAGGACTTGAGGTGGGCTGCATCCAAGGGAGGGGCCCGTCTTCTCTATTGTACCTTTGAAAACACTATCTGGTTTCTCCCTGCCTCTAAGCCAGAGAAGATGGAAGTGCTAGATGGCAAGGAGACACCATTATTTTTCCTTTCCTCCCCTCCCTAAACTCCCTGCTACTCTGTCTAGACCTGCCATGGGTTCTGCCTTTTGTTCTAGGCATCTGGAACCCTAAGCATGAGCCCATGTCTTCTCACAGCCTATGTCATGTCTGTGGGACAGGTGGTCTTGCAGGGGGAAGCATAGGTGCAGTCTGTCTGTGAGGTCCTGGTGCCTGCTTGGGCAGCCCCCATGGGACTAGCCCCTGTGAGGAGGCTGGTTGAGGTCTGTGCATCATCCCACACTGTTGGAGGCAGAGTCTCCAGAGGCACTTCCAGAGCAGATGCTAGGCTATCAGGCCAAAGGCAGAGGGAAGCTGGGGCCTGACTGGTACTCTCCAGGCCATCTGATTCCTCTGTAGGGACCCTGTTACCCACTGTGGGTAGGCTTCCCAGCCAGAGTCAGGCTCACCTCCCCCATCTGTGAAGGGGTGAAATCAGCACAAACTGGTGACAAATGCACTTAAACGTTTCCTTCCCAGTCCATGCACATGCAGGTAGATGCGCTTTCTGCACACTTTCTGATTAGAGGTGATGTAGTGTACTACATGTACATACTACATACATACTACATAGTATACTATACTACATGTAGCATTGTAGTTTTTGATTGGTTTTTATATTGAGGGTGTTGCCCACCCAGGGACATGGGAACTAGAGGGTGTGCCTTAGCTTTGAGCAGAACTGAAGTGGCTTCTTCTGCCACTTGGCCCCCTGAGTAGGAGGTGAGCCACCTGGAGGCCAGTGGTTATGATAGATTGGCACACATCAGACTTCCTTTCAGCGTTCATTCATGAGGACTGCCAATTTCCTTCAATGCATGGGACTCTTCACTTGACAGGTATTCACTGTCCAGACACAGGGCCCTGATGCCTCAGAGAAGGAACATTTCAGGGTAGCTTTAAATGATATCCTATTGATGCTGTTTATAAAACCAAGGAATAACACATCAGGCAAAATTGACTGATATTGAAAATAAAATATCTTTTCTTGCCAGTCCCTTCCTATGGAAAAGGTAGAATCTTTGAATAGGCAATGGATAGATTGTTTTGGTATCTCTTATTACTTTGGATTTCTAATGTAAAACCAAGTCATACTTTGAGAAACTAATTTTCCAACTTTGTGCTCAACTCTAACGGAAGGTAGCAGGGTCATTATTGAGCAAAAGTGACCAGAACAACCATTTTTCTTCTTCCATGTCTTCTATTATCATGCCCAGAAAAGAGCACTTTAAAATAACATTGTTTTTCCGTTTGAGTCTCTTTAAATCCTATTGATTCAAATAACCCATTACCCATTATTGTAGAGGACTCTGTTGACTACCTTCTCAGGGTGTTTTCTTTAATATCATCTTTAAATCTTGCTTATGATTTTGTTGTTCTCTTACTCATCAGCGTTTCAAGTCAGGTGTCCCCAAAGCAAGGCTTTTATCTTTCTCCTTCTGCGGCGGCACGTCCATCATTGTACAGGGCTGTATGTGTTTCTGCTGACAGCTAGAGGACAAAGCCAGCAACATCTTTTGAGTAAAAATCTGCATGTAGTCTAAAGATCTTTTGTAGATCGGCCTTTATAGTTCGTTTTCTAGGCTTCATAGTTCCAGTTTATTTGTAACTCCATCTTCGTCTTACTTGAGGAAATGTCACTGTGTTTTCAAGCCCACAGGAGAACTAGGTCAAGGGTTTTAGATCTTTTGCTTTGTTTGTTTTTTCTTTTAATCATATTTTCTTGTTTCTAAAAACTTAAAAGTGAAAAGGAGAAGCAAGAATATTGAAAAGTAAAACCGTTAATTGGTCATCAGATTAGAAGTGCAAAATTACCAATAACATAACATATCTGTGTAAATATACAGAACTGGGACTGCCATACATAATTTATTCAAATGCTTTCTTCATTATTCCCTGTTCACTTTCAAAAGAAGGAAGTGAATTGGCCTTGTGCACTGTTGAGAGTCACTTTGCATATGAAATGGTTGACTTTCTCACCCCTTTTCCATTTGATTCTTTGTCCATGTACAGTACCATTCTAAAATCTATCAGTTTCTCTTGGTCATCATTTAAAAATTCATATTGATATCAGTATAATGTGAATGAAATGCTTTACAAATTTGCATTACAATGGGAAGACACAAAGTAGGCTGGCTTAGGTTACCCTATGCAGACTCCATGAGTACCTCTGCTGGCTTGATTCCCAGGGTTGTGGTTTAAATCTGGACCAAGAAGAGTTACCAGATGAGGAGTTTATGGTCAATCAAGAAACACTTCACTGGGAGATGATGGATAAATGGAGAGACAGTGGAGGAGAGTGTCATATGGAGCTCCCAGTGCTGTGATCACCCAGAGATCCAGGGGTTCCTAAATGGAGGTGAGGTACATTGGAGACCACCTGGGAATGAATTTTTAAAAATTTTGAGACAGGGTCCCACTCTCTTACCCAGACTGCAGTGCAGCGGTACAATCATGGCTCACTGCAGCCTCAACCTCCCCAAGCTCAGGCGATCCTCCCACCTCAGCCTCCCAAGTAGCTGAGACTACGAGACAGGGCTTTGCCCCAGGCTGGTCTTGAACTCCTGGGCTCAAGTGAGACTCCTGCTTCAGCCTCCCAAAATGCTGGGATTATAGGCATGAGCCACTGTGTCCAGCCAGGGCTGATTATTATACATTCAGATCCCCAGGCCACCCCTTCACAAACCTGAGGTTCTCATTCAGTAGGTCTGAAGGTGGGCTTGATGTGTTCTGTATTCTAACGACTCTGGTGACTGACGAGCAGCCTGATTTGGTTTCTTAGCTTCGGTTTCCACATCCCTAAAAAGAGGGTAATAACATCTATTTCACAGAGTTGTTGGCAGGAACTGAAAGAATGTGTGGGAAAGGGCCCTGGGAACCGTGAAGTGAGACAGACTAGGACGTGCTGAATTAGTGGGTTTAATTCTCAGCCGCCTCCTAAAGGAGTCTCTACTCTCCACCCCAGACTGAGGCCCAGGCCCTGCCCATGGGTCTCAAGATGCTGAAAAATATTTTGTTCCCAGTAGGATCCCGTTTTCAATCTTCCTCTTCCCACAACAAAATGCGAGGAAAGGCCTTCTAACTCCCTAACTCTGTTCTCGTTCTTAGATCTCAGCACAAAAGGCGCTTCTCCAAGGGAACCTTCTTTGTGTTGTTGTTTAAAGCAGTCCAGTAAGAAAGACAAAGTTCCCTATGGCCAAGAGATTGTCTGTTCTCTCTTGTATCCCCCAAACCCTAGCTGTGCCTGGCGCATAAAAATATGTGCATGATCAATATAGGGAGGAGGGAGGAAGGAAGAAATCAAGGAATCAGGTACTCTAAATAGGACTCAGCTTTGTGCCTTATTTTGTAACTTGTCAATCAACCCAAAATAAGGAGCCAGGGAAGTTCATCCACGTATTCCCACAGCCACCATCTCCCTGAAGCTTTAGCCGTTCTACTGTTGAACTCATTATCTTTTCCCTAGGTCCACTCCTGTGTCCCCATCTCTGTTAACAGCACGGCCAGCCATCAGGCTGTCCAAGTCACAGATCTTGGCATCATCCTTGAGTTTTCCCTCTCCCCTACTGCCTGAGGCCCGTCTATTCTTCTTCTATCACTTCTCTGGTTCCATGCATACACTGTGCAAGTTTGGGTTCAGAACTGCATGGTGATGGGGCCATTTACACCCGGTAATTCAGACAATCACTCTCAGGCCATTCCCACAGGCCTTGCCTGTTCAGCCTTTGTCATCGCATTCCAGGTCTCAGCTTCCCATGGGGTCTCCCTGCCTGCAGCCACAGATGTGATGATCTCTACCTTGCATTCTTCTAACACAGTTCTCAAAGATGGGGTGAAGGTGGAAACCTGGTCCTTGAGAGCTGTAGGTGACCCAGGGACAGGGGCTGTGTAGTTTAATGAGGAGTTTTCAATATTGTCATTTTATATTTAGAAATGGGAAAAGAACACAGGCAAGCTGGTGGGCTTGTGCAGCATAAACCAAAGGACACTACCCCAACTCCCCTAGTGCACGCACATGTGTGTGTATGTGTGTGTGTATGTGTGTTTGTGGTGGGGGTGCATTTCAGAATCTCTCGGGGGAGGGGGTGTGACTTTTTGGGTTACTTTTTTAGTAAGGGAGCATGGATTTAAAATGGCCAAACAGTACTGCATTATTGGCCCTCAGTTGCTCCAGCAAGGGCTTGCCTTTTCTAGGGGAAAGGAAAAGGCATGCTGCACAGCCCACCTCAGCTGCACCCTACATGCAGTGCATTGCCATTGAGCATGCATCTCAGATCTGAAAGCTGAGTCTCCAGTGGGCAGTGAGAAAGAACTGGTGCACCCCCATGTTCCTGGCATGGTTGCCCAGCTCTGTAGCTGGCATTCCTAGCCCAGTCCAGGTGGTCACCCCCACTCAGCCTGCCTTTGCTGCAGAACCTCCCTCCACTCACGTGACCATTCAGCCACTCCAGAGTACTCACCTCTTTTAAAGAGGGTCTTAAGCTGGATTTTGCCAGGGGTGGGAGGCAGGCTGCCAAGGCACGAAATCTGCTGGCCTTCCCCAGTCCACACCTCTGGCCAAGATTCCCAGATCCCCATCAGTATTGTGACTTCTTCCTCTCCAATATCACCAAGACCTGTAATTCTTTATCATAGGATGTTGTAGGTCTCATGGTACAGGTGATTTCTGTTATTCATGCCTGTCTTCCTCACTCAAATCTGATCTCCTTAAGGACAGGAATCTTGGCAAATCCAGCTTTGTGTCTTTAGCACCCAGCACAGTGAGTGGTACACTAAATAAAGACTAGGTGGATTGGTGGGTGGGTGGGTGGGTGGATGGATGGATGGATGGATGGATGGATGGATGGGAAAGGAAGGAAGGAAGGAAAGAAGCATTCCTGGTAATTCATAAGATGAATAATGACAGCATTTGCAGTTTTCATGAAAGACAGGGGCCAGGGATACTTCTCTCCTGAAAAGCTCCTTTTGAATATAAATGTAACCACCACAGCCCAGATTGTAAATTGTGAAAAGATCAAAAGCTTTGAAGCCCACCTTTTGTTGTTGTTGTTGTTGTTGTTGTTGTTTGTTTTTGAGACAGTCTTGCTCTGTTGCCCAGGCTGGAGTGCAGTGGTGCAATCTCAGCTTACTGCAACCTCTGCCTCCCAGGTTCAAGCCATTCTCGTGCCTCAGCTTCCCGAGTAGCTGGGATTACAGGTATGTACCATCATGCCCAGCTAATTTTTGTTTTGTTTTGTTTTGTTTTTGAGATAGAATCTCACTCTGTCTCCCAGGCTAGAGTGCAGTGGTGCAATCTCGGCTCGCTGCAACCTCTGCCTCCCAGGTTCAAACCATTCTCGTGCCTCAGCTTCCCGAGTAGCTGGGATTACAGGTATGTACCATCATGCCCGGCTAATTTTTGTTTTGTTTTGTTTTTGAGATAGAGTCTCACTCTGTCTCCCAGGCTGGAGTGCAGTGGCACAATCTCAGCTCACTGTAGCCTCTGCCTCCTGGGTTCAAGCGATTCTCCCACCTCAGCCTCTCGAGTAGCTGGGATTATAGACGCCCACCATTATGCCCGGCTAATTTTTGTGTTTTCAGTAAAGGCCGAGTTTCACCATGTTGGCCAGGCTGGCCTTGAATGAAGACCTGCACAGTTACTGTCTGTGGGAAATCAGCTCACGTAACTGGACCTTTTCATCAGTGCGCCTTTCCTGTCCTGTCCCTGGAATTGCGAGGTGTCCCCCATGTCTGGTTGTCCTTGCTTTCCCACACTTTTCTTGAGATCGCTGCCCTTCTTCTAGGGGTGTATGAAGTAGGCTCCCCAAGCCCATGGCGGCTCCTGGGTGGGGTCGGATCTCAGCCTGACCTGATGTCTGAGCAACGGTGAGGCCAGCACAATGGACAGACACGATGTGGCTGTGGGCTGTAGGGTGCATCTTGTTTGGTGGGTATAGGAAGCTTTTAGGGTACTGGCTTTCAGCCACTCTGCCTCAATAATTAAATAGTCCCTCCTCCCCCAGTGTCTCATGGTGAGGTTGCAGGGATAAGAGGGAATTCGCTTTTTGGCCTTCTTTAATATTATCCCTTTAAGGAACATTAGACATTATGATAGAAAAACCAAAAATCAAAGATGACATTCTAGTTCAGATCTTTTTTAAAAGAGGGAAGGTATGACTATAAAATCCCACACAGTAAATGTACTCATAGCTACAGGGATTTAATATTCTTTTTATTTGAAGGTAAACTTCAATTTCTCATTATTTAAATTCGGAAATCTTAGGCTGTCGCCAACATTTCAGACAATTTACTGTTTTACAAAATAATGATAATAAGACAACAGTAAGGTGATCCTGAATGATTCTCTAACTTGTATGTTACATAAAAAAAAATTGTTTAGAGGCTGGGCGTGGTGGCTCACACCTGTAATCCCAGCACTTTGGGAGGCTAAAACAGGCTGAGCCCAGGAGTTTGAGACATGCCTGAGCAACATGGAGAAACCCCATCTCTACAAAAAATACAAAAAGACTAGCTGGGTGTAGTAGTGCACACCTGTAGTCCCAGCTACTCAGGAGGTTGAAGTGGGAGTATTGCTTGAGCCCAGGAGGTCAAGCCATGATCACGCCACTGCACTCCAACCTGAGTGACAGAGCAAGATGCTGCCTCAAATAATAATAACAATAGTAATAATAGTTTAGAAACAAGGTTTTTTTTTTTCCATGGAGAAACTTCTCTTGTAAAATTCTAAAATGATTCTGAAGGCTTTTCTCTCTTTCCATCTTGTCTTTCATTTTCCAATCAGATTGCAGAGGCCATTCCTTTTAGGCTTTTAGTCAGCAGTTTCGATATTCTTCAAATCCAGTATCCAGCTTTTGTGTCTTGGGGTTGGAGTCAAAGGCTCTGTTGTGATGTTTTTCTGTTCCACAGCAATCACCATGCCCTTTGGAGAGTGCAGTGCCTTAGTGAATGCCTCATTTCTATAACATCACCACTTTTTACAAGAGCTATGCGGCACACATTCATTTTTTACTATGTGTTTTTCTCTAATTCTAAAAGGAATATATGTTCATTTTAGACAATTTGGAAAATACAGAAAACTGTGAAGGAAAGAGAAGCACCAACCATAGTCATACCCCTTAGGGATATGACTGATAATCCCTTCACCTAATTCCCCTAGTCTTGGTCTGTACAGATATGAGCCATAAATTCGAGGTCAGCCCTACATACAGATTTATATCCTGTTTTCTTCCCACTTTTATTTTGAGCATGTTCTCACATTAAGCATCCTCTCTGAACACAAAATGTTAATAGATAAATAATATTCTACCATGTGGAGCTACCTGATACCTGAATTTATTTAATTGTTCACCTACTGCTGAATGTTTAAGTTGTTTCTGTTTATCACAAGAATGAATAGTGGTTGTTCGTTGTTAGTAAATCCTCATGCATGTCTCTAGCTATGTGCATCTGCTCCTGTAACTTTTTAAATTGAGGTCTATTGTGCGAGCAATAAAACACACAGACCGTTAGTGTACGTACTTACATATGGACACACCTATGTGATATGCCACATCAAAGGCTCCTTTTACATTTCCCTATACATTAATTTTGCATTCGTTTTTGGGTATTCAAATACAAGCAGCTGCTGGGGACTTTTTATGTATGATCTCATTTTATGCTTGTGGGCACCCTCTGATGGAGATATAGCTGTCCCACCTTTCCAGCTGAGAACTTTAAGACTCTCAGCACCTGAACAGGTTGCCCAAGGTCATATAGCAAGTCAGGGTGAAGTCAGAGTTGGATTCGAGTTTTGCCTGCACCCAGAACTTTAATTCTGCATATTTTCTCTTAGATAATTAAAAATAAAAGCTGCCAATATCCTTTGATAGGACAGAAAACCATTGGATTTCATTTTGTTTGTTTTTTCCTTTACGACTACACTTGGGGATCAGTAACTGACCACATACCTTCTCCTGTTTGTAGCTTACATTTAAAATCGGCAGAGAATTGGCATTGCTGCTTTCTGGTTTTGGTCATGCATTTTGCTCAGGGCTGGAAGGCACCGTTGGCTGTCATCGAGTTACAAGCCCTCACCTACCCACTCACACCCCTCCCACAGACTCAGGCTTTCCCCAGTTCTGTTACCAGAGAGGAACACTTCTGAGCACAGAAGCTGATGACAGCCACTTAGCAAGTTGTCTTGGGCTCTGTTGCCAAAGCACAGGGAGAGACAACCTCAGTTAAGGTGCACAATTTAGATTGGAGGCATGGGAGAAACTTCTGGTCCATTTTTCCAGCTTGCCCGATTTACAAAGATGACACTGAGCCCAGTTGTCTGCCTGGGGAGACAGGCCATTAAGAGCAGGCCTGAGACTGAAACCCAAGGATGTCTGCCTCCCAGCATCTCATCGGGTCAGTGGACACACATTTAGGGTAGAGGGTCTGGGCCTGTCAGATGTCACCACTGCCTCTTGAGGACACAACCTGATTAAAGGCAGTCAGGTTGAATGGCATCCCAAGTGCATTCCCACTGATGGGAAATTTAACAAGATGGAAAAAATTGTCTTACCCAGAACTCCTCAGTGTATGTGGTTAGGAGGACTTCTAGGGCAAGGCATTTGGGGTAGGATGCAGTGAGGGCTCGCCAGCCCCTCAAGGAGCAGGCTGGATTAGGTAATCCATGAACTGGCATCCAAGGTGTGTGAGGCCAATTAACCCAAGGGCTCTGGTTCACTGCATGGGTTGTGCAAGTTTGGGGCCAGCGTTGCATGGCGATAGGGCCGTCTGCACCCAGTAATTCAGACAGAGCAGCAGGGTTTGAGGCCTGGTTTAAGTATGAGCAAGTTGCCCTCCTTCTAAACCAGCCCCCTCATTCCAGCTCAGAGCCCGTGTGTGCCCAGGAGGATGTGTTTTCTTCGGGTCCTTTTGTCCTCTCTGGGAAGTAGAGCCAGGTGTTAGGAGGGTGGTCACCGAACCACCTGTGCCTCTCAGCTAGTTCCTGTCTTCTCGGTGGGGCTGATGGGAATGATGATAATACCACCTTGGGGAAGTGGAGAGAATTAAATGTGTTAGTGGCTACAGAGCATGTACAGTGGTGCCCAGCCCAGTAAATGGTAACTATTGGCTTTTATTTTCTTCTCAACTGTTTCTGACCCTTAATTCTTCTACATTCCATTTTTTCCTTGTTTCTCTCTCTGATGCATTTCACACTATTAGACTTCTCTGCCAGTGTTTCTGATAGAAGACTTAAACCGTGATGCTCTGTGAAATTTGTATTATTTTACTTAGAGTTAAGCTTCCTCCCATTTTTTCATGTTTTTCCATAATATTTTGCATTTTTCTGTTGTAGGACTTAAAGCCTTGGTTTAAGAGTTGCAGTCTCTCACTAGACAATGCTCCTGCAAGGCAGGAACTGCTGGATCCCCAGTGCTTAGCCAAGATTCTGGCCTAGAGCGAGTGCTAGCAAATGCTTATTGAGTCAATAATTTTCCTTACAAATAACCCTTAGAAAGACAAGGTCACTGATCGCTGGTGGATGTCCTCAGGTCATCCACGGAGACACTTCTTTGCAGCATTATGTTATCACTGTCAGTGGCCACCCCTTCCTTCTTTCCCCTGGACTGGCTTACTTCTGAAGTCCTTTTCTTTTCTTTCTTTCTTTTTTTTCTGAGACTGGGTCTCATTCTGTCACCCAGGCAGGAGTGACGTGGTGCAAACATGGCTCACTGCAGCCTCGACCTCCCCTGGCACATTTTATCCTCCCAGCTCAGCCTCCTGAGTAGCCAGGTCTGTAGGCACATTTCGCCGTTCCCTGCTAATTTTTATACTTTTGGTAGAGATGAAGTTTCACCATGTTGCCCAGGCTGGTCTCGAACTCTTGACTTCAAGCAATCCACCTGCCTTGGCCTCCCAAAGTGTTGGGATTATAGGCGTGAGCCACTGTGCCTGGCCTGAAGTCCTTTTCTTAGCATAAGTGACTTTCCTCTGCTGCAGATGAAAAAAATAATGTTTTTCTTCCATCTCTTCTATTCCTTTGCTCTAAAGGCAAAGAGAGAAGAAGATGCCAAGAGCAAAACCTGCACTAAAGACGTCTGTTTTCTCTTTCTAGCCTGGGACTTGGAGGTAGTAAGAAACCAGCCTGTGTTTTTTCCCCTTCTGGTTTGTAGCATCTCTGAGAAGTGGACAGAAAGTCAGCATTCCTTATTTGTTGAACTGGCTGCTAGAATAAAGGATATGGGGCACCATGGGGTCAGTGGAACTTGCCTACCTCAGCACCTTAGAGCTCATGCCGGCTCATCTTCTCTTGCCCTTCTGGTGTGAGTCAGTCATCTGGGAAATTCTGATTTCATAGCTGGGCTACTGGTAGAATTGACTGCTGTCACAGATTAAAGAAGAAGGTGTTTAGTCATCTCAATAAATGTATGAAGAGCTTTTGATAGAAATTTGACACCTACTCCCAATTTTTAAAAAAGTTATTTCCAATGTGATGAGAGGGCCTAATAAAGGGCATCTACCAAAAACATACAGTGTACATCCTGAATGGTGAAACACGCAGAAATACGGCAAAGGTGCCCAACTTCACCACTTCTTTCTAGCATTGTGTACTGGGAGTCCCAGCCACTACGACACAACAGGGAAAAGAAATAAGGGGCATAAAGATTAGAAAGGGAAGAAATTTCATGTTTTTCAAACCATGTGGTAGTCTACTTAGAAAACCCAATATAATCTAAATGATTAGAACTATTCTGTTAATTTAAAAAGTTTGATGGATACCAGTTTGATAGCACTAAGTACTTGCAGCTTCTTAGTAGAAAATGAAATGTAAAAGATTTTATTCTAAATACTAAGAAACTCAAAAATAAATCTAATAACAAGTAAGATGTGTATAGAGATAACTTTAAAATTTTTTGAAAGCCAAGAGAGAATGACTAAATAAATGGCAATATAAATGAATCCTGTAAAAATGGCAAGTTTCCCCAGATTAATATGTTAATTCAGTAAAATTTCAACAAAAGCGTCAAAAAAGTTTTTCACAGGATTTAACAAGGAATCCTAAGGTTCTTGTAGAAGACTAAAGGGCCAAGAAAAACCAAGACAAAGAATAAAGAAGATAGTCTTGCCCAATGAAATAGGTTTTTCTTTTTTTCATAAAGATATTTTTTAATATGGTATTTTTCAGAGATCAACATGTCATATTTGGTTTCTCTAGTCTGACCTTCTGGCCTAGGGTCACATCTGAGTTATATTTCAGAGGTGGCATTGTCAATCGTGGGAGAAGGGAGCCAAGTCAGTTTACTGTGCTAGAAAGACTGATTTTTTTATATAGGGAAACATGAAAGTAGATAGCTTTCTCATATCTCACAACAAAAATAAATTCCAGATGGATCTAAGACCTAAATGTGAAAGACAAAGTTTTAAAATGTTTACAAAAAAACAGGCAGATATTTTTATGACCTCAGGGAGGGAAAGATTTCTTACACGAGACACATACAAAAAGCACAAAGATAAAAGGAAAAAATTAATAATTTTCATAACATAAAAGTTAAAACTTACGAATGACAGTAGAAACCATTTTTAAGAGGTGGAAATACAAGACCTTCATTGGGAGAAGATATTTGCAACATGTAACAAAAAACTAATTCAGGCTACCCAAAGGCCTCCCAGGATTCAGTAAGAAAATCACTAACAAACAGTCCAGGTGCAGTGGCTCACGCCTGTAATCCCAGCACTTTGGGAGGCCGAGGCGGGCGGATCACCTGAGGTCAGGAGTTCAACACCAGCCTGGTCAACATGGTGAAACCCCGTCTATATTAAAAAACACAAAAAATTAGCTGGGCGTGGTGGCAGGTGCCTGCAATCCCAGCTACTCAGGAGGCTGAGACAGGAGAATTTATTGAACTTGAGAGGCGGAGGTTGCAGTGAGCCGAGATCGTGCCATTGCACTCCAGCCTGGGCAACAGGAGTGAAACTCCATCTCAAAAAAAAAAAAAGAAAGAAAAGAAAATCACTAACAAACCAGTAGAGAGATGGCCAAAGTATAGACAAAAGCTCTTTGCAGAAAAGGAAAACTGAATAATCCATAAACATGAAAAGATGCTCAATTAGTAATCAGGAAAATACACATTAAAGCCTCCAAAAGCAACCATTTCACAGCCAACAGATTAGTTAACATGTTGACATCTGACAAAACTGAGAGGAAGCACTGAAGTAGAACCTCATACCTGGATGGCAGGCTTTTAAATTCAGACGGAGCTGCAGCGTCTAGCAAATCTGAAGACTACCCACTACCCAGCAACTCCATTTTGGTTTTCTACTCTGGAGAAACTCCTCTATTTGCACAAGAAGATGCACCAAGATGTCAATCACAGCACCTGTGACAGGAAAAAAAAAAAAAGGAAAACAACCTGAATATCCATCTGTAGGAGATTAAGACATACTTTATGGCACCTCTAATCAATGCAATTCAGAGTGTCTGTTAAAATGATAGGGATCAATATGGGTAAACCCCAAAATTGTAGTGGTGACTGCAATGATGCCATTTATAAAAGAAACTTTTGTAGGTATATGGGGTTTAGCTATATGCAATACATATGTGTAGGTAAAATATGTAGGTAAAAAGGTGGATATTGGCCAATTCTTATCGTTCAACCTAATACATATGTAATATAAATACTAAAAAGGAAGGGAAGGTTACCTTCCAACTTCACAAAGCGATTGCTTTTGGAGAGGGAGGGAGAGGAATGAAGTCAGTTAAAACCTGCAAAGGGAGTTTCAAATGTGTCTGTAAAGTTTGATTTAGCACAGAAAACTGGAGCATGTGGCAAAACGTGAACATTTGTGGAAGCTGAGTTGTGGGTACTTGGGTATTTTTTACTTTATTCCATGTACCTTTCTCTGTATTTAAAATATTCGTAAGTCACAAAGAAAACAAAAGGGATTCATTGGCACGGAAGGTCAGTGACAAGAGTGCATGCAGATGTGGTTTCATGTAAGTTCTTGTTCTCCTTTTGTGCTTCATTCTCAGACAAAAGGCAAGGTAGGTGCGGTCACTGCTGGCCTGGCCACTGAATGCAATAACAGCCAAAGGAGGAGGGGGACTTCTGGTGTCTCCTGGAAGAATGAGGGACCATCTTTCCCAGAAGCCCCTAGAAAACTTCTGCTGTAGTCCCACTGGTCCAGGGTAGGTTATATGTCCAATCCTAAACCTAACCATGGGGCCAGGAGAATGCCAGCAGTGATGGCTGAGGCCTGTATTCCCAAGCCAATCATGCACAAGGGGATAGGATCACTCTTAGATGTGATAGGTCCTTGGGAGAAGCTGTAGGTGAAGATCGGGTGAGTTGTGTAGGGGGTAGGGATGGATACATAAGAAAGCTAGCTTTCTGTTAGAGGAGAGGGGAAATGGATGCTGAGTAGGAAACCAACCCAACAGTGTCTACCAAAGGAAAGACTGTCAGAGGTGAGATCCAAGTGTAAGGGACTGTGTGTTTTAAGTGGAAACCTATGTCATCAGATTGCTTTTTAAATAATTGAATGAATTTACATTTCCACCCGTGATGTTGAGCCATACCCAGCCTGACCCACCAGCAGTGGGATTTCTCACCTATCAGATTGGTAAAAATTAAAAAGAGTGACAGCGATAGCATATCGTTGCTGTGACTTGCGTTTCCCTGACAACCCCTAAGGTTGGGCATCCTTCCTTGTGTTTGTTGGCCATTTGAATGTGCTCTTCTGTGGACTATCAATTCATGAATCTTGCCAAAACAAGAATTCTTGTCAAGCTTTTAGACTGCATAGGATTTGAATATGTTTTAAAGGCATTCTCTGAGCTGGGAGGTGAAAAGTGATTATCCATATCTGGAAGCAGCTTGGTGTGTTGGTAAAAAGAATTATTCAACAACCAAGATACCCAAGATTCTTATCCTCGGTACTCTGCCCTGGTCACTTGTCACATTAGGGAACCGAGGCCCAAAGAAGGAAGGCATTTTACATATGCCTATATGTAAAATGAAAGGGCTGCACCGTTATTTGTAAGGGGCTTTCCAGCTGTGGTACTTCGTGCTACTGCTTTGGACAGGATTGCAGAACTCTGTCTGCCCTTGACTCTCTGGAAGTTCAAGTCTTCCCCTCCTACCTTGTAGTGATCCCTCACTGAATAAGGTGATCTCTGTGACTGGAGCCCACCATTCTGGGCAAACTGGAGTCCTTGACTCAATCTGTAGTGCTCAACTGGGTTTTTGTTCCATCTTGGATTTCTTAGTCAGGAAAAAAAGCTTTTGTCCATTTCAGCCTCCTCTCCTTGCTCCAAGTTGTTCCATGTAGGGTACAGGTGGGAGATTCTGGTTCTGGAGGTAGAAGAGAACTTTATTTATATTTTCAAAGTAGCCGTATAAAAGCAAAGCCTGACTTTAGGGCCAGTGTTTGATGTCAAAGCAGCAAGGCAACAAACTTTCATTAAGTTACCTCCAATGTTTACTTGCGAATTTTGGAAGAAGCCTGCCAGTGTTTGAGGATTGTAAAAATCCACTTGACATCATCTTCATTGACATCTGGACGGGCAAAACGCAGGTTATGAAAGTCAGCTGGCTGGCACATGCAGGGTGAGTGTTTGGGGCTGGATATGATGAGGGGATTTCGCTGGGTTAGGAAGCTAACTCTGGTGCTTCTGAGTACCTAGAAGCGGGCAGTAGAGAGCAGAGCACCAGCTGTCCTCTTCTCCCCACGTGGCTATGTGTCCAGGGCACATTAAATGATGGGCCAGTCCTACCAAGGGTAACTCCTACCTTCTTGCCTCCCACAGCCGCTAGACACAGCCCTGCTTTTGGTATAGGGACTTCATGGAGTTGAGCCCTTTCTGCAGCATGGAGAAAACCTTCCTCAGAGTTCCTACCTGTTACTTTCCTACAGACTAGAACATGCAGAGAATTCCAGTAATTTCCAACCCATAAACCTCACCACCCTGTAGCCAACATGCAAACCTCCCTTCTTAGTGTCACCGAAGCATGCCACTCAGAATGGCAGATGGCAGGTCATTCCAACCAATAGGCGTGGGTTTCTGGGCCAGAAACTCTGAGGAATATGCTGCCTTTTCCTTAATGGCTATAAGGACAGGGGAAACCAGAGAAGTCGTTTTTGTGGTATTTCATGAGCATGCACGGTGCTGTTATTTTCCTGGTTTTAACATAATAGGACTTGTTGCTTTATGTTTTCATATATTCTTCTTGAGAAATCAAAGTCATTCTTTGTATACAGTGGTTTCCATTGAAACATTATCCAGCACACATTTCTAGACATCTGTAGTCAGTTTCTCAAGGTAGTGTTCAGTTATGATACCCATAAAAAGTGAGACCCCTTTAACTTGGTTCTCTCCAAAGCTTAAACTCATATTGTTCACTATAACAGATGTCCACAGAGTGTGCACCATGTCCAGATAGCTGTGCTCAGCACTGGATTAATTCTGATCAATTAAAAGGTGATTCTGCCCCATTATTAATGATTTAGAATTTGATATCTTCATATAGAAGAACAAAGATTATATTTTAACCTATCTTAGCAGATACATTATTTTTGGGTATTTTCTTTTTTCACATTGGTAATCTTTTTTTTTCTTTTCAAATCCAGTCATGCTTTAAAAAAGTAAGGAAGGAGGCCAGGAGCAGTGGCTCACGCCTGTAATCCCAACACTTTGGGAGGCCAAGGTGGGCGGATCACCTGTTAGGTCAGGAGATTGAGACCATCCTGGCTAACACGGTGAAGCCCCGTCTCTACTGAAACCCCGTCTCTACTAAAAATACAAAAAATTAGCTGGGCGTGGTGGTGGGTACCTGTAGTCCCAGCTGCTCTGGAGGCTGAGGCAGGAGAACGGCGTGAACCCAGGAGGCGGAGCTTGCAGTGACCTGAGATCTGGCCACTGCACTCCAGCCTGGGCGACAGAGCGAGACTCCATCTCAAAAAAAAAAAAAAGTAAGGAAGGAGACTCTGTGTCCTACTTAAAACCACCTCTAGTTTCCTCACTGCCTGCAGGGTAGAATGAAAATGCCTTAGCTTGCGTGGTGCTTCCCAGGCAGGCAACCTTTTCCTTTGGGCCTAAGCACTTTGGACTTGTCACCCTTCCCAGTCACACTGTGCTTCTGTGCACCCCACGAGCTGATTGCTGTGCTGGGAATGGCCCTCCAGCCCCAGCTGCACAGGCTGACCAGTTCCCTCACCCATCACTACCTGGCCCCAAGGGCCAGGCCCCCACCGAAACCTTTCTGCACCCATGTTAAGCATTCCTCCACAACCTCCTGCAACGTGTTCAGACCCTCGTGAGAGCACCCTAGGTTGATGTTCTCTGCTCACCTTCTTTTTTTCTCACTGGTCTGTGAGCTCTTTGAAGTTAGAAGGCATCATTACTTTCATCTGTCTTTCCAGCATCTAGTAAAAATAAATAAATAAATAAAGCCTCTAAAACAAACCACTAGAACATATAGGCTTACGTCTGTACCTCAATAATGAACTCCAGGCTATCAAGTGATCATTCGTTTGCTCATTCATTCTTCAGCAGAGGGACTGTGTTCTTGCTTTCTGCTAGCACTGGATGTTAGATGAGGTGCTGGGAACCCCAGACACTCTTAGAGCTTCTACTTGGCAAAGATGGAATTGAAGGTTAACAGACATTTTATGAGACTTGGTTTTGGAGTCACATTAGTTTAGGGTTGATTATTTTTTAAACTTCTAATCTCCCCAGAATTGAACTTAATGAGCTATCCCCTGTCACTCAGAACTTGTTTGGAGGAACTAGAAAACCATGCAGATTCTCAGCATTTTTTATTCACGATTTTAAAGGCAAATCTGGATGTGGCATTACACCGAGGTGTTTTTAGCTTTCCTGAATGTCCTAATTGACATCAAATTTTTATGAAAACATTCCAAAACCTATGATTATTATTACTCTGACCACTGTTTATATTTGAGTGCTGAGCAGAAAAAGAAGAATCACCAAAGCTTTTCTATTTAGTCATCTTCTAGACAAACCATATGAAAAAATAGGGAAGTGCTTCATTCGCAGAGGTTCCTTGGCCCTCAGCCAACTGTGAAGTCCCCAGTCACAGCCACCCTGAGCCTCTCTGTGGGAAGGGACTTTCAGCCCAGGAAAGAATGAGTTCCTGCTGGTGACCTGCCAGGTGCAGATGGTTGAGTCCACTGTACACATCTGGTTGGGGGTTTCCAAGGTGCTGGCTGGTGGAGCCCTTATGCATGCGAGGGGGTGAATGGTGGAGATTTCTGGATCCCTGCCCAGGAAGCCTCCCAGGTAGCAAATTAACATCAGCCATATTATGCTGGCCACTTTTTTCTCTCTGGTGTTTAAACTCTAGATCTCCAAAGTCAGGCACACACAAGATAACCCAGTGTGGTACAGGAAAAATACAGACCATTGGACTAGAACAGTTCCATTCTCATACATTTGATAATGGACTTAACATGTAAGTATACATGCACCCACTTTATGAATAAATATGCGTAAGTCTGTGTTATGATTAGTCTCTTTTACCATTGAGGTCATGTGCTCAAACAAGTTTAGAGACTCCTTTGTTAGCCAGTCACCATTAATATAGAACAGAAAAGATTAATTTTTGGTGGAATGGATGAAAATATTAAGAGGTTTCAAACTAAGTATCAATTTTATAATCAATTGTAGAGATTCCTTTGTTAGCCAGTCACCATTAATATAGAACAGAGAAGATTAATTTTTGGTGGAATGGATGAAAATGTTAAGAGGGCTTCAAACTAAGTATCAATTTTACAATCAAGTATGATAATCTTCCTTGCAGCATTGTATGGTATGTTGGTGTGAACTTGGTAGCCCTTGGGTTATTTCCTGCAGAAGTCTAAGGGTGTGAGATGTAACATTTTCCGTATATTGTTAGCCTCTGTATGTGCATAATAGAGTGAAGAACTTCCTGAAGGGGGTACAACACAGCTAGTGTTATCATTCTATATCCAAAAATGGCAGAGGGAGAAAGTCAAAGGGACCACCATTAATATTTTGCTGTTTCAGTATTCTTTCTATAAGTATTTGCATACATTTTTGGTTTACTAAATTATGATTATGTTGAACAGTGTTTTATAATCCAGTTTTTTTCACTGTGTATTTTTCCTTGTCAAAGGGTGAGAATAAGACAATAGATTCATGATTGTGAAGGTCATTTTCGGTGGTTCGACCTCTTAGTTCTGAGACTCAGCCCCTGGAAAGTCTGCCCTTGTTGCTTGCACTTGCTTTGTAAATCCAAAAACCCAACTGCTTTGCAGGCAGAACTACAGCCTCCACATGCACCATGATTCAGGTAGACCAGGAGTGCCTTCTCCTTTCTGTACTAAAAACACCTGAGAAAACCATATTGAGAGGAGAAGGCTTTGAAAGATGCATAGACTTGACCTGAACCTGGAAGTCCTCCCAGCCAGGTGGGACCTTAGGATCCCCAGGCTGAGCTGTAACCAGCTGTGCCAAGCAATGACCTACTTCTTCCAGTTCCAAGTTCTCCATCAAAAGAATTCTGACTGCTTCAGAGAAAATTCTTGTCCCTCTACCCCCACCACAGACATAGGCACTAGGTAATATTGACATGTGAAATAAACTTCCATGGGTATCCTTTGATTCCAACAAAACTAAGAACAAACATCTTGGATATGAAAATAAAGCATGAAGGTACTTAGTAACTGCCACCAGTATTAATAGGACACGATTAATGGGAACCACTAAGGGCCATGGCATAGACAAAGTAGGCTGCCCACCATGAGCAGTTCCCTGGCAGTCACCAAAATTCACCCCCTTTCCCACTCCAGCAGGCTCGTCGGAATGCAAGGGATGTGATTATATGGGTAGACTTGGCAATGATATTTTTAGAAGCCAATCTTATTCTTAAAATTTTAACACGTTATTACCTCTTATTAGTTTCAAGTTACTGTGTGATACAGCACTGTGCCTAAAAAATCTGGCTGTGAATGATATCTTCTGATTACTGGTGTCCACTGCTGATTCTCTGTAACCAGTGAAACCTGCTCCATCTCCATAGGGGAGGGCTTAGGACCTGGAGAAACCTTGCTAGATTTCTGCAACCTAGCTGGGGTCCAAAAGTATTGTTAGCATCCACATTTTTTATATACCGTTCAGTTAACAGCATGGACATGTTTGTGGAAAGCTTCAGATGCCCATTCCTCTGTTAAGCATCAGGTTCCCCGGATCAAAGGGGTAGGAGGGTCTTATGCAGTCTTCAGAATGGTCTCTGGGTTCCACCTTTATTAACCAAGGGAGGCTTGTGGCGGGGGTCGAGGAGGTGAGCCAGCCACCACACAAGCAGTTTTAGACCCTGTGTGACTTCCTTAGTTATCTGTGGAATGCAGTTTGGCAGGAAGGTTCTGGCTTGCAAATAATTCAAGTTTTATCAGTCATCTCTAGTGGCCAGTCCCTCCATTTTAATCACTTTAGAGCAACCCAAGAGGTCTTTGGTGAATGGTCATTTCAGTTCTTTGTAAATACTTCTGAATTGGAACATTTCTGTATGAACAGCCCAGATAAACAAAGGGCCCAGTGTATTGGGTTTTGTTGGTATTTTTACCAAGTTTGTTGAGCCAGCCTTCTTCATACAAGTCCATTCTTGGAATTCTAAACATGACTAATGGCAGACTTCTGAATGCTACCTATAAGCACAAAGCTTTTGTAATTGACTTTCTTTAGCGGTGACCCTAGGCTTGTGGTCCAAAAGCTGTTGATGAGGAAATTGCTTTCTGGGTTTGGCCTGGGGGATTTTCCTTGTCACAGTAGGGTGTGCAGAAGTGAGTTGCTGCCTGAGATCAGTGTTAGGAGGTTTGAGGTTGCATCTGATTGATTAGTAATGTCTTCCATGGGCATAGGTGGGAGTGATGACCTGCTCTCAATCTGTCACCCCACAGGCAACCTACCAATATAAGGTCTTACCCCACCAACACTTGAAGCCAGCCACTGGGGACTTCACAGCACCTTGGTGAGGGGTCCTGTTAGTGAGGGACTTAACTGAGATTACCAAAAATGAACCTCTGACCTCTGAGCAATGTCTGGCCAAAGCATTTCTTCTTTCCCAAATGGAAGATGCCTTTTCTACCTTGGAGCCTGTTTGCCTGGGTTTTCAAGGTCATTTCAGTAGTGCAAAAACTCTGCAGTTCTGTGAAATGTCTTCCAGATCCAAGCACTGAGTTGATTGGTGTTCTGTAGGCAGAACTGTCGGGTTTGATCAGGGCTTCCCCCACAAACCTTTCTCCATCAAAGATAAGAACTTTAATACAGATTAAACCCCACAGCAGCAAATTCCAGGAGACTCTCTAGGTTCATCACTTGTATTAGAACATGATGGCATCAAAGTATTGACCGGGGCTTAGAGATGTTAAACAGAGATCTTCTGGTAATAGTTTTTATAAGAGGATTTGATTTGGGGATAAAATTGATGATTTTGGCCAACTTGTGTCTTTGCTCTAACTTCTTTAAAACTAGAGTAAATAAGTAGATATTTTTATTTTATTTCCTTGTAATAAATATTTTTACATATCATTATATAAAGTCCCTTTTGGCTCTTGTCAGATTTTTCCTGCTTTTAAAGGAATTTTATCTATAATTTTATTCAATGTTATTTTTCAGTCTTCACACTTTAAGGATGACTTAACTCTTACAGGTTGGAATGCTTAATCCAATTTCAAATATCAACTTTAGTCCACTCAGAAATCAACGTGTCATTCAACCACTGAGATTCACATGTGAAAATGTAAGAGCTAACGGTGGAAGGGCGTCTGTCTACATGTGCGCTCTGTGGACCACGCTAAGTGGAGATTACCGGAGTGTAGAGAAGAGAGCATTTGGTGGGGACATTGGCACCCTCTGGGCATTTTTACATTTCTGTGACATCCGCACTGCCGCATGTCACAGAGGGGCAGTCAGTCAGCACGAGGTGCTGCAGAACAGGCCATCCTGAGCAGAAAGCCAAAGTGGGCCCATTTGTTTCTTGGGACTTTCAAAGGGCACAGCCCCCACCTTTAGAAGTAAGTCGTTTGACTTGCTGGAACAATGGTGTGCAAAGAACCTCGCTGTTCAATCGGTGCAGTGCGATGCCAGGGGCTCAGCTGACTTAAGCACTGTTGAGCTGCAGCCCTGACACCACTGTCTGTCTTCTGTCCCTCTCTGCCGGCCTCTCCCCAAGCTGAGCGCAGTGTCCTGCACCTGGTGAGGCCTCAATACATTTTTGTTGAATTGAAATGGGTCCTTCATTGCTGGTCCTTATATCCCTACCCCGGGTTGGGACCATCACAAAGGGCCTTCCATGGTGCCATTGACGGCTCTGAATCAGTCATTAACACATCCTCAGACATCTCCAGTATTGATGTGGCTGCTCACTCCACCCCTCGCCAGTCAGCACATCTGCACTGTCACTGGTACAAAGGACAGAGCCAAGGAGGCCCTGGTGGGAGCCTGATATAATTCCCCAACAAACCCTTCACTGTCTGCACAACGCTGCTGATGCAACAAGCTCCACGCATCTGCGGCTGTGGAAATGTGTTTCGTCTTGAGCTTTAGGTCAGTGTTAATACATTTTTATTAATAAGCCGCTGCAGGGTGTGGGATATGAAATCAGCTTTAGAGCTGCATGGTATCTTATGGAGTTGCCTGGCTGATTCCCACCTTCATTTTACAGAGAAGCAAATGGAGGCGTGATCCAAAATGAAATTTGATTTTTTTAAAGGGGTGAAGACTGTGTCTTTTCTGAATTTCAAAGAAACCAAGTAAATGCAAACTGGACCCCGATGATAACACATTTAAAATCAATTGTTGAGCTCTTCTTTGCTCCAGGTAATAAGAGGAGGAGGGGGAAGATTCAGATTTGTGGGGGATGCCAGCCCATGTCAAGGGTCAGAGAAGCTGCGTGTCAGGTCTCAGCACAGATCGAAGAAGAAGCCGGGAGAGGAGGAGGGGCAGGAGCTGGAGAGAGGCCCATCAAGGAAAATGGCACAGCCTCCCCTTCCCCGGGACTTAGCTCTGAGTTTCACTGATGGGAACCCTTGGGTTTAATTTATCAGTGGGTTCCTAATCCCTCCCTACCCCAAGACAGCAAAGGAAATGGTGACCACAGGACACCCACAGAGGGAGAAACTGGAGACCTCTGTTTATCCAAATGAGTTTAGTCTGCAATTAAATGTTTTCAGGCCAAAACTTCTGCCTTGTGGTTCAGGGTAACTGGGGCCCTGTGGGAGCTCCCTGTTTAAGATGGGCTTCAAGCAGCCACCATTCCTCCACTATCCCTTGGACCTGCATCACACATCCAGAGCAGTATCTGCCCAGCAAGGAGCCAATTCTCTATGGCCAGGTGCTCTAGAGACAGACAAGAAGTGTAGAGAGCAACTGCCTTGCAGCCCCACCAACCTGGTGAAAAACTACGAACACATTTCCTCTTTTACCATCTACTCCATCCCACTTTAATCAGTTCCCCAGCCACAAAGCCCTCCACCATGCTGGGGGACATTTAGGCGTTTTGCAGACCCATCCTGCCTAGGTCCCATGCCAGTTCTCTACCCTCACCCCTACCTGCCTGAGGGACCCTGCTGGTCCCTGGCTCATCCCCCTGCAAGGCCAAGACCACCAGCCTCCCTGGCACTGGTGCTGCTGCCACTGTGTGGCCTGGCGGGAGGGGAGAGGCTGTGCGTTCTTTGACTTAGACCACACTCCTCTAGCACAGCCAAGATCAGCCTGGCACATTTAAACCCAGATCAGCAGTGCAGCTGTTAAAAACAAGGGACTAGTAACAGATAAATGGAGAAGGAGACACCAGATATAGATCCTGCCCCTCCACAGGCACCACCCACTGAGCACCTCTGCCCACTGCTGCCCTCCCAACAGGTGGAGGATACCTATCTTCCTTTCTTCCCCAACTGGAGGAATGACCAGCCTCTGAGACACTAGCTTTCCCCAGCCCAGAAGCCTGCCCTTCAAGTACTCACTTTCTGCACCAGCTCTGGCAGTATGAAGTTATATGCCCTCCAAGAAATACCCCACTCCTGATACGAGGGCTGGCCTTGTCTTCATTCCCTTACTAGCACAGCACCACTGGCATACAGCACGTTGCTATATGAAGGACCTTTTGGCACAAGAACTCTGCCATCAATCTCACTGGCTGTCGCTTTCCAATCTCCCCCTTCTAAGGTTGACTTAGCTCTTGGGTGGCCAGTGTATTCCCCAAGTCTGGGTCATTTGACAGAATAGCGTACGCGTGCATGCAGTATCCAGAGTCCGGGCCTCCTGGAAGGAACTTCAGCCAGTGCAGGGCTTGGTTTGCTACCCTTCCCAGGGTCCTCAGGGTTTCCACTCTTAACCGTATGGCCAGTTGCCTCAACGAGGAAATACACCTGTCCATGCACACAGCTGAATCCCTGCACTAGAGCCAGCAATAGTGGTCTACAGCATAGCCCCAGCCACGTTCCTGTAAAGGAAACAAATGCAACTCACAGCCCAGATAAGATCTTAAATTAATAAAAAGGCACCTGCTGTCATACGCTAGTTTTTTTAATCACATAGATTAAAATATTCCAAATTCCAGCAGCCTTTTCTTTAAGGGTGTTGACCTGATTCTAGAACCTGACCCCAGGCTCTTCTTCATCCTGGCCGCACTAGAGGTGAACTTTCTTCTGCCTGATGAGAAATGCTCTCAGAGAGGCCATGCCCCTTATTACACAGTGAATAGGAGGCAAAGTCAGGATTGAATGCAGGACACTGATTTTCTTTCACAGTTGGGCAGATGTTTTTCAAAATAAGGAAATTATTTGCCCCAAAGATCCTTCCACTGACATCCAACCTTGGAGCCATTTGGAAGCCGAGAGGTGACCTGATGAAGTGTCTGAAAAGAGAAGCTCGAAGTCCAGCCAAGCTTGGTTTGAAGCCTGACTCCAGGTTTTACCAGTTGTGGGACTACTGGCAAGTTTTTTAACTTTTCTAGCCCATTTTCTGCTTTGTGCCTTATCTGTACAAGTGAGACAGTAATACCTCCTCTTGGGGATCATGGCAATTAGAGATAGTAAAGATAAGGCGCCCGGCAGTGCATGGCACGTGGTAGGTGCTCTCGATGGTAGCCACCTCTCCCACCCCTGCGTTTTAATATTTGGATCTGGACTTAGACGAATATTTTGATTCAATGTAATGCTTTTGTGTGAGTGAAAGTACAAGTTAATAAGTCAAGGCTAAGGGAATCTAAGCCAAAATTGAGTGTCCGGACACAGGACTCACCTTCATATAGAAGCTGACCTGTTCTAACTCTCCTGACTGAGGGATTCAGGTCCTTGCACCACCACTACCCTCACCTGCAGAACAACCCCAGAACCCTGTTTGTTTATTTTTTTACCTCCTTGGAATAAGCTCACATTTGCTCCATGACACTCACCAGCAAGAAATTCATTGTGTTTTTTCTAAATTAAACACATGAGCATTTGTTTCTTATTAAATAATATAATAAAGAGGACCTTCGATGACAGGGCTCACAAAACATCATGACTGGGCCAAGTAAAAAAAATTAAAAATACATGTGACTTCATGCCTCTGCTGACATGTCATCTTGAGAGGATGACATCCATCTTGATGAGACCGTACAAGTCCTGGAGGGCAGACCAGAACCTCTGAGAAGGGCCCTCATGGTCACTGCAGGGTTGCATACCATCTCAAGGCGATAATCCAGTGACGTACACAGCATCTCTGGCTGCCATGCTGTCCTTCCCTGCCTGGTCAGGCCCCAGGACCTGCCCACTAGCTCCTGTGGCAACAGCCTATAGAGTTCAGTCTCCAGCTCCCCAGAGCTTCTCCAGGAGTGCCAGGGAGCAGAGCCCAAGCCTCCTCCAATTACAGATCCCTTCTCCCAGGCTCCACTTTGCCTGTTCAAGCCTTTGAGATGCCGCCTCCCTTACCTAGCTAGCTCTTTCCCTGTTGGATTGGAAAACATAACCAATAGAAACCTCTTAACCTGTCTCTGGATGCCAAAGTCCCTGGTCTTCTTGCTTCCCAGCTCGCCCCCAGGAGAGGGGAGCAAGAAACCCCTCTCATGCTTTAATAATCTTCCTGCTGGCCAAGATGAGGCAGCCGAGTTAATACTTTAATTCAGGCATCCTGCCACGTGGGTTTGCCACATCTGCCCTGTGAGAGTGTAAGTCTCCAGAGGGCAGGGACAAGGTCTTATTTTCTTTTCTTCCTATCAGCTCATCACATTTTATCAGGTTTCACACGCCTCTTTGACCGGTAGCCCCGGTGTCTTCATATGCCCATGCACAGAAACCTTCACGTTGTGTCCCTATAAGAATCACTCCCATTTTTCCAGCGAAGCTTCACGTCCCTGGGAGAAAGGTAGACAGTAGGCAGCAGAGAGCAGATTTAGACATGACAGTGGCCCAGGGTCCAGCTTGGAGCCATCTGACCCCAACCCTAGAGTAAGTGAAGGGGACCCTCAATGCTGAGGATCAAAGCTGGGGTGCTGAGAGTTTTAAGGGCAAATCCAAGATTTTGTAGATTGAAGCTGTTGAGGAGCCCAGGAAAACGATCCAGTGTTTCCCATGGTCATGTCTCCAGCTCCCTGCTGTCACGTCCCGTAGATGTGGGAGATGGTGAGCATGGGGGTGAGATCCCACATGGACGGGGGCCTGGACACCAGGCAAGAACAAAGAGCATTGGCAAGGAAAAGCAATTTGATTACCAGACAGTTCTGTTTAAACAGGATGGGGTAGGATATCAAGCGGGGGAAAAATCAGTGCCCGGAAGGAAGAAGGGATTTAAAAATAAAAGAAGTGACATTAAATCCAGAGAAGTAACCCTGCCTTCCTTTTTCAGTAAAGTGTTGCTTTTAAAAATCTGGATCTAACACAGAGAAGGCAAATGGATCCTTCTCTACATAGCACTTAGGGCAGCTACTGCGGATTGATTGAGCTTGGCATCTGAGATGAAATTTGAGGCCTAATCAACGCTCAGCAAGAGTCTTATAACTGATTATTAATGTCTGCCAAGGGCACGAAAAGGAGGAGGATTTAATCAAGTACTATGCATTTGCCATCTTTCCTAACCAGTATTTTTCAAATTCTCCCATCAGTTCCCAGTTACCCCGAAATATTTTCATTAAAAAAAAAAAAAAAAAAGGAAAGCATAGCTGGCTCTACTAAAGCTGCAGTTAATTAACCTGGCCATTCATTTAATCATTTATTCATTGATTCAAAAAGTTATTGCAGGTTTGGGCACTGTGGCTCATGTCTATAAACCCAGTACTTTGGGAGGCCCTGGCAGAAGGCTCACTTGAGCCCAGGACGTCAAGACCAGCCTGGGCAACAGAGTGAGACCCCATCTCTACAAAAAATAATTTAAAAAAATAGCCAGGCATGGTGGTGCACACCTGTATTCTCAGGTACTCGGAAGGCTAAGGCAGGAGGAACACTTGAGCTCAGGAGGTCAAGGCTGCAGTGAGCCATGATTATGCCACTGCCCTTCAGCCTGGGCGACAGAGTGAGACCCTGTCTCAAAAAAATAGTTATTGCATGTTGCCTGTACAAAAAATGCCAGGTGACTGTGTTGGAGAATGCTGAAAAGAAAATACTTGCTGCTTCAAACACCTTACCGTCTAAATCAAGAGATAGAATATGAAATATAATTGATTACAACACAAGAAACCACTAATGATAATACAAGACAATCTAAAATAAGCATGAGATTAAGTTTCTCAGTGCTGTAGATATTTTTCAGTACCTGATGGGTACTTTTAAAGTGTTGTTTGCTTTTGTTCTTTGTTTTGTAAAGTTTTGAAAGCATATAGTCCTTTTCCCTCAAATGGCACAAAAGGTAATATTTTTGATAAAGGAAGAAGGCAAGAAAAGTTTCTGACAGGTCAAGAAAATTAAGTAAATATATAGGCCTTTGACAAAGGCTGCAAATAGAACCACAGAGTGTATCATTTCTTTCTTTGAATGATACTTTATTGTCATTTTTGACATATGGATGGTTTTTCTGAAATTGAGTTGTTTTGAGACAGTATTCTGTGAACCATAACCTGGGGATAGACTCTCTACATTCTTTTGGCTAATCATCTCATTTTTTTAAACAAGTGGTCAAGTGGTATTTACCCAATTGCAGTATCCTAAGATAGAATACCCTCTGGTTGTTTAAGAATTAATGAGATGAGCTAAACATTCCATTGAAAAGCATGTGTTTATGTAAGAAAACCAAGTTACTTTATGAAGTAAATTGTGGTCTTTTATCACTTTTCCTCTCTTCGGTCTCTGGAAAAGAAGCCAAGCAGATTGATTCAGCCAAGAGTCCAGCCAGGGCTGGGAATAGCCTTTTTGGAATATATCTTGCATTTCCCCGCTTTGTACGTGCAATCTGTAGTGTGAGGTAAAAGTTTGGTGGTTTTATTTTGCATAGACCCCCTACGGTCGTGGCGGTGGGGTTCCTGTGAGATAGTTGCACACCTCAGAGTGCTCTGTGGAGACTCTATGGATAAATAGCAGGGAATGGGGGTTTCTAGGGCTCAGGACCCTGGGCTTCCACTCCCAGCCCTTATTGTGAGCCTCAGGGTCCCTGCCAGACCCTTTATGGAGCTATGGCTTGAAAATGGAGGCATCAGGACCGACTTGCAGGTAGCGAGGGGGAGGGTGTGTGGCTGAGGAGAGAACAGGCGGTGAGCATGCCTGATAGCCTCTTTCTTGCTGGGAAGCCGGGAATATTAATAGCATCATCACATTAATCTAAAAATAAGGTCTGTAAAGTCCTGACACTCCCTGAAGACAGGCCCTGCTTCCTTAATCCTCCCAGATCTTTCCAGGTCAGAGCAGCACACTACCCTTCCCCCTGGAGGCAAGAGGACCAGTTTCCCCAGGCTGCCGGCGCGGGTCTCCCATCTGTGGCTGGGAGAGGCCAGGCTTCTGAGTTGGGTTCTCAGCTTCCTTTGCTTTTAAAATGGCCTCCTGTGCTCCTGTTTCCTGTGTGGCCCCACAGGCATCCTTATTTTGAGCTCTCTTTTGGTCTGTATTCTTAAGCCCCACAGCACTTGGTGATGCCATGTTATTTTAACTGCCAGACTTTGGCCTCTTGTCTGTCACTTGACCCTCACCTCAGCGCTGGGGTGTGCAGGGCACAGGGGAGAAGCCACCTGCCTGCCACCTAGGAGGCCCAAATGGAGACATGGCTTGACCGAGGTCCTTCTGTTTCCTGTGTATTTTCTGCCCTAACCCCACCCGGCCCCCACAACCCATCATGCCATAAGTCCCAGCCACCCACCCTCAACCTGTCCCTGGTGGACACTCCTTTTGCTGCCTTGCTTTCGGGAGCCCAAGTCTTGTGAATTCTACCTTTAAAAGTCTCTCAGTGCTGACCAGTCCTTTTCACCCCCATCGCCCTCACCCTCCTCTCTCCACCCCCAGAGTCAACCTTCCACACTAGGGCCAGTCACTTCCCCCACAGAAGGCATTTTATGCCAGCCACCTCCAAAGGGGATCAGGCTGGCCACTCCACAGCTTCCAGTGTCCACCCCATTGGGTGCTGACAGTCCTCAGATATGCCCCACACGGGCCCATCGTGGGCCAGCACTGGCCATCCTGGACACCTGAAGACCCTCCCCATCCCTCTCCTATTCCCTCCCCTCTCCCCACCGAGTCGTTCTATAAGGCCCAGATACCTCCTTCACTGCTGGGCTCTCCTTAATTTCTTCTGCTTGAAAGAATTCCTCCTCTGTATTCCCTGATGTTCGGTACCTCTCTTGTGTCCATCACCATACCCTGAAGTTTCGTATACTTGCCTTCCTCCCTCTCGAGGTCATCAGCCTCTTAAGGGGAGCAGTCATTACTTGTTCTTCCCCAAGTGTTTGTGGAATGGAGTTGAATGTGTTCTGTCGGGTGGGCTTCCCACCTCTGTGCCAGGAACGTGAATGGCTTCAGGCTTCTTAGGTCAGGGTGACTTCATGGGGTATTTTTAAATGACTTGAAAATTTGGGAAGCGACCTTACATGGTCAATTATTAAAGGAGAGGTAGGAAATCGAGTTGCTTTTTCATCACATTTTGCTTTGCCATTTCTGAAGAGTTCTGTTGTGGTGTCCCTGGAAGGGCCCTGGGTCAGGCACACCCCCAATGCCAGGGGCTTCATGAAGGCTGGCCAGCATCCCCAGTGTCCCAACTCAGCCCAACCTGTCTGTTGTCCCATCCTAAGTTCTGTATGCTCCTCCTTGCTTCTGTCCCACTGCCAGCATGCCCTCTCCAGGGGCATTGTGGGTCCAGTTCTAAGGCATGGCTGTCCTTCTGAGGAGGAGGTCCTCATTCATTTAAAGGGAGTGAAATGGGAGCTCAGAAGTCAGAGGAAGCTATTCGTTCCCAGGGAAGTATTTTAAGGCAGGCAGGTGTGTTGTTTTTGTTGTTTTTAAGTGAGACAAATGTGCTTTTCAAAAGACTCCGTGTGTGTGCTTACACCCCTGAGTCTGCTTGAACATCTAACACCTACCAGCTCCCTGACAAGAACATTCGTGGCAGATAAAAGGCATTAAAAAGTCCTAAGAGTGAAGCAGGATGAGTCACAGAGAGAGTGAGCCTGCCAGAGCCTTTGAGAGCAGCGGGTTGCAAAGCTTGAGTCTCGGTTCCTCGTTTGCTCCGCCTTGTGCCAAGCTCATGGGTGGGTGTGATCCCCTCCCTTGCTCGGGCCCCTACACCTACACACCTCCCACCACCTGCAGAGCTCTCCGGCCCACGGCACGCCCTGCTGGGCTCACCTGGTGCCTGAGGGTTTTGCTTGCCAGCTGGGGCTGTGGGAACCAGCCGTGGGCTGCTTTTGCCCTACACGAGGAGACGATGAGACTGAGCTGAGAGTCACTGTTTGTCACCCTGAGGCATTCATCACAGCACAAGAAAGCAGCAGGGCGGTGTCCCCTTCTCCCCCAACACTCCCCCCCTCCCCACCCCCGACTGGAGAGATGAGAAAAGTGCTTGCAAAACGGCTGAGAAAATTTGCAACAGAGGCTCACGGGGAAGAGTGGGCTCAAAGCACCAGTGGCAGGCAGCACCTATTCTCATCTACACACAGCCCCTCCAGTCCCTAGCACCAGGCAATCACCTCACCCAGCTGCACCCTCCTTGACTTTCAGTATTGGGTGCCTCTTTACACCCAAAAGGAGGGAGGAGGACATGCCCCGTCCTTTGTGGAGCTGGGTATCGTTGTGGCAGAAGTTGGGAATTTTTGCAGAGCCTGCTGCTTTTTGAGGTCTTTCTGTAGTTCTCAGAGCAGATTTAAGAAATGTGGGTTCACCAGTGAGATTGGAAGGAGAAGGGGAATGCCATCGTTTGTGGGGGAGGTGAATGCCTAGAGATTTGGTGGGAGATGTATTTGGAGAGTAATGAGAATGAGTAACTTGATGGGGGTTGACGCAGTTGGGGAGTCTTGGAACCTGCTGACCCAAGGTGCCTGAGAGGGCTACTGACCACACCTGTTGTCTGTGTGTATCCACTCCTCATTAGAGCCCATTGCCAGTTTTGCCAGGGGTTTTAATTCAAGGGAAGTTCTGAACCACAGGCTTGTCTTTCCCTCAAGTCTAGTGGGTACACATGGCTCACAGCTGTACAGACACACCTGTGGCCATCGAGAGGACAGAAACTTCACAGACCTTCAGTTACGTGTGCCCCATTCTTACTGAAGCAAAAGCTGTTGAGGCGATGGGCCCAGCCGAGGCCTTGATCTGGAAGTGCTTTGGGGTGTACCCTACATGTGTTAAGGGGGCATACCTGGTGTACCTGGCAGCTGTGTTCCCCATGCTATTTTGTATTCTGAGGTCAGGCTCCTCTGAAGAACCACTAACTGCCTTTGGATGGGTTTTAGGACCTTTAGTCATGGGTCAGACTGTTGAGCCTCCATGGTTGTGAGAATTCCAGGGCTCTAGGCTGGGTCCTGTGTGCATCAGGCTGTGGTTCTGAAATTTAATCAAACATGGTAAGCAGCTCCCTTTACCCTTTTGAGTCACAGTGCTGACTATTGCAAAGAAATGTACAAATCAAAATGTGTTTGCATTTTATTTATGCAGAAGCAGGAGATGGCAAATTTTAAACCCTATTTTCAATCAAACCTGGAAAAAAAATGTTAAGATTTGAGTAACTAGTTGGAACCTTGCTGCCTCTCTTTTCACTTCAATATAGGTCTGTTTCTTCCTGATTACTGGACTCAATAAGAGAACGAAATGTTATGTAGTCAGCAAATAGAGTTCATGTTACCTATTAGACCGTAATAGCTCCACCGGACATGCAGAAATGGAACTTGATTTATTACAAAACTTGAAAGAAAGAATCAAAAAGGGAGGAAAAGAAAGAAAAGCAAAGAAACTAGCCACAGATCTGCCTCATCAAACAGCCAATCAGTGTGCCCAGCAGCATAAAAACAGCACATCCTGCAGCCAGCTGGCAACAGAGGGGGAAGCAGCCTCCCCTACCTGGTTGTTCATTTGACAGGAGCCTCGGGAACTGCATTCATTATTTGGGTCTCAAACAAGGGGTGTCGTTTGTAGAAAGGATTTTATTTTTTAACCGCTTTTTCAGGTATGGTGTTCTTAACACCATACTGTGGTTTACCCAGGAAGTTAATTGCTTTATTCTTTTACATTGACCTTGAGAGGATTTTATATCTGAGAAAAGTGACATTTTGGTTTTCTAATTTAGAAGCACAAAGGAAGTTGAGAGAGACAGTGTATGAGCCTGATTCACACTTTGGGGAAAATTGCTCCGGTTAAATTATACACTCTTGGAACTGGGAGCAAAGATAACATTCTTAGACTTAGGCGTTAAATATGATTAATGGGACAACAGGGATAACGTCGATGCCCCTTCGTGTGGACAGCCGGCTTGCGTTTCATCCCTGAAAACTTGTGTGGTTGAAGGGCTTGAGTACACACCAGAGAAGGTGTGCTCACTTACAATTCTGACTTCTCCGGCAGTCACGAGCAGTAATAGTAACCCTTTGCCTACAGTTTCATAACGCGCTGTTTTAGCAAAGGAGGACCCTTCCCCCAAGAAACACGCTAGTAGAAATGCCAGCCCTTGGGGGAGGAGGGTCACCGTGAGATGAATTCACAATGTATACGTATCCCAAAACATTATGTTGTGCATCATCAATATGTACAGTTTTTACTTATCAACAAAAAATAAATAATGAGGAAAAAATCATGCTGGCAGCTTTTAAAAGGATAGCCAGTTTGGCTTGGTGTGTTAAGCTGACAGGTTGCTTCCTGTTGGATCCCACTCACCCCTGGGCTGAGGCAGGGGCTGGTAGCTTATGATGCCAGCACAGGCTTCCAGGACACATTTTGACAATGCTTTTGAGTAGTCTTACATCTCAGTGGGAAGACCCGGAGTTCTTACTCAGCTGACAGAGAAAGCCACATGTAAAACTCAATCATTTTGGAATAATGATGGAAGGACAAGGGTAATCTATGGCTGTCACCTTCTACTCCTCTGGGGAATATGTGATGTCTTCGTCTCCTCAAAGAAGAATAAAAGATGGGGGCAGGACTTCCCCAGGGGTTAGTGTGGTGGCAGGTGCCACCCCATACACTTTCTATATTATTAAGGAGCTTCTGCAGCAATCCGAAAGGCAAAACAAAGTTGAAAGTAATTTATCTTCTTATCCATATCAAGATCAGGGTAATATTTGTGTGTGTTTTTATATACTTGAAGTAAAAATTAGAATAGTCAATTAACCCTATTGGGAATTTTAATACTTTCATTTAAAAAATACTTTCTTCACTCTTTTCTTTGAAAAGCACCACAAATTACTGCTTAATTTTGGATTCTTTCCTAGATTTTAATGTACCTTCTAGGCATTAAAACAGGAATATATCTGATATCCATCTGACATTTAGAAATTACATTTACTGGTGTAACTTTCATTCTTCATTATTACTGTTATTGCTCTAATTGCCAGCACCCATTGTTCATTCATTGTGGTGTGAAAAACAAAATTGATGAAAGTTTATTTTTCTCTCCATATCCAGACCTGCCCTCTCTATCTGCCAGTTCTATCAGCAAAACACTTTGGGTAGGTCTTGTTTGTTTTAATCCCTTCAAACTGCTGGTTCCTGCCCAGTAACTCCCGAGCTGGCTTTCAGGTGCTTCTCTGCCAAAATATGCTGACTGCATCCCTGAAAATTGATCGTGTGTTAAGAACTGCTGAGAGGCTCAGCCACGTCTGGGGCCAAGTCATCATAGCCAGGTCCACGGCAAGGGAGAGCCCTCCCGACAGGCAGCGCTGCCCTGGACGCAGGAGGTCTGAGACAGGGAATATGCGCATGGGAGGTGGTAAGAGAATTAGAAGGTGCAGAGATGGGGGATATGAGGAGACGGGTAGCAGTGGGGACAGAGTGAGAACAGAAGCAGGGAGATGTGTGGAAACTGGTGGAAAAAAAGAAGCAGCAAACCAGAAAAATGGCTGATAGGATGTTGATAATATCGCAGGAATGTTTTTAAAGGCCTATTTTCCAAAAATGAATATGGGGGAAACTGAGAAATGAGGATACCAGATAAGTTCCACCTGCAGAGGCCTAGAAAGGTTGGCAGATCCATGTGGGGCAGTCACAGGTGCTGAGAAAGAGGGGCGGTTTTGCAAGGTGTGGGAAGCTGAGTGGGATGCAACTCCTGGAATTGGGGGTGACAGCCCAGAGAGTGCTGGCTGAATGAATATTCGGCTGAATCTGCTTTTTTAGCTGACCTGTTGGAATGCCTAAAGCCCAACTGCCAAGCACTCGCTCTGCACATTATCTTGAGTCCCCTTTGTGATAGTAGTGCCCTCTGCCTCTGGCTCCCCAGGCACTCACTTTCCTCTAGGGAGACAGGCAGGGAGTAGGTGGGTACAGGACAGCTGTGGTATGGGAATAGGGTACCTCGGGGCTGCAGGAGCACTAAGGGAGAGGCATCACCAGCCTTCCAGGTTAGGCAGTGCTGTTCAAGCCAACACTGGAGGAGGGGGAGAGGGAGCTGCAGCACGAGCTCTTAGTTGTATAAAATTGAAAGTGGGTAGGCTGAGGAGGGGTGGAATCACAGAACCTAAGAGAATTCAAAGGAGGGTAGCAGCCTATCTTTCCCAAGTGGCATAGTCTGTTTTTTTTTAATCCAACTATTTTTTAAATTGTACTGGGCATATGGTACCTTCCAAGACCAAGAGACAGCCAGATGGAGTTGAGAGGGATCATGAAACCTGTTTTGTTCTAGCAACTCTAGGGCTGCAAATATTGTTCAGCCTCCACTCCCTAAGGCTACGGGAGCTCATAGTGGTGTGAATTCCCAAGGGTTCGTGCGGGCACCACTGTGTCCCCTCAGGCAAACCACTGGTCTCTCCATGCAGTTGCATCCTTTAACACCCAAATAGAAATTATCCATTCCTTGGTCATAGTAGAATGAAATGAAAGCACTATGGAAAGGGGAAGGCTGTCCACCATTGAGGGAATTCCTGGAAATGGCACACTCTTGGTTCATGGCTCAGAGATGAGCTCCAATGAGCATTCACCATTACTGTCACTACGGTCCCACATCAGCAATGACCCAGGGGTGCAAAGTGCCTGCACCGCAGACACTGTCTCTCCCCAACCTTATGATGCAGGTCAGTCAATAAGTTCCTTGCAGTCAGATCTGGGGCTGGGGGATGGGGGGATGCATTGTCATGGCTGCCAACGAAGAGGAACGAGAGAAAGAGGAGTAGAAGGATTCGTAGAAAGATGGATGGAGGGATGGATAAGTGTAGGGGAGGCAATCTTAGTTTCCTCATCTTAGTTTCTGCAACTGGATCCCTGTAAATTAAACTGGCAAATGACAGTTTCACAACTTATTCAAAAAATAAAGACATTTATTAACATATGTATTGTTGGTGTACACATGGGTGCACCCAGTGATGAGTAACCAGAGGGATGGTCAGAACTTGGGTTTATAAAACATCTTAGGCTAAAGGAAAAGGGGCTTATGGATTCTGGGCTGGGAACACTAGACTAAAGAGGGAAGGTAAGAATAAGCCTTTAATTACTTGAATGCCCAGCAGCAGTGGTAAGGACCCTATACATGAGCATATAAAGTAACTCCTCTCCCTTACCAGGAAGAGGAAGACATCTTTTACAAATGGAAACTTTCCTTGTGAGTGTAAATTTACTTTACAGAAGAAAACCTTGTGCCCTGTTTTTGGAGCTTTGCCTGCGTCGGCTGTTTCTCAATGGCCTTTAGCTCAAAATCATCCATGTGCCAAAGAAACATATTTTGGGGTGGCATATTCTGCTGCCCTTCAGATGGAAGGAAGGATGATCTTGTATCCATAGTCCAACTTCTAGTTGAGCTTTTGCTCTTCCTCCTCCCCGTAGCAATATAGAGAATCAGTGTAAGATTTGGCTTCTTTTTAAAAAAAAATTCAACAACAATTTGCCAAGTCCCTGTTGTATCTCTGGTACACACTCCTCCCCTCAAGGAGTTCATGACTAAAAAGGAAAAGTAAGAATAACCCTTCAATTACTTGAATGCCCAGCCACAGTGGTAAGGACCCTATATAAGGGCATATAAAGTAAACTAGAAGTCCCAAGGAAGGTGTCATGACTGCCAGCTGGGAGCTGACCTTGCAGGATGAGGAGGAACTGAGGATACAGATAGCCCTGCATGGAGATGCCTGCCCATCCCTGTGGGAAACTGCAAATGGTTCCTTTTGGTTTGTGTATAGTTTACTTCGAAGTGGGGGTGGGGTGTGGAGCTGGCAGAAATAAACTGGAAAATGTAGGTCAGGACCTTATTATGAACATCCCTAAATACCAGTCTAAGAAACATGGACTTTTTTCTGTTGAATGTGGAGTAATTGTATACATACTTTGGAACACTGTGCTGCAATTAGCATATGTACCAACATGAATCGACTTCTGAGACCTGTGGTTTAATGAAAAATGTGAGTTGCAAAAAATATGCCCAGTATAATATCATCAGCGAAAAAATACTCTACAAAACAGTTCTATGTGTTTGCGTGTTTTCTGTGGGTCTGAAAGGACCCACACCAGACTGCTAACAGCAGTTACCTTTGGGGCGAAAAGAAAGAACTAGGGTTTGGGAGTGAGGAGTATTGAAGGGGGATGTCAGCATTTTTGGAAATCTTTTAGTTTTATTTTAACAAGGAAATGTTATCTTGCCATTAAACTGTAATTTTAAAATTCAAAAGATAATGGAGTCATTGGCTTAATTCCTGTTCTAAAATTTTCAATTAGAGCTTGCACATTCTGAGAATTGGGAAGATAGTCTCAAACCAAACAAAATCCAGGGATTAAAAAAAAAAGTCCCCACCTCCCCGACTCAGAGCCTGCAGAGAGAAGGAACTCTTTGGACTGCTTTTCTCCCAGGCCTGAATGGCCTTATTTGTTTCGTTCATTGATAATCAGTTTCAGGTGATGAGGGATGCTCTTGACCCACGTTGACCTTGCAGCAGCATTCTGCATTCCTGCCCATGACTGGATTCCACCCTGTGGCGGTGGCTGGCTCCGGGCAGCGGTGGTGAGTATGTTTTTCTCTTTCCTGGCACCAGGATCATTTTCTTGGAGAGTCTCTGTGGACGTTGGCAAATAGTTTTGGCCTTCTTCCAAGAGATTGGGTTTATACCAGTCTAAATGAGGCAGGCATTTAATCAGTCACCCAGGGAACAGGCTTGAGGCCCTCTGGTGTCTTCTTTATAATTAATTTTTAACATTTGTTTTCAGTATAAAATTTGGGCCTTTATCCTCTTTGAAATAAAAACATAGCATGCATATTAGACTGTATTGGCACTAAACTTCACACACCATTCTTTTATTCCCTTCCAACTATTAACTCCTATTAAGCAAGACAGAGGGATAATAAGATCCCCCTGCACTCCCCCGCCTTGCTGGCTTGTGTGATGCTTCATCCTCTGTAATTGCCTTCGGTGGCCAGGCTCTTTCCTATCATTAGTGTGCTTCAGAGGCTCCTTGTCAGGGCCCCGGCCACCTCCCAAGCTGCCATGCACCCCTTTTGCCATGCAGCCCTTTAATGCTACGGCCTTTCCCCAGCCCAACCACTGGGAGGCCCTGGTCCACTAAAGTTCTTGTTAACAAGACACAGGGGGTATTTCTGGATTTTTAACCCTGGAACTTACACTGGAACTGCTGCAGATGATTTCCTGTTTGTTCATTTGATTGACCTGCTCTTACGTCCTGAGAGCCCAGGCCTGGGTCAAAGGAACCCGAAACATCACAGTGGTTCTCGAACCTAGATCTATATAAACAACACTGAGAATGCTGACTAGAAGCGCAGATTCTGAGGCTTCTCCTCAGACCTACTGAGTTGGAATCTTTAGGACAAATGGAAAATTAACTGGCAACTTTTTGTTAAGCTGTGTAATTATTTGCAAGTCACTAAGTAAAGTGATCATTTTTCACTTTCTTTCAGAGAAGTTTCAGCACAAACTTATCTTTAACCTTCAATACCCTGGACTTTTTCTTAGGGCTGCTATGTACCCTTTGTGCAAATTAGAAACAGGAACCCTTCTTTCTGGACAGCAGCAGGCCACACAGAAGGCAAGACTAGGCCTGTGGGGCTCAGGATGCATTTCAGCCCCATTTACCTCCTTGGCCAGGAGTCTTTGTGCAGTTAACAACCTACACGGTTGCACATGGCAACCCTGCTTACTCTGTGCTCTGATGAACAAAATAGCTACCCTTGAGTACCTACATGTGTAAGCACAGGGTCAGCTTTTTCTTACGTAGTTATTATCTGTAACACCAACAGCAACTCTTAAGGATTTATGTTGAGAAAACTGAGGCTCAGAAAATTTGAAAATTTCCCTAAGATAACACAGTCAGAAAGAAGCAGAAGATTAAGACCCATACCAGGCTCTGATGTGGCAAGCAGTTGGCTGGATAGGAAATTATTTACAGTCAGTGCCTTACTTCTTCAACAAGACCATGGATAATTCCTTGTCCTCCTTCCCTCTGAGAAAACCATTAACTCCGGAGCCTACGAGAAGGTCCCTCAGGCCAAGAGTTAGCTGCCTGTCTTTGCTGCTGAGTGAGCAGAAGCCTCAGGCCTCCTGATGATGAATGAGTAAGTGTTTAGGAAGCACCAGGAGACCCGGGTGAAGGGCATGTGACATGGTAAAGCCTTAATGATTGTGTGTTTATTATTAGCAAAAGTTTCACTTTTTCCAGCCAGCCACCATGATTAAAAGTCCAGTTTCTCTTTTCATTTTGTGTAAGAATGTGAGCAAAGGGCTGAAAGTCAGAGAAGGATCATGAAATTGGAGTCAGTAAGGACTCCTTACTAAAGTTGTCCTGTCCTCTGGATTATCAGCTGTTTTCTGGAGTAAGGAGCTGCCCTGAGCAGAGCGCCAAATTGGCTGCCGATGAGGTTCGTGCTAGTTGCCACTTCTTCTCGGCACCTGTACCATCAGCCATGGCTGCGTTAGGAACCCGCTGGAACTCAGTGGCTTCCACAGCACTCAAGTGTTATCCCAGGGCTGCAGGGCAGCTAGGGCTCAGCTGGCCCAGGGTTGGGTGGGTCAGCTGAGTGGGTCTGCTTCTCATGGCTCTCATTCCCCATGGACTGGCAGGGTAGCAAGACAAGCTCTGCTCATAACAGCGGCAGAAGAGCATGAAGGCAAGTGAAAGCACTTGAGGTCCCTTAAGACCTAGGCCCCAGACTGGTACACCATCCATCTGCTGAACTCTATTGGCCAAAGCAAGTTCCGTGGCCAACCTAACGATGGAGCACAGAAGTAGGGTCCTCTCCCCTCTTTAGCAGGAGGAAGTGCAAAGGCACGTGGCAGAAGACAGAGATGAGGGTAAGAATTAGGGCCAGCAGTTCCCCCAGCACAGCCCCTCAACCTCCGAGGCTCGTTTGGTGGAAGCTTCCCCTCCTTGCAGGCAGCTGGAGAGCCTGGGGCCCCGTCCTCTGTACGCTGTCCTTATCAGTATTTTTCACAGGGCACAGAATTCAACCACCAGGTTGCTCACATTTTCAGAGAAAATCTGTCCCACATCAAATGTTTCTCATTCAATTCTCAAAAGCTCTTCTATGCTTTTTCCAAAAATGCCTCCCTCACACTCTGAGATCACAACCTAAGTTTTGCTCCCTTTCTTCATTTCTAATAAAATCTGAACTATGCAGATTGCCTTTCTCATAACCATGGTAGCTCGTTGTTGGCCCTTCCTTGAGTGGCGTTGGTCCTTCTCAGAGACAGAGGGCGGGGATCCCTAGCTGCCCTTGTGAGCGCATCATTAACTCTGGGAAGGGGCCACTGGCTTCACCATGATGCTTCTTTACCCCCCTCACCGAGAGAGCAGCGTCATCTCCCAGACTGTACCTTCCCAGGCCAAATGGCAGTTTTTTGAGGGGTCATCTAATCTGTCAGTTCCTAAAACTAGGTGGACATTAAAATCAGCTGGGACGTTGAATACAAATTCAGATGCCTGGGCCTGGACAACAGCAGGATGGGGCTGGAGGGTAAGCTCAGTTGGGAGCTGCTATCACTTTGCCTGCCGACCTATCTCCACTTGGAGTGACAGACTACTCCAGAAGCTAAGCCTCTTACTATCTGTTACCCAAATCAGTAAGACATGGTGGCATTACCAGTGTTATGCAAATGTCTTTTTTTTTTTTTTTTTTTTTTTTGAGACAGGGTCCGATTCTGTCACCCAGGCTGGAGTGCAGTGGCTCAATCTCAGCTCACTGCAACCTCTGCCTCCCAGGTTCAAGCGATTCTTCTGCCTCAGCCTCTCGAGTGGCTGGGATTACAGGCACTCACCACCATGCCTGTCTAATTTTTATATTTTTTGTAGAGACAGGGATTTACCATGTTGGCCAGGCTGGTGTCAAACTCCTGACCTCAAGTGATCCACCCACCTCAGTCTCCCAAAGTGCTGGGATTACAGGCATGAGCCACCACTCCTGGCCCGAATGTCTTCTTATTAAAGCAGGAGGTTCACATTCCTGCAGAATCTGCAGCCTTATTGTTGTGTGACCACAGGTAATGGGAGACAGCTTGCATCCTCTGGCCCTAAGAGTCCTCTTTGATTCTTTCAAGAGGGCCAGTTGAATAAATAAGTTCAGCATAGACAGATCAGTCACTCTGAACTTTACATTACCTGCTTTAGGGTTTAGGTTCTTCAGATCACCCACTAGGGTTCGAAACTGAGCAATCTCTCCAAGTGACGTCCTACCTAAGGCAGACTGTGAGGGGAGGGTGAGTCCCTCACCTCCATCGTCTGTGTGGCTATTTAAATAATTCTTTTGAAAGGGCACTGTGACCAGCAATTACAGACCCAGCTTTTAGACTCAACTCACTTCTTACTCTGACCTTCCTTCCTCAAGTCATTTTCCCCCTCTGGACCTCGGTGTCTTCATCTGGAAAATGAGATGATTGAATTAGGTTATCTAGAATCTTGCCACTCAAAATGTAATCAATGGGGCTTGTTAAAACCACAGAATTTGAGGCTACGCCCTAGACCTGCTGAATCAGAATCTGCAGATGATTCATGTGCACATTAAATTTTGAGAAGCACTGTTCTATAAGGTACCTTCCAGGAGCTTCAAATTCTGTGCCTTTGAAACCGTCGTTACCCTCCTGTACCTTTCCTGTCATTCTCCTCATGTTCCTTTTGTGAAAGCCTGTCTTAAAAGCCATCTGGTCCCTGGGCCTTCCATCATCAGCATTGCTGCTGATTCATTGTGCCGCCTTCTAGGTAAAGAGGCCTCATATTCTTTCATGCCAAGGATGAGGGGCCAGGAAATCCAGAGCAACTTAAAAGCCCTGAAAAGTCAGGAAGAAAACGGTAGTTAAAATTCTGAGCAAGCCTCATGCAAGTCTGGGTCACTAGACACGTCAGGATCACAAAATAGATTGAATGTTCCAAGAGTAGGGAGGAGCAGAAAGCAAGTTAGAGAACCAAAACCAACAGCAAGGAAAATATTATAGAAGCATGCAGGAAACCTATTTCCCATTACTGCTTGTCAAAAACATAGGCTGATATACACCCACGAAAAAAAGATTATAAATTTCCCTTGTTCTTTTCCTTCACTGTTTTGAAGAGGAGTTTCCTATGGAGTTGGAGTTGTGTTGATTGGCAATTTATTTGTGAATTGTTTCATGAAACCAAGGCTTCTCTTAGCAGTTTTCTGTTGTTCACTACAATTAACCATGGTTTAGTGGAAACTTCCTTTTCTCCAAGCCAACCTCCCCACCCGACCCCACCCCACCGCACCTGCTTCAAAGGATATCACCACTTAAATAACAGGCTCCTAAAGCTAATGGAAGATATACTTTTCCTGTGCTCTCCCAGAGCCTTCTGGTTTTTTTCCTGCCTCTTTGTAATAGCACATCAGCAACTATTTATTCTCATATTATTCTCAGGGAACATGGACAGTTGATGCATAAAACAAAAGAGTTATTCTTCACTCACATCTCAAGGCTTAGTCTGGGAACCCAGGGCACTGCAGAACTCTGAGACATTGGATTAGGGGCAAACTAACATAGTCATGACAGAAAATAAGCAAAATGTCTACTCTGTCTGTGAACCACTGTAATAAGCAGTTTATTGAACAGGTCCTGAGTGGGCCAAGCTCTTTGTAAGGAGAATTAAATGAGATAGTCTGCAGTCACTTTTCTGCAGGTAAAGAGACAGGTGAAGTAATTGCTCAAGGTCCCAGACCCAGCAAGTAGGGGTGAGGGTCCAAACCTAGGCCTCCTGGCTCCAAAGCTCATGCTCTGAGCCCCTGTCTCTTCCATTCTGGCTGTGAAATACCCCTTCCCCATCAGCCTGTTTTCCTGCATATGTTTTTGTTTTCAAACTGCCAATTATTTCTACTTAGTGTTCAAGACCCAGGTAGCAGTCTCCTCTTCTGGGGAGCCTTCCCTGACTCCCAGTTACCCTCATTCTACTCCTGGCAGGGCCAGCAGCAGCTCCTTTTTTTAATGTAATGAGCACTCCTCTCATAGTGTCTTAAAGTGAATTCTCCAGTGGTCTTTCTTTCTCATTATTAGACTCTGAGAACCTCAAGTCAGAGTCAGCCCTGACTAGCCATCTGTGTCCATCCAAGTACGCAGCACAGTGCCTGGCTGGAATGTCCATGTCTTTTCTTCCGTAAGATGAAGAATGTGCAGGTTCTTTGTGTTAAAACAATCCAAATAAATGATACAGAAAAGATTAGCATGGCCCCGTCACAAGGATGAAACGCAAATTCGTGAAGCATTCCGTATTAAAAAATAAGAATTAAAAAAAACCCATCCAAATAGAAGGCATGTGTGCTCATGCATATGTGAATGGATATTTCTCTACACATGTGCTATGTTCTGTTGCAACCTTGCACTTTAACATGTATAACTTATAAAAGGAGGTGGGGCTAACGCTATTTTAGTGACTCATGGAAGCAAGATGGCAGGTGCTTGCCCTCTGTGGCAGGGAAAACCTCTGTCAAAACTCAGAGCCCTCTGACACCCTGATTAACATTTCACAAGATGTCCGGGGTTTGTTTCTCTCCATCAAAACCTTGACTTTAGCCATTATTCATGCAAAACTGCTCTGAACAGGGGTCAGCAGAGCATGGCATGTTCAAAAAGGTGAACAGACGTTCATTTTTCCTTGTGGCTTCCCTGTGACAGATAGCTCTGTTCTGAGGCTCAGAAAGGGAGAGAACGGACTCAGAGTTCGGTGACCATGTGAAATGCACAGATCACCCCCCAGGTTGGGCTTCTGGGCAGTGTGTATAGCATAGGTGTTAAGAATGTAAGAGCCTGGCTTGCACTGGATAGCCAAGTGTCTTTGAGTGATTGAAGCCAGTGAGGTGAGTTGTTGCCTCATTCTGTGATGTGAGAGTAATAGTACCTTCCTCAAGGGCTGCTGATAGTATTAAGGAAGTCAGTAGATGTGAGGCATTTGGACAGCAGCTGACACACTGTTAGTGCTGTGGTTGTTGGGTTCTTGCTGGTCTGCCTGTTACTAGACTGGAGGCTCCCAGAAGGCAGGTCCCTCCCCATCATCAGTTTGTTTTTGTTTTTGTTTTACTATAGACTCCAGCGTAATACATCAGGCCTTGGCCTTGGTGGGCAGGTTGGAACAAATTGTGAGCTGATGGAGAAGTAGAGGCACAGGTTGGCTGTGTGGAATTTAGTAAGCTCCATTTTGTAATCAGTGATTGTTTCTTAAAACAAAACTGTCCACAGGCCCTATAACCATGGCAGGTCCCAGCTAAGATTCTCAGCTGAACCAGTGAAAAGCAGTCATCCTCCAAACACCAGAATCAAGATGGGGGATAACATGATCCATGACCTTTTAACTACATGAAATCTACTTCTAGTAAAAATAGTGGATGCAGATGGATGTTAAGGACATCTGCTCTTTTAAAAGTCCCACTGTCTCTCTCTTGCTGTTATGTTATTACTAGAGCTGTGGCTATGTCATTGCATCTTCTGCAGTTTTTAGGAAAGGGTTAGTGTGACAGAACGGGCCTTGCAGAAGGGAGAAAGCAAGGCAGGCGGGAGAAGGCTGGGCTCTGTTGACACAGAGTTAAACTCGGGCCTCTGCACTCATCCTGTGAGCAGATCTTGTCCCTGTGGTCACAGGTACCGTACAGCTGGGCCTGGCCAACTCGGTGTTTGGCCTGGACCAATACCTCACCTTGGTTTGCTTCTCCCCTTGGCTGCCTAAACATGGGTAAGACAGTGATGTGCCCTTGCACTGGCACAAAGGGGACAACAGAGTCCTTAGAAGGAGGGTAGGGTGAGCGTCCCTGCAGGAGTGGGATTCCCTTTGGATCTGACCGCCCATCAGGTCTCTGCCAGAGGTGACAGCCTTGGAATGGTTGTGGCCTCACCCAGCACATGGAGACACCACTTGGTACATTTGGGAAGTGAAGCCAGCCATGAGCCAGAAGGGCAACTTGGTTTGTCTCAGCAGGAACCCACAGCTGCCATCACGAGCTGGGAGCCCTGAGAAACGGTCCTCCTCGCTCATTTGCAGAACTTCCTGACTGATTTGGGTCAAGATCCCCCTGCTGAGATGGCTGCCCTGCAGCTTGCTGTTGGGTGGGACAGGGAATTGTTACCACTTCGGGTGAACAACGAGATTCTCAAACCAGAGAGTCCGTATCTTGTGTCCCCTCCATCTCTGCCTCAGTGCATGCATGAGCTTGGTGCTGCCCTCAGTACCTTGGGTGGAGAGGAGGGTGTGAAGAGAGGGATAAGATATTTGGATGGTTGATTAGTGTCTTAGTTTGGATTCCCCCAGCAGTATAAGTTGCGTGTCTGGGAGGTAAGCCCAGGCAGCACTGGTTAGGGGAGGGGGGAGTGAGACAGGGAAGGAAGGAGGCCAGGACAGCAGAATTCACTGGAGAGTAGTCACTGCAGCCCCTGAGGGGTGAGGGAGCTGGGTGGGGCATTCACGCACCAGCTCCCATGGTCACTGGGTCTAGGCTACTCCTGGACTGTTAATGTACAGGCACTTCCAGCCTGCCACCCTGCAGGCCAAAGCAGCCTCAGGCCAAGAGTCCAAGTGTGCACAAAGCCCTTGGTGGACCCAGCAGGTGCCAAGAGGACGTGGGCTGGGCAGCCCCTGCTACAGTTGGCTGGGGGAAGGGGTGTTTGCTTTTGTCTTTAAAGCAGATTAAGATTTAATCCATTGTACAAGAGGGAAAACTAAAAGTGGGAAGCAGCCCAAGTGTCCACAGACAGATGAATGGATCAACAAAATGTGGCCTATTTGTACAATGGAATATTATTCACAAGGAAGGAAATTCTGACACATGCTACATGGATGAACCTTGAAGACCTTATGTTAAATGAAATAGACCAGTCGCTAAAGGACAAATATATAATTCCACTCATATGAGGCTCCTAGAGTAGTCAAATCCAGAGGCAGAAAGTAGAACAGTGGTTACTAAGAGCTGTGGGGAGGGGAGTGGGAAGCTATTGTTTACGGGGTACAGTTTGGGAAGATGAAAATGTTATGGAGTTGGATGGTGGTGATGGCTATACAACAATGTGAACGCACTCAGTGCCACGGAACTGTACATGCAGAAATGGTTACAGTAGTAATTCTTATGTAATATGTATATGTGTGTATATATATGTGTGTGTGTGTATGTATGTGTGTGTGTATATATGTATGTGTGTGTGTGTGTGTGTATATATATATATAACACTTACCACAATAAAAGTAAAGAGAAGAGAAAAAGGGAAACGAAGGCCCATCATCTGAGTAATTTCTCCAGAGCTACCCAGTGGTTCCCTGGAGAGGCCATGAAGAGCCTGTGTAGAGGTGTCTGCTGTCCCTGTAGGTGCTAGGACTCCTCACCTGGCTTTGTCACCTCCTGGCCAGCCGAGGACTCCACAGCAGGGACAGAGCAGGTGTTTCTGGGTATTATAGCTCAGATTAATTTGAGTCAAGAATGAGACTTCCTGGTGTGTCAGAGAATAGGCCCCTTTGAATGACTCACCTGGCTCTGAATTCCATCGCTAGTTTTTGTCATGAGGAAAGTGAAGCTGGCTCCTTGAGGACCCACTCTGCATAGGAATGATGCTCTGCACCAGAGGCAGAGGGATTAGATCAAAACCTCTGCCCCTTCGTTAATGTCTTACAGGCAGATGGGCATGTGGACAGATAAGTGACATTTAGGCAGAAACCCGAAGGACAGGTTACTGAGGCTGCCAGGTAGAGGGGGACTGAGGGAGAGCTGGGGAAGTGTGAGCCATCCTTATGGGAGGGATGAAAGGTTAGAGTGGTAGAGAATGACATGATCAACTTTTCTTTTTAAAAAATCCCTTGTGCTGCAATGGGGAGAGTGGATTAGACTGAGGGAGGGTAAGGAGAGGCAGCCAGTTGGGAAGTGACTACAACCTTCCAGGTAAGATGTTGACAGGGTGGCTTGCACCTGAGCACAGAAGTGATGTCGCTGGTCTCACATGAAGGTCTCCCAGGAGGGTCAGGATATAGAAACACTTCAGCATCTTTGGAGAAAAACATCTATAAATCATAATCTACATTTAAGTAGAATTTGCAATGTATTTAATCAGTTGTAATGAGGCCCGATTTATATAGAAAACTGAACAGAAATTGGAAACCTCATTTTGGGTGGTTTGGAGGCCAACAGAGGTGGGATTGCCTCTTACTGCACCTTCTCTGGTGCACAGGGCATTGAGAGACTCCAGGAGGGGCTTTGCCATCTTTTATTCATTTATGCCCCTGTTGTAAAACAGAGGTCATACTCTATCTTTGTATGCTTTCTGTTTGTATCTCATTCTGCTAGATGCTGAGAGATAAAGAGATATATGAAATAAGGAATTCTGTCTCCAGAGATCTTCAATCCGGCTGGGGGTGTCAGACAAGGGCTGGTTAAATGGGTGTCTTTTGTAGCTGTTCAAGGCAGCCAAAAGTAGGGCATGATTAATTGTTTAATGATAAATGAGACAGAAAATACAGGACTGTAGGAAATGAATGGGACAAAAAATGCAGGACTGTAGGAAGCCTCAGGGAGAGCCCCCTAGGGTTTTCCAAGCCAGATCTGGACTCTAGAAGGATGCCTAAGATTGGGACAGATCAGAGAGGCTTGGGTGGGCTCCAGTGACTCACTGGAGCTGCAGAGGAAGATTCATTCCTACAGGTGTGAGGAGGCTGCAGGCTGCCCTACAGCTGGAAAGGGACATCTCCACTGCATGCCAGGGCCAGGGGCTTGTGCAAACTGGGAAGCCAAGCAGTTTTGAGCTGGTGGATGATATGTTCAAATAGTGTTTTTAAGACAATTTATTGGCCACAGTAGGTAGAATGACTAGAATGAGAGACTGCAGTGGAGAAGCCATCAAGGAGGATGTTAAGAGAATATCACAAGAGAATCAAGAGATGGGGTGTGGATGGGGAGGACATGGAGGGGCAGATGTGCCCCACATTGTAAACCAGCCAGGTGAGCTGCAGGCTGCTCATCAGGTTTCAGTGCCTGCACTGGGTTGGACCAGCGGGTCTAAGGACTTGACCCCAGCTGCACAATTCTGAGGCTCTCTGACAAGGAGTGGGGGGTGAGTTGATGGCAGGTAGAAATTGGTGTCAGGGTGAAGGAGGGGATAAGGGGTGATGGCCCTGGAAGGGGGTCAGGGGAGCGACTTATTTCAGGCATTCTGATGTGATGTGTTGGGGGGCATGCAAGGAGAACTGTCCATCAGATCCAACAGGAAGAGGATGAAGGGGAAAGAAATGGCCATTGGATGTATCTTTTAGAAGCCCATTGGGGCCTTCAAGAGTGTGAGGTGTGTAGGGTAGCAGAGTTGTGTGTCCGTGGTCAGGGGCCCAGGAAGAGAGATGGCACACTTACCTGGGTAATTTGAGGAGGGTTTAATAAAGGGATTGTGTACAGGGGTGTAAGCATGGCAGCCAGCCTGCAGGGACCAGAGGAGGGAGCTATAACCAGAACCTGAGAGAGGCCTGTGTAGAGAGGGGCCCTGCAGAGTGAGCCTAGGGTCCCAGTGTCCTGACCCCGCTCCCCTCTTGCCAGGAGTTAAGAGGGCCATTGATGAAGTCCCTCCCTACCACGTGTCAGCCTCCTGGAGCTCAGGGCCTGGTGACAAAGGGAGGAGAGGGGATTGGGGAGGGGCAAGCAGAAGACACCGCAACCAAGCTGCAGGGTGAGGGAGACAGGGATGATGTAGCCCAGACACGGCGGCAGGTTAATGGAGATGGTGGAAGCAGAAAGGGGTGGGTCCTGGGCAGCCCAGCAGGTGATGGTTGGAGGCTAGGAGCACAGCTGTGGTGCCTGTAATGGGAGGTGGGGGGAGGGGAGTCGGGGGTGACTGGAGAGCAGCCAAGATGGGAAAGGGGTAGGTTTGAGTCACAGGATATGTCACTGGTCAGTCCTCCTTCCAGCAGAAAAAAAAAGAAAAGAAAAGAAAAAGAAAACTCATAATTGAAGAGAAAAGAAGAAATATACTTGAGATACCCATGAAGACCAAGTTATAATGATGAAGAGTACACAGTGAGCTCCCAGGAATTGATGAGCCTTTCTGTCCTATGATTTGCTTTTTTGAAATCAACAGGAATGAGAATTTGCAAACTCTCCCTCCCCTTAGTTTATTTTCTCTGAAAGTCTGCCCCAACTGGTACATGAGAATAATTTCCTTAAACAAGTAGCCTGGTGGGAATCCATTCTTCAGAATCTGCATGTTAGCAAGGTTTGCCCTGGAGCAGGGCCCCTCAAGCTTTCGTGTGCACTCGTGGGGATCTTGTTCAGTGTCTGTGCCAATTCAGCAGGTCTGGGGAGCCCAAGATCTGCATTTCTAACCAGCTCTCCAGTGAAGAGCTGTCGGCCTCTGGAGCCACTGTGAGTAGTGAGGTCCTAGGAGACTTTTTCTAATGATTAGGATAAAACAAACAAGAGCCTAGATGGTTGCAGGTATAAGAACCAGATGGTAAACATCTACATGAAAAAAACACACCGCGTAGCAATGAGCTTGCTTCTATCCTGCCGCATCGCCCTCTGCTGCCCTTCTGAATAAATAAAGCCCTGCTTCTCCAGGAGATGTTCTCTGCTGGTACACACTGGGTGTCACTTAAAAGCAGGTGCTGCTGGAGGCAAAACCTTTCATGCACATTGTAAATTACCTGAAAAGAGCAGTGGCATCATAAATAGCTTGGCCTTGTTCTTTGCTGATTTCCTTCCTCTTGAAATAGTGCTCTAGTTCACACTACATGGTTTTTTACCACCACCCCTCTCTCCCTGCCCCTCACACACTAGAAATGGTTTCCTTCAACTTATTGGAGTGATTTAAGTTCATAGATGGAGGCAGACATTTCATGAACTCCCATAAATGCCTCCTTAACACCACTAAGTTCAAGGCTGGTGTCCCCATCCTTCTGTCTGTTGCCAGTAAATTTTTTAAAAGGCAGGTCCCTAGCGTCCATTGCGCTCACTAACTGAAGAGGCCTATTACAGTTTTACTGGATTTGAAGAGTACAGCGCGTTTGAGGATAGGGATTTCTCAGACCCTCCTCGCTCTGGGCCCTCCCTAAGTAGAAGCCGATGGGAGGACAACCGGCAAGCATCTGGTTTCTCAACTCCCAAGGGTCAGAAACTGGGACCTGCCTTTCACTCACTACCTATTATTATTATTATTATTTAGTTCTAATCTTGGGGTGACAAGTTGAGAGCTAGAGGTGTAGTTATTTTCATGAGGTAGTTTATATTGCACACTAAGGTCTATGAGGTGGATAAACCTAACTGCCTCCCTCCAGCCCCAGCTCACCCCCACCCCCTTCCACTGCCTGTTCTTAAACTTCCTTTCTAAAATGCAGATTGAAGCATTTGTTACCCCACGTGGTCTAGAAATACCTGGGTTCAGCCATCATTTTCTTCTCTCTTTCCTGATTGAATTCTTCATACCCTCTCAAACCCACCAAGCAAAACAAGTTCACCTGTAATCTCTGGCTCATGCTAGATTGTGGAGACTTAATTTACTCCAAGTGGAATCACCCCTTCACTTTAGAGAGCCCAGGGGGAAGCATGCTGCAGTGTCCTAATAAGAGCAATCACCAGTGAGCAGTTACTGTGTGCTAGAGGCTATACCAAGCCCTCTATATGCCGTAGCTCATTGCCATGTCAGATGCCTCTGTGAGATGGGGGTACAGTCACTTCCCCATTTCACAGAGAAAAAGACTGGGACATGCATGGATCCATACATCTGACTCTGGGTAGTCAGTTGGGTCTAGTGGCATTAGGCCTGCCCAGCTCCAGAACCCAAACTGCTAACTCTGCTCTCCAGCGCTAGAGCCTGCTTGAGCTGTTTGCATCCTAGCCAGATATACTCGTTGAAAGCCTCAATCCTATGGGGGTTTGGAAGTTCAGGTGACCCAGATTTGAACCGCTCCTTAATTAAAACACCTTGGTCTAACATGGTCCCAATGTGGAACTAGGTATTTAGTACCCTCCTCTGAGTGTTTCACAAACATCTGTATCCAGGGCTTTTGTTAAGGCACACCCTTTTAACGAAAAGTCCCATTCCTGCCTCAGGTCCCTCTGCACCTTTCAGGGACCCTGAGGAATCTGTGTTTAGGCGCTCAGCTGGTGCCCAGCCGCAGCACTGTTCCCGGGAGTCTCGGCAGCAGTCGCTTGTCTCAGGAGGGTCTGGATCTGGTGCATTCGTTTCTGTCTGATTGAGTTAGGCACCTCATATATAAAACTGCCAGACCCTGCCTGGGGTGTCTCTGAAAGCTGGGGTATTTCATTGGGTTGAGCAAATTTACAGTTCAACCAAAGTCTGTTGTGCACCTTCTAAGAGCAAGCCACAGACAGGGTGAAGTGGAAAGGCCAGATGGATATATAAAGCACAAGCCCTGTGTCTAGGGCCTTAAGGACACTGGCAGTGACAACGTATGTCCCTAAAGCACAGCATGGTGGCTTTATAACGTGCCATGGAAAGCTGAGGAAGGAAAGAGAGATTGCTGATTGCTGGCCAGCAGGGAACTGGAGAGGCCTCTTGGAGGGTGGCATTTGAGATGAGATTGGATTGAGGCAGTAGGACTCAGGCAAATCTTTGAGGAAGTGAGGCACGGCAGGTGGAGGCAGGGAAGCCCCCCCTTACGATTTTGAAGAGTGTCTGTCGGCGTCTGAGGGCCTGAAGCAGTGTTGCCATGTGTGCTTGGGAAGAACCAGGTCTAGATCCTCTACTTTTAGCCTACATCTAGAGTCTTCCCCCACCCAGAGCTTTGGAGACATTCTCATTTAATTCTCACCCCCATCCCTCAGGGGTATAGACTTTATCATCTCCATGTCATAGGTGAAGAAACTGAGGCCTGGAGAGGCTACAGGATTCACTCAAGGCCACACAGCTAAAAAGTGGTAAAGTGAGGGGTGAAGCTCCAGCAGGCCCTCTCAAGTGGCCACGTTCTTTACCCAAGATTTCTGCCTCATTGTAGTTAACCCTTCTCATGGAGAACCAAGACTAATCTGCAAAACCACAAGGCTTGAAAAGCACTGGGAGCTGCCCCTTCACCATGAATGAATTCAGGTGTCTTCAGGCCAGATCAGCCTCTGAACCTACACCTACATGGTGTAGAAGATGGAGATGCCTCCAGAACCTTCTACACAGGCCCCTACTTGGTGGCATGAGCCTCCAGGGTGGAACAACCACACCACAGGGGCGAGTGAGTGCTGAGAACCTTCTGCCTCTGGCCAGCCAGTAGCTCACCAGCCAGCCACATGCATGCATGTGTGCAGAGCCCCACCAGAGAGTGTCATGCCAGGGAGCTCCTGTCTCTTCTGAGCACCCTGAGGCAAAGGGAAACAAGGCATAGCAAATTAAAACAATTGAAGGCACATCACTTGTGCCTCTTTAAGGTAGCCATAAATACATAATTCTCAAACCTGCTATTCTGATTCCAGGTAATATGTTTTAACCATGGTCTGTGGGCTCTGGAAAGCAGCTGTGAGGAGCAGAGCAATAAATTGGATTGTAAAAGCACAGGATAGAAAAATGATTGCAGCATTTTTACAATTACCTGGTTTTCCTCAGTCCATAGAGGAAAGAGTGCTTTCTCTTTGTACTTCTGTGATAAAAGATGTATCCAGGTTAAGTCCGTGTCACTATTGTGTCATCATAATCTAGCATGTATTGATTGTTTGCCGCTCACCAAGACACACGGCCTCCCAATTAACCCTCGTGCCCACCCGACCAGGCAGGCTCGTCCATCATGTTTTTGCTTTTCATGCAAGTCAGCTGAGACAGAGGGGCCAAGCAGGGTTCAGAGCCACAGGGCTGGTAACTGTGGCAGCCAGGACCCCAACCCAAGGCATCAGACTCCAGAGCATGCTCCTCCCAAGAGGAAAAGTTTTGCTTTTCGTTACGTTACTGTGAGGAGAAGGAAAATAGGTCAATTTTCATTCTTCAAATCACATTTTCAACGGGGATTCAGTCTCTGGGCCCTCGGAAACTCGAGCACATGGTCCCTCTAACTGGAGCAGCCAGGTCCCCTCTTTGTACTGGGGGCTGGCAGGACCAATGCTTTGTGTGCAAGCATGCTGCTGCTTTCATTATCTTCCAGCACATTATTAAGAATCCTGCACATTATAAAAGTGAACTTAGATCTGTTGTACCAAGTACAAGCCACTTTCTATTTTTTGCTCTTCTACTTAAATTTTCAAAGATTCTAAAATAGCAGTTGCCATTTTTTACCACCTTCTCTTCTGAAATATTTAATTCTTCCTTGGGAGGTTTAACATTGTGTTGCTCAAGGATTAACTTCCATTTTTTGAAGACAGTCTATTAGTCAAGGCAGGCAGAAAATGGATTTCACCAAGTGGCAGAGACGAAGGACAGCAGTGCAAGCGGAGAGAGACAGGGAAGCCTTGCTTTTGCGTTTATAAAGCCACTTGCCCATCAGCAAACCTGGGACCAACTGCCTTTATTAAACGCATACTGATTTTTAAAAAGCAAAGTTTCCCTGCAAAGACTAATTTTAAGGGGATTAATGCTCAATGAATAATGCACTGGGGAAGAACTAGTACAGTAATATGTAATTGGGAGAGGAAGAATCAAAGGTGATGAAGTACACAAGTCACCTTCCAGATGCAAAGCAAGTTGGAGACGGATGGTGGGTCTAAGGCCAATTGGAACATGTGGGCAGCTCCCAACTCACCAGCTGGAATGGGAACAGCCAGGATCATGGGCTGCTGCTGTTTCTCTAATTGTCTGTTTCTTTTTTTTTTTTCTTTTTTCCTTCAGAGACAGGGTCTTGCTCTGTTGCCCAGCCTGGAGTGCAGTGGTGCCATCATAGCTCACTACAGCCTCAAACTCCTGGGCTGAAGCGATTCTCCCACTTCAGCTTCCTGAGTAGCTAGGACTACAGGTGTACACCACTATGCTCAGCTAATACTTTTTTTTTTTTTTTGTAGAGATGGGGTCTCTGTATGTGGCCCAGACTGGACTCAAACTCCTCATCTCAAGCAGTCCTCCTGCTTCAGCCTCCCAAAGTGCTGGGATTACAGGCGTGTTTCTTAATAACTGCCAGAGAAGAGGGGAGGGAGGAAATCATGAGAAAGATGAAAGCCTTGGTGATTTTAGCCTTTTTATGTGAAGGTCCTAATCCAAGCCTTTTTTCTGTTAGATGATGAAGTCAGATGATGCTGATCATAGGTAATTCTGTAAGATCTCTTGTTTGGGTCAGTTTCTGGCCTCCATTTTCCTCTCCCCTTGGGCTAGGCCCAAAAAGCTTGAAGTTTATTCCTCTCCAGAGACAGCTTTTTCCAACAGCTTCTTGTGGATAGCCGCAATGGGTTACTGCTGTCCTCCACGTGTCTTTGCCTTCTTTCCTGCTCTGTTCAGCCAACAGGACTTCATGTAATCTGTGGGGTATGCAGTTTTTTGCTTCTTTGACCCAAAGTATCAGAATTCATTCACAGTGGTAGTGGAAGAAAGGGACAGTTACGGCCAGGCGCGGTGGCTCATGCCTTCAATCCCAGCACTTTGGGAGGCTGAGGTGGGTGGATCACGAGGTCAGGAGATCGAGACCATCCTGGCTAACACGGTGAAACCCCGTCTCTACTAAAAATACAAAAAATTAGCCAGGTGTGGTGGTGGGTGCCTGTAGTCTCAGCTACTCAGGAGGCTGAGGCAGGAGAATGGCATGAACCCGGGAGGTGGAGCTTGCAGTGAGCTGAGATCGCGCCACTGCACTCCAGCCTGGGTGACACAGTGAGACTCCGTCTCAAAAAAAAGAGAGGGACACTTTCTTCCCTTAATCCTAACTCAAAAGAAAAATTTCTAAGCCATGATGTTAGTTATGAGGTCAATGTGGGAAAATGTAATTCTTGGCCAATGAACTGCCAAGTCTGATTCCTAAATCCAGATTGGGTAGTGATGAATTGTTAACTCTTGCCAACTTTTGTTTTTTTTTTTCTTGAAAAATAAATGGGGCTCCTAAAAATTTAAAAGAAATTATTAGGATCCCATCTTTAGCACATTTCTGCCTTGCTACTGGCTCCTTGGGAGACACAGAGGACACTGCCAGTTTTCTACTTTGCTTCAGGATCCCTTTCTAACACAGAGGTACAGGAGCCCCCTGGATCTGGGGAGCTGTGAGTGCGCAGGGCTTCCTGAGATGCTTCACAACAGGTTTCACCTGTAAAGGTGGGCACCCACCCCTCCTGGGAAGGCAGGCCCTCTGGCTCCCACATTCTCAACGCTCTTTCATCCCCAGGTTTGCAGTAATTACAAGGCCAGGCACAGGGTGGAGGAAGTGTGTGGAGAATGCCTCCCAACCTATAGTGCCTAGGGCTAAGGGGCTCACACCTTGCTGCACATTAGAATTACCTGGGGCAGGGAGGGCCTTTTAGAAACCCTCTTCCAGACTCACCCTAGACTAAATAAATCAAATCTCTGGGGCAAGGGATGCAGGCATCAATACTTGGTCGAACAGCCCACATGAATCCATTGTGCAGCCACGTTCGAGAACCACTGATCTCAACAGACCTCCCGAGGCAGCATTGGGAAGAGATTGATTCAGAATGATACCTGCCTGCATCCTAGTCCCCTTGTATTTAGCAGGCTCTACAGGTCACTGTTTTCCATACTTTTCCCATTGCTTTTTACTTTGTTTTTGACACATTTATTTTGCAGCTTCAGTTTCCCTCTACAGTCAGTCAGACACAAGCTTTAATAGTCATGGTTCTCACCAAGAAGGCAGTTTAAAGCTTTAAGCAGTATATGAGCTTATACTCTTTGTCTGACTTAGTAAATCTGCTGTCTTTTAAGCAATGGTAATGAAGACTTCACGATTCCATTGTAGTTGTTTTGTTGTATTTAACCAGATTTTCTTTCTAAAAGCAAGGATGTGTTTTGGCTTTAAAAGATTATTATAATTCTTTTAAAATTAAGGATGCCATTGACTTTGGGGCCAGAAAATTCCTTTATTCTAGAATTCTTCTACCAGTGATTACAGTAGGTCTTTTAAAACATTCTACTGATTTTTTTAAAAATTTACATTTAAGGACAACAGGTATAAAGTTGAAGTACTATGTGAAGCAGGAAGAACAAAATGAAACAGCTGTCATGGCAATCAGCCACTCCTTTTTTTTTTATAAGACTGTAATAAATAATGTGTTTATGTCCCCACCAATATGCTTTCTAGAACACATAAGTATGGTATAATGGGAGGCAGAAATCTCTGCTTCAGATTCTGACTCATCCACTATCTAAACGTGAAATGTTAGGTATAATACTATTTCATTTATTAAGACTATTTCTATTCTGCCTACCTCACAGGGCTATTATGTGGTTCCAAAGAGATATAGGTGAAGGCCCCTCAAAAAGCCTAACACACTGTGTGATATGATGTAAATCTTAAAATGTTAATTAAGGTTGCACTGTCTGCAGTGGCCTTTTTGTACATGGATGGGTACAAGTCTGCCCTAAAATAGGCACCATGAAGACATGATTTAGCAGAAGAACAGAGGTTAAAAGGGAAATTAATAATATAACCGATAACTTTTCAGTGCTGTTTCCCTAATGGCAAAGGGAATTTACATTATGACTTGCAGAGGGTAATTAATTGGTTGAAACACCCCAACATTCATGACAATGCTTTAAAAATGCCTTGCACCATACATCATAGCAGAAAGGCCAGGGGAGTTGGGAAGAGCGAGGGATTCTCAAATAGGTAGATATTTACATAATATACTGAGTTTGAATTGTTCAAGTTATTTTAAAGTTAACTGAAATTGTTTAATTGTAATATGTTTTATATGTAACATATTTTCTCCACCCTGAGGTTAACATTCAATGTTTTGTCAGAGACACCTTGGAAAGCAGGGAAGTGCTGCAGCTGGGAAGTATAGTGGTGCATCAAGGCCTGGTCACTGTTGTAACTCACTCACTGTTGTGTGTTTATGCCACAAGACTTACCACTGTTTAGGATAGTAGAATGAAGACATGGGGTAGTGCCTTATATTTACTTTTTTAAGGATAAACATGTATCATACTTTTAAAAAATCATCAAGGTAGAAGGCCTTCTTTTGGAATGATGGAGGTATAAGTGAGTGAGGTACATGTTCATACTCAACAACATATGTTGAGTATGTTTATACTTACCATAATGCCCTTGAGAGCCATTCAGGTTGTTGTGTGTATCGGTACTTTGTGCCGTCTTTGTGAAGTAGTATTCCATAGTAGGGATGTATCACAGATTGTTTAATCATTTACCTATTGAGGGATATTTTAGTTGTTTCCAGTTAAGGACTATTTCAAGTAAAGCTGCTATGAACTATTATATACAAGTTTTCATGTGAACATAAATCATACTTTTTCAGGAACAAATGCCCAGAATACAATTGCTGGGTCACATAGCAAGTGTGTGTTTAGTTTCTGAAGAAATTGCCAAACTGTTTTCCAGAGTGGCTGTACCATTTTACACTCCCACAGGCAATGTATGAGAGAGGTGGTTTCTCCCCATCCTCTCCAGCATTTTGTGCTGTCACTGTTTTTTGTTATCTATACTAAGAAGTGTGTAGTGATATCTCATTGTGGTCTTAATTTGCATTTCCCTAATGGACAGTTCTGTTGAATATTTTTTCATGTGCTTATTTGCTACCTATATATCCTTTGCAGTGGAATGTCTGTTCATGTCTTTTGCCCATTTTCTAATTGAATTATTTGTTATTTTGAGTTCTTTGTATATTCTAGATAATAATCCTTTGTAGAATATGTGATTTCTGAATATTTTCTCCCAGTCTATATATTGTCTATTCATCCTCTTAATAGTCTTTTGCAGAGCAAAAGGTTTTAATTTTGTTAGAGTCGAATTATCAATTTTTTTCTTTTATAGTGTCATGTTATACCTAAGGATTCTTTGCCCAGCCCCATAATCTGAAGATTTTCTCATGCTTTTTTTCTAAGTTTTATAGTTTTATATTTAAGTCCATTACCCATTTTGAGTTAATTTTTATGTAAGAGATGAGATTTAAGTTGAGGTTCATTTTATGTCTATGAATGTTCAATTACTCCAATGCCATTGTCAAAATGCTACCCTTCCTCTAATGAGTTTCTTTTGCACCTTTGTCAGAAATCAATTGGGAAATAATTTGTGTCTTTCCCTCAACCAATACCACACAGTCCTGAGTACTATAGCTATATCATAAGTCTTGAAATCAGGCAGATTGATTCATCTCACTTGATTCTTTTTCAAAATTGAGCTATCTAGTTCTTTCGCTTTTACATATACATTTTAAAATAATCTTGTCTGTATCTATAAAATACAGGGATTTTGTTAAGAATTGCATTAAGGCGGGGCACGGTGGCTCACACCTGTAATCCCAGCACTTTGGGAGGCCGAGGTGGGTGGATCACCTGAGATCGGGAGTTTGAGACCAGCCTGAGCAACATGGAGAAACCCCATCTCTACTAAAAATGCAAAATTAGCCCAGTGTGGTGGTGCATGCCTGTAATCCCAGCTACTCAGGAGGCTGAGGCAGGAGAATCATTTGAACCTAGGAAGCGGAGGTTGTGGTGAGCCAAGATCGCACCGTTGCACTCCAGCCTGAGCAACAAGAGTGAAACTCCATCTCAAAAAAAAAAAAAAAAAAAAAAAAAAAAAAAGAATTGCATTAAATCTGTATCATTTTGGGCAGAATCGACATCTTTACTATGTTGAGTTTTCAAATCCATGAACACAATATGCCTCTCCGTTTATTTAGATTTTGTATTTCTTTCATTAGCATTTTGTGGTTTTCAGCATCCAAGTTCTATGCAAGTTTTGTTAAATTTACATGTGTAAGACGAATAAAACAGTTTTTCCCCCTACTCACACACCACTCCACATAATACTCCTGACACCAGCTGTGTAGAGGTAGTTCCCCACACTCGGTGCAGTTTTTCAGAGGACACCAGCTGGGCGTCCTATAATTCAATTCAATTGTGACAGTTATCTACCTGGAGATAACATCAGAACCCACAGTTGAAGGGCTTAGTCCCGCAAGATTCCCCCACCTTCAGATGCCAATCACAAGTAGTAAGTTGTTGTCTATACTTCTGATTGACCAGCTCTAAATCTGGGCTCCCACACCCTCTTATTGGCTCTATTAATTTGCTAGAGTGGCTCATAGAACTCAGGGAAACACTTGACTTACACTTACTGGCTTATTAATAAAGGATACAGATGGACAGCCAGATGAAGGGGTACTTAGGGCGAGGTCTGGAAGGGTCCTGAGCACAGGAACTTCTATTCCATGGAGTTGGGGTGCCCTACCCTCCTGGCACACAGATGTGTTTGCCAACCTGGAACACCTCTGAATGCCATAGTTCAGAGATTTTTATGGATGCTTCATCACATAGGCATGATGAATTCTTAACTCTCCAGCACCTCTCTGCTCTATGGAGACTGGTGGGGGTGGCTAAATGCTCCCAGCTTAAATTAGACGGGCATGGTGGCACGTGCCTGTAATTCCAGCTACTAGCGGGGCTGAGGCAGGAGGATCGCTTGAACCTGGGAGTCAGAGGTTGCAGTGAGCTGAGATCGTGCCACTGCACTCCAGTCTGGGGGACAAAGCAAGACTCTGTCTTAAAAAACAAACAAACAAACAAACAAACAAACAAACCTCCAAGCTTATCATTAAAGCTTGGTTGTGTTTATGGTTCTGGTGACCAGTCTCCATCTAGGAGCCCACCAAGAGTCACCTTATTAGAATAAAAGATGTGTCTGTTATCAGGAACTTCCAAGAGATTTAGAAGCTCTGTGTTAGGAAACTGGGTCAAAGAACAAATTTTAGAACAGAAGATTCCCCTAGTACCCCATTTGTAAGGATAGGATCTCTGTCTTAGGAACTAGGACAGAGACCAAATATTAGAACAAAAGATCCTCCTAGCACCCCTATTGCTCGGGAAATTACAAGGGTTTTTAGGAGGTCTGTGCCAGGAACTGGGAGGGCAGAGACATACATATATATATATATATATATATATTCATTGCTAGCATATAGAAATACAATTGATTTTTACATGTTTACTATGTTTATCTTGTATTCTGTAGCCTCTCTGAACTTCCTCATGAATTCTAGGAGTTTTCTGGGTTTTCTTGTTTTCCTTTTGGATTCCTTGGGACTTTCTGCATAATTTCATGTTCTCTAGATATACGGACAGCTTTATTTCTTCCCTTTTGTTCTTCATGCTTTTTATTTCTTTCTCTTGCTTTATTACACTGGCTAGAACTTCCAGTACTATGTTGAATAAAAAAGGTGAAAGCAGACATCCTTGCCTTGTCTCATTTTATGGGGTAAGCATTCAGTTTTTCACCATGAAGTATATTAATTGTAGAATATTTGGTAGGTGCTTTTTATCAAGTTGAAGAAGTTCTATATTTATATTTTTCTTAGAGTTTTTATCATGAACAGGTATTGAATTTTGTCAAATACTTTTTCTGCATAAATTGATATTTGTTGATGGAGTTTTGAATATTGAACCAGCTTGCTTCCCTGGAATAAACCCCATTTGGCCATGGTGTATAATTCACTTCCTAATACTGCTGAATTTTATTTGCTAATGTTTTGTTAAGGAGTTTTGTATCTATTTTTATGAGGCATATTTTGGTCTACAGTTTTCTTTTGTGTACTATCCCTGTCTGGTTTTGATATGAGAGTAATATTGTCTTCATAAGTTGAGAACTGTTTCTTCCTCTTCTATTTACTGGAAGGCAATGTGTTGAACTGGGGTTCATTCTTCTTTGGTGGAATTCTCCTAGGAAAACATCTGGACCAGGGGATTTTCATTTCAGGAGATTTTAAATTACAAATTCAGGCCGGGCACAGTGGCTGACACCTGTAATCCCAGCACTTTGGGAGGCCGAGGCGGGCGGATCATGAGGTCAGGAGATCGAGACCATCCTGGCTAACACAGTGAAACCCTGTCTCTACTAAAAATACAAAAAAAAAAAAAATTAGCCAGACGTGGTGATGGGCGCCTGTAGTCCCGGCTACTCGGGAGGCTGAGGCAGGAGAATGGTGTGAACCCAGGAGGCAGGGCTTGCAGTAAGCGGAGATTGCGCCACTGCACTCCAGCCTGGGCGACAGAGCGAGACTCCATCTCAAAAAAATAAAAATAAAAAATAAATTACAGATTCAATTTCCCTAATAGTTAAAGGGCTGTTCCGATTATCTATTTCATATTGGGTGAGTTTGGTGTTTTTTGAGGAATTGGTTCATTTTATCTAAGTTTATCAAATTTATGTGTGTAGAGCTTTTCATAGTAATTACTATCCTTTTGATGTCTATACAGTCCATAAAATCTTCTGTGCTTTAATTCTTGATATTGATAATTTCTGTTTTCTTTCATTTTTGCTTTGTCACTATCTAGAAATTTGTCAATTTTCTTGATTCTTTTCTAAGAACCAGATTTCTGTTTCATTCATTTTCTGTACTTTTCTATTTTCAATTTCACTGGTTTCTGCTTGTTACTATTTCCTTTCTTTGCTTGCTTTGGGTTTATTTTGCTCTTTTTCTAGGTGCTTGAGGTAGGAGTTTAGATTATTATTATTTGGAACTCTTCTTCTTTTCTAATATAAGCATTTATGATGCCCCTTTCCTAGTTCTTTGGCTACTGAGATAATTTTGAGTTTGGGGGGACCTTTAACCATTTTTTCTATGCCCTGTGGCATTTCCAGGTCGATGGCTTCTTCACCTCCAGGTCTGGAATAGATGAGGCAAAAAGAAAAGCCAGTAAAGTCATCACTGTCATTCTTTAGGGTCCAAGGTCCCCCGCTAGACTTCTTCCTTTTCTCTTTTCATATCTATATCTCTATGATGTGAAAATACAGATATAGATACAGCTATATGTAGGCATCTTACTAAACAATTTAATAATTCTAACCACTTTCAAGTGGATGAACTTGGATTTTGGAGGATAATAATCACAAACTTTGAAAAGTACTATGTTTTCTCTTTCTTTCCAATATTTGTACCTCACTTCATTTTCTGGTCACTGCCTTTCCCAAGACCACTGGTGTAATGTGGAAGTAATCACAATGATGGCCATTTATCCCTCTCTTACTTCTTGTATTTCAGTGTTAAATAGAATTGCTTTATAGGTTTCTGTAGGAATTGATGTTTTGAGTCATCAAATGTCGGTACTGAATTTATCAAGATGATTGTGTGGTTTTTCTATTAATTAGTTGAATCATAGTAATGGATTCTTCTAATGTTGAGTCATCCTTGCATTCCTAGGATCAATTCTTCTAGATCGTGTTGTGTTACTCTTTAAAAACACTACTGATTTTGAATTAGGAAATTATATTAGGATTTTTGCTTATGTATGCATTAATAAGATTGTGCTTAGAACCTCTCCTGCACACCAAACCAATAGCCTCTTTCAGAGGGGTCATATGTTCTTCCTATGGTCACTCTATTAAATTAATATCAAATTTCCTTTTAAATATTAAATTTCTTCCTATTAAATGCCTTGCCTGGCTTTTGCAGGCATTTTGAGTTGTTGAACTCTGGTCTGTACTTTGCTATTTTAGTGCCATACTATCCACTTTTGGTATCTAGGTTATGCTAGCTTTGTAGTAGAATTGAGACGTTCTATATATTTTCTATGTTCTATGCAGTCTAGCACAGGAATTAATATGTACTTTACACTTTAAAGGTTGTTAAAAGTAAAAAAAAAAAAAAAATGTAGTGAGTAGTAAAACCATCTGGGCCTGGGACCTGGCTGGTGGGGGGGTGGGATCTTTGACTATCTTTTCAACTTTTTTTCGTATAGTTTCTGATCTTTTCAGGTTTTCTGTCTCTTTTTTAATCATTTTAGTAGTTCATATACGTCTAGAAAATTTTTATTCCCACATTTATTCTTCCAAAATTCTTTTAAATATACTGGTATTTGCATATGTACTCTCTAATAATTCGAAATCAAATTCATGTCTGTAGTTATATCCTCTGTATTATTCCTAAGTTTGTTTTGTTTACTCTTTTTCATACTGGTCTTTTATTGATCTTAACATCTTTTGGGTTTTAATCATCAAACCGACTTTTTTGTTTTCTATTTCATCATCCTACTTTTTCTTTATTGAATCCCTTTCTTCTACTTTTTTTAAAGAACCTTATTATTGTTTAGCACATTTTCAATCTTTCTTATTTTGCATTTTAAACTTTGACTCTGTCTTTGATGCGTCCTGTAAATTTTGAGCTGAGTGCTCTGATTATTACTCATCGCTATATGGTCTCTAATTTCAGCTTTGATTTTCTTTTATAAATTACTCTTGGGTTAGAGCTCCAAGAGATCTGTAGTATTTCTCTTTTGAGGGTTTTATTAAGATTTTATTTCTGGCTGAATACTGAGTCAGATTTTTTAAGTGTTTAATAGAAATTTAAACATGTATTTTATGTTTGTTGAAAACTGAGTTTACATATGAAAATTATCTAGCTCAATGATTGTGTGTTCAAATCATCTATACCCTTACCTATTTTTTTGTCTGCTTGGTCTCTCAATTTCTGAGAAAGATGTGCTAAAGTTCCTCACCATGATTATGGGTTAACAGTTTCTGCTTGCATTTCTAACACTTGTGACACAGTTCCATGCTGTGTTGTTCAGTGGGGAAAGGTTTGTGGCTACTATTATCTTCTAGATTGCATCTTTAATCCATATAAAACATTCTCTTGCTTTTGGCCTTGAATTCTATTTTTGTCTGACATTGATACTGTGGTTTTTGCTTTCTTTTTGACAACATTTAGTTGGTTTATCTCCAGTCATTCTATATCATTTTAAGTCTTTTGAAAATAACAAACAGCTTGGTTCTGTACATTTCCCATCTGAAAGTCTGTTAACAGGAGACTCTAAACAGTATTTATTATAGATATTGGTATATTTGGACTTATCCCTGTCATTCATTTTCATTTTCTACTTAACACACTTCTTGTTTCTCTACCTGCCTCCTTTTTCTTTATTGCTATTCTTCATTGCTTATTCATAATGTTTTCTTTTTCATCCTTCTGTGCTTTGGAAGTTCTACATCCTATTCTTCTTATTTTTTTCATTTTTTGTTTTATTTATTTATTTATTGAGACAGGGTCTTGCTGCGTTACCCAGGCTGGAGTGCAGTGGTGCAATTATGGCTCACTGCAGCCTCAACCTCCCAAGTAGCTAGGACTACAGGTGCACACCACCATCCTTTTTTTTTTTTTTTTTTTTTAGAGACAGGGTCTCACTGTGTTGCCCAGACTGGTCTTAAACTCTTGGGCTCAAAGTGATCCTCCTGCCTCAGCCTCCCAAAGTGCTGGGATTACAAGATTGAACCACTGCACCCGGCTGACTCTTTAGTTATTTAAAGCAGAGTATTTAATCCTTATCATTGATGGGAAACTATAATTTTAATCAAAACTTGTAATCTACCCTCCCCCACCAAGACAAAATCTTTAGCACATTTTTACATGTTTTTAACTTCCAAGGATTTCTCGCCTCCTGATTGTTCTTTTTTCACAATAACCTATTGTTGTTTTACCAGTGCACTGTATCTTTGAAGAGAGAGAGAGAGTGTGTGTGTGTAGTGTATAAGTTCTGTTATCTGCATTGGAGTCTAGTTCTATTTATCCTCAACTGTCTCTATTGTGCAAATGATTTCCTCAAATATCTGATGATTCTTGCTTGTCCATTCATATTTTAAATACAGAAATGTGTGAACTGATTGTCATGTGTTTCCTCAGCAGTCATGAGCCTTGGTTTCCACTGCAGATCTCACCTCTGGAGGTAAGGGATGACTAAGAGCCACATGTCAGTAGCAGGTTTCCCTTTGGGGTGCCCGGGAAGTGAGCAGCCCACTGCTGGGACCCTCATGGGGCGTCATAGGGAAGCTTCATCCTGTGGAGCAGTTTCCCAGAGCTTACTTCTGAACAGAGTTGTGTTTCTCTTTTCCTTGCCTTATCCTTGACGCTGTCTACTGAGGTACCTTGTGCCCTCTGACTGATGTTCTAGACTCAGTATCCCGGAGAACAGTCCCTCCACATTCTAGACCAATTCCCAGCCTTAAGGGCTACACTCATGGGTCAAGCTGGGTTAAGCTTGGTCACACACACTGCCTCCAGCCTTCTACACAGCTGGGGAAGGGGCAGGAAGGATTGGTCCCTGTGTGCAGACTATCTTTTAACTTAGTCTGCCCGTCCTCCACATTTGGAGTTTTTTCAGCCTACCATTGTGAAGACTCTCTTACCTCTGCTGAGTCTACCACTGGGCCTGTGCAGGGTAGCAGTTCACTGCTGTAACTTTCCCATCAACCTGCCCCACCTGCTTTCTGCCTTCTAGAAGTTCATCAATGTACCTGGGGTGCTAATAGGGCCCACCTTTCAATGCTATTAAGAATTTATTTTCTTTCTTGGTGAAGGGAAGAAAACATTTATGCTTGGTCTGCCATCTTGAACCAAAAGTCTAGAAGGGGGTTTAGGATGTTACAAACATAGCTTTTTGAGTGAAAAAACAAATCACTAAAATATTTTTTCTATAAATAACTCTAAAAGAGACATCTCTTTTCCTTTAAATGTTAGTCACATAAATAAAATATAGGAATGTAGTAGTGTTTGTCGAAGACTAGAATGAAGTAGTGAGCACTACTGTCCCTACAGAGGCTGAGTGTTGGGGCTGAGCCTGTATTGGCAGCATTGGTCATATACACTGTCTGCCTCTATTAAAATGTAACTACTATTAGCAAATGAATTAAATACTTCAGTTGCCTAGTAACTAATCCAATCTGAGAAAGAAGCAAAAATAGAATACATAAATTTAGAAATTTTAGGCCACGTGCCAAGCAAAATATTCTTGCTATATCCTTTTGATCATCTGCGATTTGAATGGAAGAAAGAGTATTTTGGTGTCAAGGCAACATTTGTGTTGACATTTCTTGGAAAAAGTGAATATTGCTTGATAACTGAACATATATGAGAAATCATCTGGCTTCCCAGGGACCTCTGGCCACACTATCCCTCAAAATCACCAAATGGAAGAAACTCTGACTAGTAGCAATTTATTTTTCTGTCTTAATTAAAAAGCCAAAGGACATTATGTGATTTCAGCCACATTGTACTGTTAGAAGAAAAGTATAAACCATCTGCTTTACCCATTTTCATGAAAATAAAAATATCAAGCAGCTTTTCAACAAGACACAAAAAAATTAAACAATTTAATGTTTTGTGTACGTGAAGTAATTACTGGGGGGCCATATATTACAGTTCAAAGAAATACCATGATATTGACATTAAATGTGATGCCAGTTACTTCAAATATTACTTTTTTCTGTCTCCATTAAAAAAATTTAAAAAAAGTATTTACAGATGACATATTACAAAATAGTAAGTAAAAAAGAAAATGAAAAAATTATTCCCCTCCAAATAAAAAGAATGTAAAACTTAAAGAAGACTTATAAGACTAGTACAATGAATTTCATATACTCTGGACCCAGATTGATTACTTTATAACTTCTCTCCCTGTCTCCCTTTCTCTCTCTCTCTCTTACACACACACACACACACACACACACACACACACACACACACACACACACAAATGTATGCGTATACATATATACACATTCTCCCCTAAACCATTTGGGAATTAGTTTTGTCTTTAAATATTTCATTATGTATTTCCTGAGAACATAACCAAGCACAATTATACAATTCAGGAAATTTAACATTGGTATAATATTGTATCGGTTCAATTGTATTAGTATTGTATTGATACAGTATCACTATCCATATTCACATTTTGCCACTTGTCCCAATAATGTCCTTTACAGACATTTCTTTTTCCCTTGATCCAGGATTCAGTCCAGTAGCGTGCATTGCATTTGGTTATGTTTCTTTGATCTTCAGTAATGTGAAACAGTCCCTCAGCCTTTCTTGTCTTTCATGACATTGACGTTTTTGAAGAAAACCAAGAATGTCTCTTATTTTGGGTTTTTGTGATATTTCTTCATGATTAGATAGAAGACACATTTTCAGTCATTAATTGCCATCTTCTTTTGAATAATCTAAGTCCTTAAGAGGACCATCAGGTAGAAGGTGGTTAGCAAACATCAGAGCCTGTCAGTCCAAAGCGTAGCTGGGTCAGGTGTGGCTCTTGACTGGGGGTGGCTGGCAACCTTGCCAGCCCAGGCCCATGTGCTGAGGGCTATGGCCCCGGCTCTCTGGTGTATCACCACTTGGCACACAGTAGGCACTTCCTAACGAAGTATGCAGGGACTCATTCCAAAATAGGAAAGCAATCATTTGAGCATGAAACCTATTTTTTCCACTCTCTTTTAGAAATATAAAAGCTCATAAAAGAAGAGGCCACAAACATTAGCAAAAATATTTGGGCTATCTAAATGTTCTTCTATTACTAATACTTAGCAAGTTAAGTATATATGTGTGTGTGTGTATATATATACACATATATATGTGTATATATATACACACACATAAATACTTTAAGTTCTAGGGTATATGTGCACAACGTGCAGGTTTGATACATAGGTATACGTATGCCATGTTGGTTTGCTGCACCCATCAACTCATCATTTACATTAGGTATTTCTCCTAATGCTATCCCTCCCCCAGCCCCCCAACCCCTACAGGCCCCGGTGTGTGATGTTCCCCCGCCTTGTGTCCAAGTGATCTCATTGTTCACCTCCCACCTATGAGTGAGAATATGCGGTGTTTGGTTTTCTGTCCTTGTGATAGTTTGCTGAGAATGATGGTTTCCAGCTTCATCCATGTCCCTGCAAAGGACATGAACTCATCTTTTTTATGGCTGCATAGTATTCCATGGTGTATATGTGCCACATTTTCTTAATCCAGTCTACCATTGATGGACATTTGGGTTGGTTCCAAGTCTTTGCTATTGTGAAAAGGTTTTAAACTGATACCAACTTGAACTGTTTAAAGAAAGGTTGGCTGATAATTTGAAGGGTGAGAATTATGAGTAAACATCACTAGCAATGGAAATAAGTTAGTAAAATAGGCTAAAAAGGGAAGTTCACATTCAGGCCAGTGGGCTAAATGTATATAACCTGCCCATCTTAAAGTCAGGTTTTGCCCCCACATCCACGTTTTCAATGATGGATTAGGTTAGGGAAGGTTTTTGTGGGAACTGTGTGTGTATGTAAGAGCTTATGTTTACATGTGGTTGGATTTGGAAGAGGAAATATTCAAAGACCTGTTTCTTGTTCTCAGGATGTAAGAGTTTCATGTCTAAGTGCCCCAGGGCCACAGATTTTTCACTGGCATGGCCTATTATCACCCACATCCACAGGCATGTGGACATTATAAATTCTGGACAGTGTCAAACAGTTCTTCTTGGCCTCTGTATGCAACCTCTTTAGTGTCCAACTTCATTCCTTTCTGCAGCTCTTTCCTTCTCTTCCTCCATTCTCATCTTTCTGCAGTTTTTGCCAATCTCAAAAATGCAGGCTGGAAACATTATAGCAATTGCCCGAGGGCTGTGATGTCAAGTTCTTTGGACTTCTCGCCATAATGCTTTGTGCATCCTTCTGATTTGCAACTCTTATTTTATTATGGCTTGAACCTAAGTCATCGTTCTGAGCTTAAGTTCTCACCTGCTCTCTTCAGCTTCCATAGTACCTTCTCAACTGCTTCCCTTCTCCTCTGCTTTGTGCAAAGACCAAGGGAAGAGTGGGCAGCTCTTTGGAACAAAGATGTTGCTTCTCAGTCTTTTATTTATTCAAAAAGCATTTATTGAGCATCTACTAAGTGCCAGGCACTGTTCTTGGCATTAGAGGTAGAGGTGAACAGGTCAGATGAGCTCCCCACCCTCACAGAGTTTACATTCCAGTGGGAATCACTGGGTAGACTAAGATGTAAATACAGGAAGTTCATAGTTTCCGATGGAGATAAGCATTATGATGAGAATCAAATGGGTTAACATGAAAGATAGCAGGAAATGGTTAGGGCACTGACCCTGGCTTCCCAGTCTGTCCTCTCAGAGAGGATGCCCTCTCTAACTATGGGTTTTGCTCTGGTACTCCTCTGCACAAGCTGCTCATCTGTTCCCTCTTTTCCCTTAGGCTGGATCCAGGGTAAGTATGGGGGGAGATGCCAGCAAGAGCCCAGGAGCTGCTTAGGAAATGCTAACTTACTTGGAGTTTCTTGGAGACAAGACAGGGTGTGTATCTCTCACAGGCATAACCTGGGGGTCAAGGAACTGAATGATCCCATTCGATAATCTGAGAACTTACTTCCTAAAGAAAAAGACTTAGTTCGTTCAAGGGGAAGCTAATAGAGCATGATTTGTTTAACCTAATTTTTATGTGGAAAAAAATCAGAACTATGGTACAACAAATTTAGATTAGATAACGTCTTGCTTATACTTTCTAGACATGATGTGACTATACTGTACTGTAGTTAACTCAGTGATTTCTGTAACTCTTAGTAATTACCGTTTCAATTACATCTGCCCCTAAAATCGGGCCATATGCAAGTCTCTCATATATTATTTATCTTTCAAAACGAAAAGGTAACAGACTGAAATTATGACTTTAAACAGTGTAGGCATTATTTTTCCCACATCTTTTCAAAAGGTCACATCTTTGGGCTAAGGTTTGAATTTTGGAATGCATCTAGCTGGCTTGGGTTGGGCATGAGAGGAAGGAACAGCTGTATCTGTTCAGGGGTTAATTGGTAACAATTCTCTAAGCCATTGAAATGAATTCTTTTCCTCAGGCTGATGCCAGAGATTGTTGTATTATGAATTTAGCTGTGAGCAATTTTACATTGTATAGTACATAAAAGAGCATACACATTGTCCAATAAAAGACATGTGCTCTCACCAAAACTTAACCTAAGGCATTCATTTGGGGAGTAAGAGAGCAAGGTAGTTCTCATGCCTCTGGTAGGACAGAACCACTGCATCCAGCCAGGCCAAACTCACTTACATGTGGTGCTTCTCCATAGTCTGAAAAGGGCTTCCTTAGTCCTGCCATAGCACAAAGCTCAGATTCTCTTTGACCTTCACCCTGTCCTGCAATCCATGGGCTATGTGGGCAGCCCCGGGCCAGGGAAGCACTGGTTGGAGGGCTTTGATGCCCCCACCTTGCTTTGAGAGGGACACAGGGCACTGCTCTCCTTTCCTCTGCTATCTCCTGACTCCAAAACTCCTGAAAATGGCAGATGCCCAATGGTAGAGCTGAAATGAACACCTTTTTTGCATTTTCAGCTGAGGTGGCCCATGAGGGACAACAGAGGCCTCCCTGGAGAGACTGTGGCCCACATAACCCTCACCAGGGTCAACAAAGCAAGGCCAGAAGGTCAAACTTCCTGCCTTCAGGGATTTGTAGCCCTTTAACCTCTGGAGAGAGAAAGTTCAAAAAGGAGGTCCCTTGAATGGCCCCGTGCACAGATTTTATCACAGTACAACACAACACATGGACCAAGATTTCTCTACCCTTCCCACACCTAAGCAGCACCAGTCTGCAACATCATAAGGTTCCTAAGCAAAGAAAGCATAAAACTGGCAAAACCTGAGGGTCCCTGTGATTCCCTGGTGACCTTAATAGCCCTCCCACCTCTACCCCATGGGTTTGCCACCATTTTTCCTTCTTCTGAATCCTAAACACAGCCAGCTATGACCTAGAAAGTGTGGACCACTCACATGGTGCCTTTCCCCAAGAGCAGCCTCCTAATCCAGAGAGACAGACCCAAACAAGGAAGAGAAGAGAAACAATCTTTCATCTGCAAGAGCCTTTTTTTTTTTTAGCACAATGTGAAAGTAACCTAAAAGATAAAAGTAAAAACTTGAGATTCCAAAGAAAATGAACTGTAGTGGCAAGCATGATACATACACGATTGCACTCCACGACTGTCAAAATTCAGCAGGGAGAATCATTGTCCCTTGGTAATTATGCGCATCCATTAGCATGGCATCCATTCTTTGTCAGAAGCGTTTGGTGACAGTCTCTCCAGAGAAGCACACAGCTCGCGTGGCCTGCAGTTAGATGGCCAGGACGCACCTCCCCCAGGGAAATGCTGCTGCTAACACCATATTAAAGACAAAGTTTGTTGGGTTTTGTTTTTTTAATCTCAGATGCCAGTGCAGGGCACAAGATGTTTATTATAATTTTATAGACACCTCTAACAAAAGCTTCACTCAGGAAGGAAAATTAAACGTTAAGGTTTCAGGGATGGTGGGGTGGGGTGGTAAGCTGCAGAAGGTTGGAAAAGAGAGGGGAAGTGGGGCAAGCCATAGACATAGCTTCATTCCCAAGCTGGCAATTCTTACACTTAATATGTTTTGTCAGGCAAGTCTTCAATACAGATTAAAATGAAATGCCAAGTAATTTCCACCTCTCGGCCGCTCATGTCTGTGAACAATGGAGAGTGTTTTGATGAATGTCAGTTAATGGCACTTACGCTCTTGTAGATTTCATCCTCGCAGCAAGGTCTAAGAAATGGGGGGTTAGGGGGCTATCTGTGTGTGTGGAGGGGAGGGATGGGGAAGATTGGTCCATAATCCCCTTCTTACTAATTTGATTCATACTGATGGAAATTGAAAGTGAACCAAAAACAAAATCAGGATGCCCAGAGAAGATGACTCTTTGTTGTTAATTAGGCTCAAAGCAGAAAACATGATTTCTAAGAGCTGGGTCCACTAGGTGAAGGATTTCTTCACGTTTAGATTTTGCCAGGCAGCTTCTACTCCAGTGGAAGGGGCTGGCTGCATTGCTGGGGTCTAAGTCTTTGGTTCAACTGGGAAGTTTGCAGCAAGTCTCTCAATAGTCACACTTTCCAGTCAGTTCCATCCTGATACAAACCCGAGGCTGCAAAACCCACAGGCTGAGCCTTGTTATCTCATTTCCCCACACATCACTGCCTTTGCAATTTTGCATTCTGAACTCCCAGTGTGGGGTAATTTTGAAGAGTAGGATAAAAACTGAAGCGCCAGCAGAATTCTATCACCCAGGGATTTAAATCCTCACCTTCCTCACAACTGGCATGTGCAATGTACTTATTTCTCTTATCCTGTTCTTAAGCTTGATTGGGAGGATTTGGTTTTCGCTTATTCTCTTACTGCCTGGAATAGGAGCTTTAACTGGAAATTGCTGACTAATTTTATGGTTGTGTAGGTAACAGGGAACACTTCTGTCTGGTAATCATTGTGAACAACATCTCTCTGTATTCAAAGTCTAGTGAGTTACATTGGTATTCCCTTCACAGTCGCAGTGACCAGCCCATTGACTCAGCTTTGGTGCTTACGTGTTTCTTGTTGGTTTGCTTTATGGAATCACTGCTTACCAAATTTTGTAGTGTCAAACCCAGCCTTTTTAGATGTTGAATCAAAGAAATTCTTGGGAGGTGTGGAAAAATTATCTTCCAGAAATGGAAGTCCCAAGAGCAAGGAGAATAAAACTAAGGTGTCTTGGGCTCCTCTGTTCTCCTATGTAGCCCATGCTCATTCCCTTTCCCCGACCTCATCTGCAGAAAAACCCTCTGAAGGGGTTGCTGTCCCTAGCTCACCCAAAGGAAACTGAGCTCACTAGCTTGCTCAAGAACCTGCATGGCTAGGGAGGCCAGAGCAAGGCAGACTGATGGGTCTGTCTGATCCAAAGTCCAGCTCTCTCACTGAAGCCTTATCTTTCGGAAAGCTTCCAACAGTAACTCAGGAATTGAGCTTACTTGCTTTAAAAAAAAAAAAAAAAAAAAAAAGAGAGAGAAAAAAAAGGTTGATAAAACAACCTTCTGGTTATACTTGTACACTGATGCTGAATCCTGTTTTAAATGTTTTAACCTTGCACATTCCCGTCAGTGATTCGTCTCAAAGCAAAAAACATGATTTCCGAGAACTGAGTCCACTTGGCAGAGGATCACTTTGCATTAAAGGAATCATACATTTTCTCATGTACATTTCAGAGGCCGTGTGAGTTTTCACCTTCCTGGATAACCAAGAATGTCCATTTTGCTGCCAGTTCCAAGCTTTTCAAAACTAAAGTTTTAAAGAGGTGCTTCTAAAACATGAATAAAATGGAATGGCATGAATCAGTCTCCCGTCTTCATCGGGGACATTTGGAAAAGCAGTGAAGAGTAGGCAACCTGCCTGCCTGTGAGGAAAGGAAGGGCCACACTCCCTGAAGACGCCTGGGGACAGGAGGACTATGGCTCAAGCACAAGCCAAATGCTCGTGACTGACCCAGAAGCCCATGACCACTCCCCGCCATCATGATCCAGAGGCACACTGTTGTCTCGGCATCTGGGGAATGAGCACCAGCCTCCTGGGCTTGTCATCACTATCACTGGGAGAATGGTGGAGGCAGGGGAAGCACATGAGTGAGGCCGAGTCTCCATTTCCTCACCCATTAATTGGGGGCAATGATGCCCACCTTTCAGGGTTGCTGCAAGGCTTGGGGAGGGGGTTTGTGGAGCACCAGGCATGGTCAGGCTTGGTGAAAGATGGCTACTGCAACAGAGGGGTTGCAGAAGATTCCAGCTAAGCCAGCTATCTCTAGCCCTCCTCAGCCAACCTGAACTCAGTTACTGCTGCTTTTTCATAGTCTGTCTTTGATAACAATTCAAGTCTTCTTGCATTTGGAGGGAGTATATAGGTGGGAGTTTAAGGTGCCAGGGAGGTGAATATTGAGTCTTCAGCCCCCTCCTGGAAAGACTAATTCAGAAAAGCAGCTTTGTCAGGCCAGAAAGCTGCAGGGTGTCTCCTCAGGTTCTTTCCTCTGGGACCTTCTCAGGATCAGAGGGATTCTTCAATTTCTAAATCAAAGTAAAATCTCTGGCAAAACACCAAATAGAGCAGAGTGTCTCTGTCAGCAAGTTTTGCTTCCTGAAGAACCGTTTTTGCAGGCAGAAACACCAGCGGTCACTAGAGGAGCAGGAGGGTTGCAGCCCAGGAGCCTTGCCTCAGCCTAGACCCTCCACCAAGTGGAAGGCAGGGGACTGTCTGCTTCCTAGGGCAGGAGGGGCATCCCTACAAAAGGATTGCAAAATTTTGCTAATTTATGTTGGTGAAAACCTGAAGAATGTGCATAGGAATGGATTATAAGGATGTTGGACCAAAGATGGAGTTGAGAGATCCTGAATTTTATATGTCAGCTGAGCAGCTGGAAGTGGCTCCAAGAGATAGAAAAAAGTTTGGTTGGTTAGCTGAAAGTGAGACTCAATGGTTCTACATTCCATGCGGTTTCCAAAACTTCCTTGGCATCATGTAAGAGGATAGAATCAAAGGCTTAGAAGGCTGGGATGTGGGAATCAAATTATAATGTGAGCCCTGCACACCCACATTCACACTCTGTCCCTGGAGCAGGCTCAGAGGATACTCCCTTCAGTAAGGCCTTGAGCGGCCTGTCAGTGACTTTTCACATCCCCATTGGCCTGGGAGATCACTGCGGTGGCTGAGCTCCATAAGCTGGACACATTGGTGGGGGTGCTGTCATTGAGATGGGCTCTCCGATTTCAGTGGAGGTGGTAAGATCACTTTGTGTCAGAGACCAGAGATAGGCACTTAACTGCCAGGGACAAAGTGGCACAGTTACCTAATGAGCATCAAAATGTTTTTCAATATTGCCATTCAGCTCTTCTACCAACATGAGTTGTGTGAGGTTTCCTCTCTCCATTATTTTTCTTTGCTTTTACTACAACTACCTAAACACCATATACGCTATCTTGGCTATGAATTAACTGATACCTCTATTTTGATCCTTTTAAATTTTTCTTCCACATCCTGGAGAAAACCTCTTCCAAGGACACAGTGGGTGCCACAAATACATTATCCTTTGGCATAATGGACCCTAAGGCCAGGGGCGTAATTTAGAATGAATGTGCCAAGCGTGTGCCACTCCTTCAGGACAGAGCTGGCGATGGGAACTCCCCATTTTGGTATCTGGGCTTATTTCTGTGGTATTAGAGGCACCTCTTGGTGAGCTGCCAATTACTGTAACTGTTGATTGAGCCCAAGGATTATCTTTTATTCCCTCTACCAGCCAAGGAGAATGTCATCCCATTTTACAGATGGAGAAACTGTCATCTAATCATTAGGTGTGTGTTGCTGAGCTTTCTCCTTCTCTCCCACGTACCCAGAGTGTCCCTGCAAGAGCCCCTTTCAGACCTCCTCAAGTGCAGTGTGCTCATCTTAACGCCCCTGCCAACTTAGTTTGAATCAATGTTGTGGAGGAGCTGACTTGCTCATCTTCACTTTGCTGGTCTGGACCCATCATAGGAGTCAAGAAAATAAAAAGCATTAGTTTCAAAGGAAAGCTAAAGATGTTTGCTAAATATGTATGGCCCCTACCAACCTGTAGTTTCATAAAGGTTAATTGGCTGCTTTAAGCTCCACTACCTCAGTTTCCCCCATCTGCAAGATGGGGACAAAACCTTGACCTATTCCCCATCTTTTCACATCCCATTTTATTGCCTCTCAAGGACAAGGAGAACTGAAGTGCAACCATATCGTCAGCTGAGAAGATGGGCTTTGCTAAAGATTTTCTCATTTCACCCGTCTCTTCAGCTTCACGTGAAAGTCCCCCTTCTCCTGCCCCCAGGTCTGTAGCTATTGCCTTAGCCCTCAGGAGTAGGGAACAAAGGAAGGACATCAGCTAAGTTGTGGGCTTGATGCTTGTCTAAAGAGTATCCCATCCCTTTTTTTTTCTTTCTAGTGATGTAGAATGGGAGGGAGAGGGGGGTAGGGAAGGATGGTGTCACAAACACACAGTCTGAGAGCACCGAGCCCTAAAACAGAAAAATCTTCATCCTCTCACCACCTATGCTTCAAAGATTCATAAAAGCATGTCACTAGAAGCATCGCGTGAAGTGAACTAAGAGGCACTTGAGGGTGCATGATAATGTTAGCTGTGCCTTGTCACTTTGTTAAAGAATGTGCAAGTGCAGGGAGAATCCAGCAGTGAGTGCCCAGGCAGGCAGAACTCTTCACCCACCACACCCTCCCCCCCAACCTCGACCACCCACCCCCACCCACAGTTTTTTAGCCCAGGGTTAAGACGGCAGGTCCATTATATAGTGGACCATCTTTCATGGTCCCTATGAAGTTCAACTGAGTCCCAAGTTTGCTTTTTCTGAGTCTGAAAAGGTTTGCCTTGAAGTTAAGGTGACAAGAGAGTGACTGATTCCTGAAAATTTCTTGCAGAATGAAGGATGAGGTTGGACTTCTCAGTTTCTGTCCAGAACAAGGATGGAGAGGCTCAGCAGCACCAACAGGTCAGTAGGTAGGTTTTTTCTGTGCCATATGATTGGGTTCTGAGTTGCTGTAGCCATGGCGTTGGGCCAGACACATGATGGTCTGCTTTTGAGGCTCAAGGGTATTGTTATTTCCATCTTAGCAATAAGAAAACAAGCCCAGAGTGAGCACTGGACAGCGTTACAAGGCTGTAGAACATAGCAAAGTCAGGGGAGTGGTCAGCTCTGGGGCATGGAGACATGACTCATGTCCCTGCCCCTCTCCACCCTCTCCCTGGGATTCACTTCCCATGGGGAAGGGGTCTTTGCTCTTGTCTGTGCTTCAGACACTGTCTCAGAATATGGTCTTTCAGTGTCAACATTAAAATTTAATACCTAGGGTTATGGAAGTGTTTTACTTTGAGCAAAGTCTCAGGGATATTTTTCTAAGCATTCCTCATTCAGTTATGTCAGTAAATAATTGCACAAATAATTTTTTAAAAAGTGTTACCAAGAAAGCTGCATGGACCCCTTGAATTCTGTCCCCTGCCTTGGTCTCTCCCACTTTCGTGTTCTTCCTGTTTGTGCATCTGAATAAGCCCCTTCCCCAGGCATGTGAGCACATCCATTTGCAGGAAAGCTGCCCCCTAACCCCAGGACTGGAGGCTTTTTTGAGGTGTGGTACAAAGAGCCAGAGTTCCAGAATTCACCAGCTCCAGCTCACCTGTGTCTCCCTCAGGGGCGAACAGAGGTGGATCCTTGAGCTGCTCCAATAATGACATTCTGGAAGATTCATGTCAACCTCTGTGCCTCAGCCTAGAGTTTGGGGAGAGGACCCCCCCATGAGGCGACTGCTCACAGCCCTTAGAAGTTGGTTAAGAACTATAGGGTGATTTGGATTTGTAAGTTGTCCTTCAATTTTGCTAGTGATTTCTCTAAATAATGGCCAGGAGATCTGACAGGTCTGGAGGTGAGACTGAAGTGAGTCATTGCCGGTGTCAGCATGTGTGTGCCAGTGTCTCCCAGCTCAGGCTGCAGAGTGTAAGAGAGGGTGACTCATTCGTTCTCAGAAGCCTGTTCTTGGTTACCTTTCCCTGAGTATTTTGTGGTGGTGTTGAGGTAACTCATTTTGTTCAGAAGCAGAACTTCCCCTTACTGCTACTCTAGGAAATCATGTTTCATTAAAGGGTTTTCTTCCTCCAAAACTCTATTAGCTGCTGCATTTTTTAAGAGAGAGTTTCTTGGGAGAACTACTGGAGAGAAGAGAATATAAACATATTGTTTTAGTCCTGTTCTTGCTTTGCTATAAAGAACTACATGAGACTGGGTAATTTATAAAGAAAAGAGAATTAAATGGCTCACGGTCCCACAGTCTGTATAGGAAGCATGGCTGGGGAGGCCTCAGGAAACTTACAATCATGGCAGAAGGGGAAGCAGCCTAGGAAATTTCACAGGGCTGCAAGGCCAGGAATTGTGGGGAGGAAGCAGGACTTTCAAAAAGAAAAATTAGGTCTCTGCTGCTAACCAGAAATGCCCAGCCAGGCCTTTGAGGTCTCAATGCCAGTCAAGTTTTCCAACAAATATACTTTCCAAATATACATTTTGTCTGACAAGAAAGCATTTTGAGTTCCGGCAACAGAAATGCAAGAGCTGAGGCAAAAGAGGTGGGCATGCAAGAGGAAGTGAGAACGGCTTACCTGCTCCTGTGGGCAGAGCCCAAGGGCCCCCTCTGTCTGGGCGGGCAGTCTCAGGCTTGCCAGGATGGTTTGTCCCCAGGGTCCTGGGCAGGCAGCAGGATAAGCGAGGTCAGTAACCCCATGAGTACTGACCACAAGGTCAGGGCATTTGAGAGAAAATGGAGACAGGATTGTCTCGTTCACTTATTAGTAGGCATTTGTCATATACCAGGTAAGGAAATAATCCTCCCATTGTCAATATATCTTAATCCTCGTGTTGTCTATATGTCTTTCAAGGCTTGCAGGGGAGGGAAATGCTTTGTCAGAAGAAATCCCTTTTCGGAGATAAATGCAGATGCACCTCCTTTTACATAATGGGCATGGCCCTTAAAATGAAGTGTGTCTCACACATGATATTCGGGGCAGCAAGGAAACTTGCCTTTTCACACAGTCCTCCTAGAGCTTTTGAGGACGTCACTCCTTAGGTGGGTTTTGTGTAAATTGAGTTTCCGTAAAGGTTTTTCTGCAATTTGGTTTCCAAAATAGCAACAAATACTATTCAGTAAAGGCAAGGAGGTGACAATCCTTAGTGCCTCAAGTCCTAGCCATCTCTGATGATCAATACTCATGGGATCTTCACTTCCTTGTTATTACTGCCTTCCCAACTGCCCTCTACCAGCCTGGTAACTGAGATGACCACAATTTTTTAAAAAAGAAAAAAATCCAACCACCTTAAAGCATTTAAAATTCAAATAAGAATTAGAAAAGCAGAGTTCTGAGAACAAGGTCAAAAGAAGGTCTCTTTCAGTTGTATGCAAGTGTCACAGTTAAATCCTTGTGAATAGAAGAATCCAGGAACTTCCATCCCTCAGACAGGTTGAGAGAGTATGGAGCATAACTCTACAACCACCCAAAATATAGGATTTAGACAACTTCAATTTGGCCAAAAAAAAAAACGCAACTAACTAAGGCATGAAATTCACACTGTGGAAAAGAAGAAATCATAAATTCCCTCCCTGATGCTAAGTCGCGTTCAGGCAAAAGCAAATTTTCTGGCAGTGAATCAACCATTAAAAAAAGCTGCTTGCAGCACAGGGCACAGAGCAGACTTCTCAAACACTGGTGCTTATTATTCTGCTTCCAGCCTTTATTTCTCCTACCCCTCCCCTCTGAAAGCCGCGCTCAAATACAGCAATCCATCCACAGAAGAGCTACGCCTTTCCAAGATTAATTACAAGCAGGGGCCACGTGTCTGGGCTGGATGTGTGATTGATCCTGCAGGAGGAAATGCAGTGGGAAGCTAATGAGAAGCTAATGCTTGCTGCCTTTTATCCAGTAAGCAAAGTTCAAAGATGTTTACATTCTGCTAGTTAAGCAAGACCTAAGATGAATGGACTGTCTTCTCAGCATGAATTCTCGCCAAGGCAACACATGTATGTGTCTCAGAGGACCTCACCTGGGCCACAGAGGCCAGAGGGTCAGAACTCCTAATTTTGCAAATAGCTTGATTCCATCATGTTTTAATTAGCAAACTGATTATATTCAAGAGATTGGTGAATGAAAAGTAGATTAAGATCAGTGCAGCAGAATTGGGATATATAGGGTTAGAATTGGGATGTATAGACCAGTGGGAGGTATGGAGACTAGATAGGGGTCCTTGCAGCTAATTCTATAATTGGCAGGCGAGAGAGTACTCTTAGCACACCCGATGAAATGTGCTAAGATGCTGGAATTTCCTAATTTTTACAGAAAAGAAGTCTTGTTTTTTGCTACATCCTCCCCCGGGAGAAAAATTAAAAACTGAGTATGGGATTCATCAAAACAATAAAAGGAGGAGGAAAATATTCCATGTGGCATAGCTATACCTTGGAAAAAATAAATGACAAAGAGAGTTGGTAATTCAGGAGGTCCACCCTCGACTCTGATGCCTAGCAGCTGAAATGGCATCACACCAAAGATGTGTTGTGTAGCCCTGTAGCCTGGAAAGCTCCTGGTCTCTATGGCCACTTGCTAGCTATGACTTTGGGTAAGCTAATTGTCATTTCAAAGTTTCCATTTCCTTAAGTGAGAAATTGGTAAAACAGTACTATTTCAATTAAAGAAGATAATGGTCCGGGTGCTGTAGCTCACACCTGTAATCCCAGCACTTTGGGAGGCCGAGGTGGGTGGATCACAAGGTCAGGAGATCGAGACCATCCTGGCTAACATGGTGAAACCCCATCTCTACTAAAAATACAAAACATTAGCTGGATGTGGTGGTGGGCGCCTGTAGTCCCAGCTACTCTGGAGGCTGAGGCAGGAGAATGGCATGAACCCAGGAGGTGGAGCTTGCAGTGAACCGAGATCGCGCCACTGCACTCCAGCCTGGGCGACAGAGCAAGACTCCATCTCAAAAAAAAAAAAAAAAAGAAGATAATGAATGTGAAGCATCCAGGCTGGTAACAGAAACATAGTACATGCTCAACTCATGATAAGGCTATTTGTTAGACGTTCCAGTAGCACCTGGGAAAAGCAGGAGGGAAAGGGCAGTGTTCAGTGGCTGGGTTGGCAAGGGAAGCATACTGCTCTTTTGTGTAGCAAAATACTTTTCACACAGAGGGCAAAAATCCTGTCCTGACACCTCTGACACCAAATAGGTTTAATGTCCTCCCCTCACAGTTACCATAATGATGTCTAGGCACTCACATCAGGATGCATATTCAGCTCTGTCCAAACATGGGACTTTCAAATCTATACATGCACACCATCATCTAAAAACCACTCATAGGTCTTAGCAAGAATTAGTCTAGACTAACACAAAAAGGACTGTATGGAGCTGAAGGCTATTTGGAGCAAGAAATCAGCCAGGGTGAACTGTGGTTTAACAGCAGTGAGCACCGCCTCATCTCTAGAGTCTGTGTTGGAAACCAGGCCCCATGCTGGCAGCTTTCCCTCCCCAGTCCCACATAACTCTCACAACATCTACATGAAGGCTGTGAGGAGATGAGGAAGCAGATGGATGGAGAATTGGAGAGGGAAGCCCAGGTGCTTTGCAGGGGCTCCATAACCATAATGGCCATTATTTATGGGGCACTTATGGTGTTCCCAGCGGCATGCCATGCACCTCACGTGTACTTTTTTATTTAATCCTCAAAATAACCCTGCTGTGTAAAACCAAGTCTCACCATTGCTAATGTGGGGATTGTAAGAGTCTCACAGGTCAAGCAACTTGCCCAAAGTCACACAGCAGCAGGCCTAGGACTCAGGCCCCGGGGAACCTAATCACAGTCCCAGCGCTTATACCCCCAGAATGCTTCCTCACATCCACCAAAGGCTACCAAGGTAACATAGAGACCAGCGGGAGGCATGAAGACTAGATAGGCATCCTTGCAGCCAGATTTCTGTAATTCGCAGGCAAGAGAGTACAGTTAATATCTGAAGACCCTAAAAGATATGCCCTGTGGAATTTTACCATGCGCTCTGCCTATGTACTATGCAAATGGCAGTGAGTTTTGACAAATTTCCCAGTCTATGCTAATATCAGCTTACATTTACCCACTGCCTGCTATATGTGTACCAGCACTGTTCTGAGTGATTGACATGTATTAACGCAGAATCCTTACAGCAATCCTGTGTGGCCGGTGCTATGGTTATGCCTATTTTACAGATAAGCAAAATGAGGCCAGAGAGGTAAAGCAACATGCTTAGTGTCACAGAGGTAGAAGCGGTCCAGCTGGGATTTGAACCTGAGCAAATGTGGCTACAAGGCCCACCCAGGCTCTTACCTGCACGGGGACATGAACTAGAAGAGCAGCACACTGTGGGGCCTGGAGATTCGGCTCCTCCATGTGTCAGGTGAATACCTGACACTGGTGACTGCAGGAAGGGATGTGCCTCATCTAACAATTCATGTGAATGATTCCACCAAGCCTTAAAGAGGACAGCACCAAAGACAAGTGACAGGTATGCTTTCCATTCAACCATCCTCAAGCCCTTCATGTCCTTTATGGTAACTGTGAGGGTAGAACGTTAAACCTATTTGGTGTCAGGACAGGACAGGATTTTCCAGCCATGGAAAAGAGATGTTTAGCTGATCTTCCTGTTTTAACCCTTTTCACTTAGCGTATTCAGCTGACGCTGGGTGGGGCTGCCAGAAACAGTTTGGAGGCATGCTGAGTGCCGTGACATCCTTGTCTGAAAGACATGGCCGCTGGCTGGCATCCAACACTGTGGTTGACTTTCAAACCATTTAATTGAAATCATTTTTTTAAAAGGAGGGGTAGGTGCCAGAGTAGGAGAAAGATCTTGGCAAAAACCTTATACGCACTTTTTCCACCACTGGCTTGACCAGACAGGGCCACAAAGCCGATACAACAGGATTAGCAAAATTGCATTGTTGGACATAGGCACAGCGTGACAGGTGGTACAGCAAAGGCATTTGGCAGGATTAACCTGCCAAGGATAAAGATGTAGCAGACAAGGGGCTGAATTAATGGATTGGCATGACCAAAGCAGGGAAATCTATTTGCATGCAATATTAACTGTGCTAATAAACTCCAGGCTGAGCTCAGCAGGCCAGGCAGCCTCTTTGAACCAGGGGTTTTATTTTTCACCTAGAAGGCTTCTGCCAAGATAGGCTAAAACAAACAAGCTTTACAGGTTGCCTTTTGGTTTTTTTGCCATCATCTTAAAGTAGACATGCTGTCTTAAATGCCTACAATAACATGTATGCTTTACTGACCATGTAGAATGATCCTAATACCTCAGAATTTGGAAGCCAAAAGGTCCTCCATTTAGAGGGTGATTGTCTATGAAAAAGCAGTGAAGAAATATAGATACGGCACACTCTGGAAAACACCTACTTGGGATAGGTTGTTTTATCTGAGTTTTATATTCTGATTTCCTGAAAGTCGGGGGGGTCTGGAGTGAGCAGGCAAGATGTCCAAGATGCAGAATCTCAGGAAGCACCCATGGTCTAGCTCAGACGAGAGCAGGATCAGCACGGAGGGTGCCTCTCTCCTCTCGCCCTGGCCCCATCCTGGCAACAGCATAACATCCACCCATTCAAAACCATGAGTGGACTTGAATACACTTCACACTGACACTAACTGCACTGCTGAGTGTTGGGCAGTAGTCCAGGAAGCGTTGTAAGAGACTGAGGAAGGGAGCCAGTAAAGGTTATCCATCAGGTTACTGCTGCTGGCACATGCGGACCTCTGTGAGCTGGTGTAGAACACATCTCAGGGTTATCCCACCCAGGGGGCCAGAGAGCCGGGTGTTTATCCACTAACCCCCGTCCGTCACTGGTTGATGCTCCTTGGGAATGTTAACTCCTTGGCACTCAGCCAGCCCACATGCAGCCTGAAGACCCCTGCTCTGGCAGGGGTCTGGACTGGGAGTTTGGGTGGCCATGGAGATGAAGAAATGCACTTAATATGGCAAAATATTGGAACTTTCTGGACATTCTGATGATTCACAGGGGACACAAAGAACAGATTTTTACTATCATAGTGCCCTTACACCCCCTGCTTTGCAGGAACTCCTTATGGAATGGAAGCACATCCAGGCTGAAGGCCCCTGTGTTCCAGATGCTGTGTGAGTGTTGACCTGCCAGGCGACTCCACGATGGCTTCCGTCCTCAGGTTCACCATCAACTAAGACAGACTGAAGATGTAAGTAGTAATGGAAGGACACAAAAGGTACAAGAGTCAGAGGCCAGGCCAAGAGTGCAAGCTGAGCAATGGGCAAGGAAGGCCTCCTTGATGGCTAGCTCCAGAACTGGGACTGCAGAAAGAGGAATTTTCTCGATAGAAAGGGGTGTGGGCCTTCCAGTCAGGTTCAGATCCACAGAAGCATGCACATGTGGTATGCTGGGGCACCACTGCACCACCGGGGAGGGTCATGCTGGAAAAGAGGCTGCAGGATCTGGGACTCACTCTATCCTGGGGCAATGGGGAGTTTAGGAGAGGGTGAGTCAGATCAGCATGAAGTTAGCCTAGAGTCAGGAAGATGAGTTAAGAGGTCTGACAGTCTATTGAAGTAAAATTATTCATTACAGAATAGCACCATGTATGTTTCTAAAATACTTGGTGCCATATTTATTCTCCTGAGGGATTCATCTGAGCACTTAGAAAAGAATAACTGGGCCATTGAGTCTTGGTTGAAATCATTCATTCATCCAACCAGTATTCATCAAGCATCTCCCACATGGCCAACGCTGGGAACCCAGTGTTGAAGTTGGAGGAGACTTCACTCACATGCCATGAGAAGTGCAAGGAAGAGGACCAGCTACCTGTAGAGCATGTTACAGAGGAGTCAGGTCTGGTCTGAGGTTGGAGGTCCAGGAAGTGACTGGAGTTGAAGCTTGAAGGAGTTGGTATTCAACATGCAGAACTGGGAAAAAGGCATTCCAGGCAGAGGAAGCAGCTTGTGTGAGGGCACTGGGGTGAGAGGGAGCATGGTTCATTTGAGAAGTTAAGAAAGCACAGAGAGGAGGAGAATAGGGAGGGTTAGGGGAAGAGGGGGTAGGGCCTGTGCCAGGCCTGGCCCTGCCCTTTAAGGTGCCAAGTCCTTGCAAGCATTGGAAGTTAAAACATGATGGCCATTTATTGATGATTTATTGATCTCTCTGTATCCCCTTGGGCACTAGCGGATTCTCGACAGAACCACAAAGTGGAGTTGGCTGCAGATGAGTCTGTTCATGGCCCCAGTTTCTCACCTATTCCTGAGTCACCTTTTGCCCCTCAGACACAGAGATGGGATAGCGCCAGGATGTGGGTTTGTGTTGTCTAATTTCTTGGAGTTTGTACAGGTTTTACCTGGTACCAGCGTGACCTTCCCATGTACCCTCTTGGTCAGCAACTTTTTACAAGGAGTTAATCCCACTTTCTGGAACTTGCTCATTCTCAAAGTGAGTGGTTATTGGTCCTCAAGACAGTCCGCAGAAATTTCAGCCCCATGGGAAAGAAAAAATTCCAGGTCTCTACCTGATGCTTGGAAAGCCAGCCATGTTAACTTAGTCAACACCAATGCTCATCAAATACACACATTTATCTAGTGTTCCCAACCTACATTCCCAGCCTGGGATTCTGTGGGCCAGAGGCCCCAGTGTAGAGATTATAGCCTAATGTCCCAGCAGAGAATCACTGATTGCAGATAGGAAAAATCCAGACATTTCTGAACTCCAAGACCACAGTGATTTATGTGGCCTGGTGATAAGCTATGATTGATATATTACTCAAAGTTTCTGCTTCCCCCAACTCTGGCAAGAACTTTGGCAGAACTTCTATGCCATATCCAGTACTAGGAAGTTGCCAAGTTTATGTCCTTAAAATAAAGTGGGTTCCAAGATAGATGGCAGAAAGTGGGAAATGTGATTTTTCTTGATTGGGTAACTAAGAACCACACAGCATGCGGGAGCCATTTTGGGCCAAAGAGCTGTTCATTTAAAGTGTTTATTGACACCTGGAAATAGGGTTTAAACTTCAAATGCTATTTTCACATCAAGTTTATGCTATATAATTTCATAATGGTGATAAAATCCAGGCAGCTACCAAAAGGAGAGCTCCCAAGTGATCTTACTACTGGGTTTCCGTAGTACAGACATTCAGGATCCTGGACCCGCTGAAGCCAGGGGAGGAAGCACCCTGGCGGGTCACTGGCTGATGGAAGGACAGGCGCCGTGATGGTTAAGTGTGTCCATGTTGGCTACCTGATTTCTTTTCAGCCAGTCTCAGCTTTGGTTGGTTTGTTTGACTGCCTCAAATCCTCGGTGGTCACCCTTATTTTTTATCTGGAATGTGTTCCCCACTCTGTAGAGGACTGAGCAGGGAGATTGCTGTGCATCCTTGAAGGGTTCCATTTTGACCCTGATCATCCTCAGTAGACATGGAAGCTACTCCAAGCGTGGCCTTGGAGGTTTGGGGACCCTGGACAGCATACAAATGGAGGGGTGAGGGGCAGCCGAGGGAAAGAAATTACTCAGAATATGCAGTAAGAACCATGTCTGGTTTCTGGTTTCTGTGTTTGGCAACACAGTAATGGGATTCCTTGCATTTCTCCCAGAAAAGCATTGGTGGGGAAAAAACTTTGTTCTGGGAGGTATGGTGATCATCAAATGCTATGAAGGCCCACACTGGACATACTTAAGCTGTGGAGGGCTGTGTTTCCCTTTGAGCATTTATTGAAGGCAGATCCTCTTCCCAGAGAAATACCAACACACAGGTAAGTTTGTGTTCAGGACCCGGGACTCCTTGGAGCCATGGATACCCACCCATGACCCCTATGGGATGGGGAAGTTCACAAAAGGCACAACGAAAAAAAGTCTTTCAGGTGGGGCTGGGGAAGGCAGTGAAATGTTAGCATATGCTTGCTTCCCGGTTCTCACTTCTGGCTGTTCTCTGTCCTCTCTCCACCTCCGGCAGCAGCAGCACAAAGGCATCTCTACGCCCATCGGCCTGCCCCAGAGACCTCCCTGGCATGGTGTGGTGGGGCAGCTGGTGTTGTGAATCAGGCCGTTGCCAATCAGAGAACGGCTACTTCACAACACCAGGGCCACACCACACTACAGGCAGCATTCCAGCTCCAGAACCCGCAAGGGCGCCCTCTGGCGAGGCAGCTACACCCGTCACAGAGGACCCTCGGCTCCAGAACCCAGGCACGCGGCTTTCCAGTTCTGGGCTGGCTGCTGCAGCTCCCCTGCAGACACTGGCCTCCTGAGGCTGCTGTTTATCCCCCAACACAAATGCTCCACTTTTAAAGAAAAAGACACTCCTGGTAACATTAGCTTCCTACAGAGAAAATGGTGCTACCAGGTTTCCCACTGTGAAAATGAAGTTATGGGCCATCAGGAGGGTTAAGCGCCACTCAACTGAACATTTCCTCCTAGGTGCCAAAACACACAATGGTTGCGGAGTTGGGACCTTTGTTTTGATACTTGGTGATGGTAGCTTTGAATAGGGCAAAGTAGAGGGAAGGGAGGACCTAGTAATAGGACGGTGGCCTCCTGGAGAGAGGAAGGCTCTTTGTAGCCACACATGCAGGTAATGCATCCACTTCCTAGATGGTCCCAGGGTCCCTGGAAAGCAAACACCTTTCTTGGCCAGGGAGAGTTCCACAGCTCTCCATCAGTGCATGTCCCAGTGACCTGAGGGCTGGACGAGAACCAAGCATGGGATTGTTCCTAGGGCACTGATCTGCCAGACACTCCATCAAAGGTAATACTTGCCATCACCTGTGCTGACAGATGGGCTTCCTTTCCCCAGGTCCTTACAGCCATGGACCCAGCAGAGCTGGAAAACTAATGGAGGTCTCTAGAGTTGGAGTAGTATTTTGTGCCTAACTTAAATCTTATATGTGACATCACCATTTTTCAGAGCCCAAGCAAGAGTTTTCAAGATAGAGTGGCTGGGTTGGCTGGTGTCCTTTCCATAACGCTAATAAAAAGGAGGATATTCCTCTCTCTAGTTTTCTACAGGACAAAGATCCAGAGCCACTCTGATTAACTCAGGCCCAGTCTATAGTCTGTTTGTATAGGGTTCTTGCTGCTCTGAAAACCAGAGAGACGGATAAAAACAAGCACCATGCAAACCTTGCATAGCACCCAGGTTACATAGAGCCTGAGTTAACCAGAGCCACCTGCATCTGTATCACCTTAGAATTATGGAGGGTGAGTCTACTTCTGTAAAGTTCTATCCCTCACTCCATCCCTATATCGTTAAGGGCATCTCTGAAATTTGTACTAAATTATGTTTAGGGACAAATATCTTCAAAGCAAAATAGTCCCAGTTTTCAGAAAGGGCTTCTTGCTGTCTCCTAAGAATTCATCCAGTTACCAACTCCCCTACGACCAACGGAGTCCAAGCTAGAGCCACTCATGGTGTGGTCCATGGGTGGCAGCTTCAGCATGTTGGAAAAGCAGGATCCCAGGGACCACCATGCACCTGCTCCATCAGAATCTCCAGTGGCCAACTCGGGGAACATAGCCAGACCTAATCTCTATAAAGAATGTTTTTAAAAATTAGACAGGGGTGTGGTGGCACACACCTGTAGTCTCATCATCTCCTCAGGCAGCTGAGGTGGGAGGACGTTTTGAGCCCAGGAGTTTGAGGCTGCAGTGAGCAGAGATTGTGCCACTATACTCCACCTTGGGTAACAGCAAGACCCTGTTTTAAAAAAAAAAATCTCCAGTGGGGACAGCAAGCTGGGCAGGAACTATGTTACAGGCACTCCAGGGGATGCTTCAAAACCACTTCCACCCTTTTTGGGTCTCCCCACAACCTCTCCAGCTTCCATTTCAGCCTTATCTCTTCCACATGTTATAACCAGAATGATCTTTTCAAAATGCACTCCTAAATCACGCAAATGCCTCCCATTCCTGGCCTTATAACTGCTTAAAGGGTTGTCCTCACGCTAACTTCAGTGGGACCCATGAATGACATCCACTCCCTTCCCTACCCTCCTCCCTTTTTATAAGATCCCTCTGGCCCCTGCCCCAGGGCCTTCGTTCAGCTCCACCCTATCTAGAAGGCTCCCAGCTGCCTCCAGACTCCCATCATTGATGCCTGACCGTCCTCCAAGTTTCAGACAGAGCCAACTCCCACTACCCAGAAGGCCAGGTCAGGTAACAGCTCTCCCGTGCACTCAGCAAGCTGAATTCCATCCCTTCAGAGCATTCATCTCATTTTGTCATTACTCGTTCATTAGTGGGAATCTTTGCTGAATCTGTGTCTTTCCCACTGGTCATAAGCTCCTTGAGGGCAGGAATATTCAGCTTCATTCACTGCTGTACCCTCCAGCCTAGTTCAGTGTCTGGCACTGAGTAGACACTGAATAAATCTGTTCAATGAATGGATGAGCACAGCCCAAGCCCAGCGTCCTTCAAGGTCAGACACTCTTGCTATTTGTTGAAGCCCTGGGTCTTTGTTTCCTTTCAGTGGTATCATCATTAATAGCAGCAGGCAATTACAGAATAGAAACTGTGCCAGGCACTGCCCTGAGCCCTCCATTTACATTTAGCCATGTACTCGGTACCTCCATTTCCTCCTCATAAGCAGGCAGGTCATGTAACCACCCTATCAGGTAAGTACCAAGACCACACCATCCATATTGTTGGTGATTGGTGTCGCTGCTGTTTAAACCCAAGCACTCTGGCCTCAGAGTCCATGTGCTGAGCCACTGCTCCCTGCTGCTGAGGAGCCAGCATGAAGGGGACAAAGCTGATGATGGAAGTCCAGGGCCGCTCCCAGGGACTGAGCAAAGCCTTCTCCATTCTCAGAGGCTTCCACTCTGGTTTCTTAAACCAGGTAGACCAGGCAGTGTTCTCTCCCTTTGTGCATTTGTAGATTCTAACCTTGTTTAAAGCACTTCATAATGGAACCTGATTAAAAACCTAATAAAATATAAAATGGGGTCAAGTCCAGAGAGAGAATGAGAGAACCATTTAAGATCCAGAGGATGCTCTACTTAATTTTGGTATTGAGCTGCTGAATTCATTTGAAGTTTGTACAGTGACCTTCAGAGGTTGAGACTGCAAAGGCAAATTGTGCTCCCCACCCACCTCACCCCACCCCTGCCCAGAACTCTTTCCTCAAGGCTAGCCTAGGGGAGCACAACCTTGGGCTGCTTCCCCTGCATGCTTAGATCCAGCCAGAGCCCCCCTGCTGGGCCACAGACCTCCATCCCCATAGCGGCTTCTTTTCCAAAGTGCATTCACCTCATTGAGAACAGCCTCTCCCCTCCTGAACATTCCAGACATTCCACTCAGGCTGACTTAATGCCACCTGGCCAGAAAAAAACAGTGTCCATTCCCCCTTTTCTAAAACCTTGATTTTGTGATCGTTTGAACCTTTGAGTTTAGAATCACTGTATTATAACTTCCTTGGGATCCTACCTTTGCAGCTAGCCACATTCCAAATTATAAGACTCTCTCTGGAAGCCCGTTGTAGACAACCAAAAGCCCTGATGATGTAAGGGAGCTCGCCAGACACACACTTTCATACTCACCACCTTGTCTTAAGCTGCTTACCATCTGCTGGCCCCAGTCAGCTCTTCTGGGAAAAGCTGCGTTTGGAAAAGGAGTTCCCCGAATGTATTTAATATCAAATGGAGCAATGGTTCTCAAAGTGTGCTCCCTGGAGCAGCAGCAGCACCAGCATCTCCTGGGAACGCTTTAGACATGCACATCCTCCAGCCCCACCCACCCCTGCTGAGTTAGAAGCTCTGCGGTGAGGCCAGTGCACTCAAGTTTGGGAACTACCAATATAGAGTAAAAGATGGGGGAGAAAACCCCTTGAGTATCAAATTTAGAAGGCCACAATAGTGAAGCGTCTGTGCCTACTGTTTGCAGAATGTGGAAGGTTTAGGGTGTTTACTACTGTATGTTGAATAATGATTCTCTTAAAACTTTTGTGAATTGTAAAAGTAAATCCCTAGGAATGCTGGGCAGTGATAACCTGACTCTCCCATTTTCACCTGCATACACATACCCAGAACATCCTTTTCTCCTTCACAACAGGGAAGTTGGAAGGTAAAAGTTATTTTCTACCAATATAAAGTCTTAGATTTTTATTTACTAAATTCTTAACACAGTACATGGCACAGTTACCTTTTAAAGGCTTTCCATTTCTTTAATCTGAGCCCACAGCAACCCCATTTTAAGGAGAGGAACTAGAGCCAGAGAGATTTAGGAGCCAGCCTGTACCTCAGGAATGAGAGACATTACTTGCGGGAGCAGAGATTTGAGCTCGGCAATACTCCCAGACCCACACTTGCCCTTGCTTTTGATTTTCTACCTCCCTAATGAACAAGTGGGGATCATGAAAGTCAGCTGTGCCCAGCTTACTTAGAGCACCTGTTTCTGTCTGAGCAATGAAAAGCCATTTGATTGGCGGTCAACTTGGAGAAACCTTGACCCTAAAAGATAATGCCATAAAGACCAAACACACTGGGCGATCATATCATTTCAACTTGACAAAATTTGTCGTACTCTTTTCTCGAGGTGGACTTCTTTTTTTGCTAGTGGCAGGGGTAGATATCCTTGTTTTGCTGGTAATTATCACCATTTACCTTAGACTTCATAGGTGGTTTTTTATGTATTCCTCATGAAAGCCATAGCCAAAGACCTTTTCAACCCCAAGCATCTGTCTCTTGGTAGGTACTGGCTTCAGGCAAGTGGCTTCTCTCATTAAGAAAATACAGTAATTTGAGTGTCATTGCTACAAGGGAAGTGTTCCTATGTACTCCATCACACCAACTGCAGTGAGACTATCAGGAAAGCTTTGGGTACCCTCCCCAGGAAAACTGCACATCACTCTGCTGAAATTTCAGGAAAAGTTTACGGGTCTCAAGGACAGAGTTGAAGTCAAAAAATTTCACCTTCATGTTAATTTTTTATGGATTTTTTAAGGGTGGGGGGAGGCAAAAAGATTTATTTCACCATTCCCTTTGTCTTCTTAAAACTCAGAAGAAACCTCACAGACCAATGAGAGAGTTTGAAATCGCTATTTTAAGAGGCATAGCATAAAAGAATTTTGATAGAAAAGTAGAGCAAAATAAGCAGTAAAACCTCATCCCTAACATTCTCCAGCTGCCTGACATCCTGGTTCAGTTCCAGAGACTTGGACCACTGCTCCCTAGTTCCAGGGGGTGGCACAGGAGCCAAAAACGAGACCTGAGGCTGAAGCCCAACAGAAGATGAAACTTGGGAGCAGCCTCAGCTTCGGGAATCCTCACTTCCTGGCACAGCAGGTTTGGGTGCCACAGAGCCCAGGGCTAGACACCTGCCAGCAGTCCATCAGTCACAGTCTCAGATGAGTGGCATCAAGGTGGAGCCCACTGAGGTGAAGGAAGGAGCTGTGAGGGACACCTGCATCCTGCTGCAGAAATGTCTGCCCCCCGCCTTGTCCCACCGCAGCTCTATCTCACAGTTGGAGAAGCAGAAGCAAAGCAACCTGTCCTGGACCATGCAGCCTGGTCCTCTGTTTCCAGAGCCAGAGGTCTTTGTGCTCTGAAACAAAGACAGTGACCCCATTAACCCACTGGCACTTACTGTGTGCCAGGCACTCAGCCTGTGTTGTCTCATTGCAGCACAGAGCAGCCCTGGGAATGGAAGCAGTGTCATCATTCCCATTTTTCAGGTGAGGCACAGGCTCAGAAAGGTCAAGAAACTTGCTCACGGTCTCACAGCTGGTGAGTAGGTTGTCAGACTCCAAAGATGTGTGCTGCTAACCCTGCCCAAAGGGACTTCATCCTCCTCCCTCCTTCCCAGGCAGTTCTCCCAACCACCCACCAACAGGCAACGTAGGTGTGATTGCCTTCAAAGTTTTCTACTTGCCTTCAAGCTTGAAGCACTGGAGACTGAGGGAAGAGAGCACTGGAAGTGGAGGAAGAAAAAAGAGCTGTTCCCTCCAAGGTTGTTCCCTTGGGCCTGACTCGACTGGAAGAAGCAGGGTGTATATGTGTGTGTGTGTGTAATTGACTTTGTGACCATGAAACTGAGTTAATACTCTTCTGTCTTTGCCTGTTTCTTCTTGTACATCACCTAGAGGAATACCCATTAATGTTTAGAGGCAGAGAACAATAGAAAATAGCACTGTTCAAGGACCAAAAATTTAAAAAGACTGCTGACATACAGCATAGAATGTGAAAGTCCCTGATAATCTTATCCCTAGGGATAACCACTTGCCATTTTTTTACAATTTCAATTTTTTATGATTATAAAAGTCATACACATTTAAAAATACTTCAAAATAAATACAAAATAAAAATAAATGCTTCATTGCTTAGGTTACCTTGGTACATGCAAGGTCTGAGACCACATCCATCAATGCAGTTTGCTGCGTGGATTACCAGATCTCTCCAACATTGACCTCAATTTTTTACTCTGAGAGCAAACAGAATGGGCAAGGGCTGACCTGAAATCCTTTTGAAACACAAGCTGGATCCTAGGGCTTTGACCTCCACTGCTCACTGCCACATGGGATCCGTCTCTGTGCCCCACTCTGCCCCAGCCCCACTGGCCTTCCTGCTGCTGCTCACACAGGCCTACTCTTAAGGCCTTTGCATACTCTGTTCCCTGCAGAGGCCTCTGCCTCTGAACAAATGTGGGACCCATCTCTGCCAAGGCTGGGAAGCAAACAGCCCCCACTTTGCCTTGTCAGCCTGTGTTTGCACCATTCCTGTGGTGGCCTCTCCCAGCTGCTTTCACGTGGGATTTGAGCTCTGGGAAGCTGGAAGTTTGTGGAGTCCACTTCCCTCATTTTGCATATATGGATGATAAAGCCCACAGGCAAGGGCTCTGACAAAAGGAAAGATTCCTTCCATTTGGCATTGTGATGCAGAGGCTGTCACAGACAAGCCTGGGAATTTGGGATACATCTTGCTGAGCCTAGAGACAGAAAAGAGCTTCTAGGCTGCCTTCCCTGAGCCCCGGGCCAGGCCCCTCCAGGACACACTTGCATGGCACCCTGTTCTTTAAAACACTGCACACCAACGACTATGCAAAGGATTAACTGACTTCTCAATATTCTTGTTTTCTACCGAGTGATAAGCTTCAGAAGGACAAGGTATGAGTCCGTTTTGCTCTTTTGCCTTCCCCAGCACATGGCACAATGCCCAGCACATAGTGTTTTGAGAGACAGCTGACTGGCTGTCTCATACAAGGCCCTGCTCTGTTGGGCACAAGGGCTGCTTAACACATTCCTATGCTACAAAAGACAGTGCTCCTCTCCAGGAACCACCAAATAAATTCAGATACTAATGCCAAAAAGAAGGCAGCATCAGCTTGGGAAAAGAGTGCCTTTAAGGCACTGTTTCTCTCTATGAAGGCAGTGTGGAATGATAGGGATGATCTAGGACCTAGAGGAGAGACCTTAAGTCTTACTTGCAGCCAAAAGCCTTCAAACCTGAGCTAGCCAGAACTGTTACATCAGAATTCTCACCCATGACAAGAAGCCTGGAGGGAGTCCAGGGTTGATGGATTGACTTAAGGTGTCATCAAAAGCTTAGACTTTACCCTTCTGCTGCACCACCCTTATTGCCTTGTTGTCACAAGAGGACTACTGCTGTTCAAGTCATCACTTCCACATTCCAGAAGGAAGAAAGGAGAGGTAGAGGGCCAGAAGTATCCCCTCCTTTTATCAGGAGCCATTAACTTTCCCAGAAACTTCCATGTCCACCCAGCAGACCTCCACTTACATCTCACTAGGCAGAACTCCTATCACTTGGCCACCCCAGCAGTCAGGGAAGCTGGAAGGGTGAGCATTCAGCTATAGAGAGTGGAAGCACAAGCAGCAAGGGAAGAACAGGTCAGTAATTGCTGTAGAGTTTCCTGCCCAGCAGCATCTGCCAAAACTAGGTAAATTATTTTTTAACATAATAGTATTTTTGTGGATTTTCTTACAAAAGCAATGCATATATATTGTTACTTTGAAAAATAAAGATTTTAAATCTTCAACAAGCCCATTACTCAGGAGTGATGACTGTTATTCTTGGTTTATTAGCTTTCTAGATCTTTGTATTTTTTTTAACGTGGGTAGAACCACAATATGGGTTGCTCTGAAATTAGCCTTTACACTTGGCATTGTGAAAAATCTTTCCAAATCATTAAATGTTCTCTGCAGAATTACATTTTATGTATTTGTGTTTTATTGAATAAGGCACATAATTTGTTTATTCAGTCTCTTGGTGTTCGGCATGTTTATAACAGTAAAATGTGAGAAACCAAAACTAGTGATTCTCCTTGTAGCTCAATCTTTGACCCAGATGTTCCCCTTCTAGGAATGTCTTGGAGTATCTGTGGTTGTGTACATCTTTAGAGCTTTTGAAACTTCCCACCAAATCGCCTTTTTAGATGAACTGTTCCAATGTACGATCCCAAGAAATGAGAGTACCCATTTCCACCCCCTAAAATTTTCACCAACACTTAAAAAAAAGACTGGGGAACAGGAATGGTAACCTAGCCCAGCCCTCTTGTTTCCAAGATGAGAGAACAAAGGGAAGCACTTGCACAGGACATACAGCATGGCCAGCCTTGGAACCCAGGTGGCAAGATGGAAGGCCAGGCCCCTCCGGGGTTCTCAAGGAGAGACGGACAAGGTCAGAAGACTTCAGGGGCATGATGCCTTGTAGACCATGGGTGTGTGCAGTCCCTGGTCTGGCAGTCCCTGGGTGGACAGATTTGCTCATGACTCAGCATCGTATTTCAACCCAAGTTGTGTGACCCTAAGCTTCTCACTTAACTGTTTCTGGGATCAGTAAAAAGAGGAAATAGGGCCCAGAACCAGGTCCTGTTGTCAGCCATCATGTCTGTTAGGGACTGAATTGTGTCCTCCTAAACTTATGTGTTGAAGCTCTAACCTCCAATGTGATTGTATTTGGAGATGGGACCTTTAAGGAGACAATAGAGGTTAAATTAGGTCATAAGGGCGGGACCCTAATCCAATAAGACTGGTATTCTCCTAAGAGGAAGAGACTCCAAAAAGGTGAGTTACCAGAGGAAAGATCATGTGAGGACTCAGCGAGGAGGTGGCCTTCTACAACCCAAAGAGAGAGGCCTCAGGAGAAACCAAACAGTCCAAGCTACGTTGATCTTGGGCTTCTAGACTCCAGAACTGTGAGAAATACCTTCCTGTTGTTTTAGCCAACCAGTCTGTGGTATTATGGCAACGGCAGAACACTCATACAGTGCCCCAACAGGTGTAGCAATCACTGCTACTTCTCCTGAATCCCAAGCCACAAGTGTCAGATACCCTAAAACTGGAGTCAGATTCTTTCCATAATCCTTGAATATGCATGTGGCAGATGCTATGGGTGCCCCACGCAGGGCTGTGATGGACATTTCCCTGCATGCTGACTGCATCCACGCCACCCCTCTCCAGCTATATATACTTGAAGCTCTTGCTGGTGCCCTGGGAGCCGCTCAGCCTACATACAGGCCATAGGTGCTAAGTACCTGGGAGCCAACGCCCGTGAAGCTGTATTCCACCAGTGAGGAATGGAAGTCAGAATTGTCCCAACATTCTGCATAGCTCCCCAGATGGTCTCCAGCAGGATGGAACCCCAGTTGCCCATCTGGACTGGTTCATTGATGCCCTTTATTGGCTCATATTCCTCTCCTCTCTTACACCTCCCTCCCCTGCAAACTCATTCCAGGACCGCTTCGTGGAATGTCCTCTCAGGTAAACTACTTGCCACAGCATTTGCCTTTGAGGGAACCCAAACTAAAGCATGTGAAAAAGCTGTGGGAGGAGTTGTTGTTGTTGTTTTAATAGATTATATTTTTAGAGCAAAACTGAGTGGAAGGTACAGATTTCCTATGAACTCCCTCCCCCATACCTACATAGCCTCCTCTGTTATCAGTGTCCCCCACCAGAGTGGTACAGTGGTTATAATTGATGAGCCCACCTTAGCACATCATTATCACATAAAAGTCCATAGTTCACATTAGGGTTCACTCTTGATGTTGTATATTCTATAGGTTTTGACAAACTTAATGACATGTGTCTTCCACTATAGTATCATACAGAATAGTTTCACTGCCCGATTCTCTGTGCTCCACCTATTTATCTCTCCCTTTCTTCTAACCCCTGGCAACCACTGATCTTTTTACCTTTGATGTTGTATATTCTACAGGTTTTGACAAACATATAATGACATGTGTCTTCCACTATAGTATCATACAGAATTGTTTCACTGCCCTAAATATTGTCTGTGCTCCACCTATTCATCTCTCCCTTTCTCCTAACCCCTGGCAACCATTCATCTTTTTACTTAATTTTGCCTTTTCCAGAATGCCACATAGTTGGAATTATACAGCATGCAGTCTTTTCAGATTGGCTTATTTAACTTAGTAATATGCATTTAAGGTCTTTCCATGTTTTCTGTGGGTTGAGAGCTCTAAATGACCTTAGGTTTCACAGTGACTTTTTAGATATGACACCAGAGTCATGATCCTGGAAAGAAAGAATTGGTAAGCTGGGCCAGGCATGGTGGCTAACGCCTATAATCCCAGCACTCTGGGAGGCCGAGGCAGGTGGATCACCTGAGGTCAGGAGTTTGAGACCAGCCTGACCAATATAGTGAAACCCCATCTCTACTAAAAATACAAAAACTAGCTGGGCATGGTGGCGTGCATCTGTAGTCCCAGCTACTGGGGAGGCTGAGACAGGAGAATTGCTTGAACCTGGGAGGCAAAGGTTGCAGTGAGCTGAGATTGTGCTACTGCCCTCCAGCCTGGGTAACAGAGCGAGACTTTGTCTCAATAAATAAATAAATAAGGAATTGGTAAGCTAGACTTTACTAAAATTAAAATTTTCTCCTCTGTGAAAGACACTGTGAAGAAAATGAAATGACAAGCCACAGACTGGGAGGAAATATTGCAAAAGACATATCTGATAAAGGACTGTCATGCGAAATATATGAAGAACTCCTGAAACTCAACAATGATAAACAACCCGATTTAAAAATGAGCCAAAGACCTGAACAGATACCTCACCAAAGAATATATACAGGTGGCAAATAAGCATAGGGAAAGATGCCCCACATCATATGTCATGAGGGAAATGCACATTAAAACAACAGTGAAGTACCGCTACACCCCTATTAGAATAATCCAAGTCCAGAACGCTGACAACATGAAATGGTGAGGATTGGAGCAACAGGAACTCTCATTCACTGCTGGTAGGAATGCAAAATGAGACAGTCACTTTGGAAGATGTTTTGGCAGTTTCCTATAAAACTAAACACATTCTTTCCATATGACCCAGCAATAACACTTCTTGTTTTTTTACCCAAGGGAGTTGAAAACATATGTCCACACAAAAACCTGCAGATTGATGTTTATATTATAGCAGCTTTATTCTTAATGGCTAAAACTTGGAAGCAACCAAGGTGTCCTTCAGTAGGTGAACAGATAAATAAGCCATGGTAATCCAGATGATGGAATATTATTCAGAACTAAAAAGAAAGCTCTGTTTTTAACCCAAGACAGACCCAGGTGCATATACACACACACCACCCAAATAGAACATTTGCTCAGGGGGCAATGAGCAGCCCCTGAAGCTGCAGAGCCCAAGTCCTTATTATGGGGATGATGGCAGTTGAAGCAATGGCCTCTGCCACAGGACATCAAAGCAGGAGCCTTCAAGTTAGACATAGCTATGTCCCAATCCCAGCACTCACACTCACTAGCAGGAAAATCTTAGGGGATAACTAGCTACGTCTGCATTTCATCAACTGGGGGAGTGGAAATAACACCAACTTCACAGGATAAGTGAGAGGCCTGAGAACAAGATAAAACAGTGTCAAGATAAAACTCTGTGCTCAGTGGAAGGCAGCCATGGAGCTGTGCAGCTCAGATCTCCCTACCAGGAAGGAATTCCTGTTCAGCCACAAGGAACACAGTGAGCTGGCAGCCTCCTGCTGCAGAGCCTTCAAGTATGCCTCAGCTTTTGAGCAGAGGCCGTACTCTTTCCGGGCAGTCGCCAGCTAAAGACAGAGGCACAGCAGAGTACTAGGGCCTGGCCATTTCTATCCAACATAGGGCTTCTCTAAGAGGAAACCTGTGTGCAGGAGCTCTGTGTTGAACTGGCTGAGACCATCGGGTCATACTGCAGGCTGAGGTTCTCCTGCCCAAACCTGCCTCCTCTCCTTTTTCTCTCACAGGCATCCCACTCCTCCTGCCCCCATGCAAACCTCTCTCACTCCTGCTTCTCTCTCACCTGGGTTCACTGAAAGAGGATGCTAACACATCTTTCCCTTCCTCCCTTGTTTCTATACCTACTGCACAAAATAGCAGCAACAGAGACAGGTTTTCATTGGGTTTCATTTGACAATCTCTAGATATTTTATCCTGGTGGGATCCTCCAAAGGAATCAGGATCATTCAGGGCTCTTCCATGCAACCAAGAGAGAGACCCCAGTTCATTGGATAAGAAAAGGCATAAGAATTCACTGGAATACTATGGGATACTCGGAGAACTTAAGGAAAGCTAAAGAACCAGGGTAAGAACCAGATGGCTCACAATCTCTGAGAATTAGTAAGCTCTCTTTTTTCAGACCACCACTGTTGACAGCAATAAGCTCCTGTCAAATTTTTGTCCTTGTAACATCCCACTCAGGGCTCAGATTCCAAGGAGAAGGTGTCTAATTGAACCAGGAGGTGGTGGGGTGCTCTGAGAAGCAACTATTCTTCCATTGATGGACAGACCCACTGACCTTGTGTCCAAAGCAAGATCAGGGCACCTGCCATCAGAAGGTGGATGGATCTGCCAGGTGGCTAACTCTACCCACATCATCCAACAGAATCTAATGGGAGAAGAAAAAGTGTCCCCCCTTCTCCAATTACTGCCAAGAGCTCAAATGTATCTCCAATTCATTTCCACCTAACCACCATCTATTCCTACCCTAAGAGTTTAATTTGAGTTTCTTGGGTTCAGTATCATTGTGCCTAATCTTAAATTTTTCATCCTCGCAAGTATCAGGAGTCAAGGATATGTTCAAACACTCTCAAAAATACTTATTTGGGATATAACAAGCTGCTTTTCTTTCCTCCAAAAGAAAATAAGCCCTCCCTGACCCAACCCTTCCCACACTTGCCACCAGCACCATGATGGAGGACAATCAGCCTTGAGAGTACCAGTTTCATCATCAGGCCCTCAAAGGTCTCAGGATTTATTGAAATCTTTAAAGGCCATTTCATGTTCCTTTAACTTTCCAAGTTAAGCTCCTCATCCCAACACAAAAGCACTTCTGATAGCTGGGGAAATTCATTGACATCCAAGAGGTCCACAGCAGGAGATGTGGCACCCTGCCCATATCCTCTAGGCAGGTATTCACCTTTAAACCGTACAGGCTGCTGCCTGCCCACTCTCTGCCTCAGAACTTTTGTAGGGCTTTATTTTTGTTTTGACTGCTCAAAGGTCATACTGGAACTGCAGAGAGTAAATCACCCCTAGGGAGAAGCCCTCATCCAGTGACAAATGGGGACTAAATAAATGCACCAACTCCCTTGTCCTTGGGGGAATACTGTGTGCTATATGGTCTTCCAAGTTCCTCGGTGGGACTAAGCTCCACTTGCCCACAGCAGTCACTTTTGAAAATGCACCTGTACTGGCCGCCTTCCTTTCCTGTCTCACTTCTCCTCTCTACTGCTGCTTCCTTGGATCCCCTCCCAAACAAATTACTTGCACATAAATCCTTGTCTCAGTCTGTTCCCCTAGAAGTAGACTCCGAGACAAAGCCCATCTTTAACCAGTTAAAGTTTCTGTCTAGAAACACTTAGAGCACAGCAGCTTCCCTCTGCTGCTGGCAGAAGTCAGGGAAGGAAGCACCAGGCAGGGGCCTCTGGCCAGCTGAGGGGACACCTATCTGTGCAAGCCACCCACCTTCTCCCCTAAGCTACTCAAGAGCCCAGACCTTGCGTCAGAGCGGCGGGTTCTGCCCTCTAGGCCTGGGTGGTGCTAGGAGGATGCTGCTAGGAATGGAAGGGATGCAGATGCCAACAGCCTTTCACTGCCTATAGGCACATTTCACACTGACAGGCTACCGGGGGTGTAACACTATTTTTATTTAAAACACCGGTTGCCATAGTAACATCCACATGACCCAATACTTATTCTAAGTCACACAGAAAATACCCTTGGGAAGGAATGAGAGAAGCACTGTGTGAGTGCAGTGCAGCCCTGGGAATCAAATAGCAAGCAGGCAGCGCCTGGAAAAGAAAATGCCACCACAGCCCACCTGTCTGAGCTCCTCCTCCAAACACCTGCCCAAGTCTTCCTGTGGTTTGTTTCACTTTGCAATTGATGAAAATGTTCAGAGGCCTATGGAGAGTGCTGCGATCTGCCCAGGCCTTGTGGGCTGCAGCTCTTCTCTGGAGGTCAGAAGTTTCCTCCAGAGTGACCTCAGCCACAGGTCAAGATGGGTGCTAAGAACCACCTTCAGCCCTAGGCACAGGGTGGTGAAGTGTGCAGGAGGACAGGCTTCCAGCTGCAGCCAGCTTTCCACAGCAGCTAAGGAGGCAGGGAGTTTACATCCCCACCATCCTGAAATGGGAAGGCCTGGTCTGGACCATGCCACCTGGAGGGTACCCCCAGAGGAGAAAAGGAAAAATCAAAAAGGAATTAGCTTTTAAGGACCAGAAGGAAAGCTCATTCTGTAGCAGCCCCCACCCCCTGCATGCCCTCCCTGACCTGGGCCATCAGGATTTCAGTTTTTATGCACCGATAGCAGTTTCTTTACTTCCTCATTAGCAAAAGCCCTAGGCAGACAATGTTAACATCTGAGGCCCTCAGAGACACTGAGGACCCCTGAGTGTCCCTGTGAGGCCTACAGAGCTTTGGACAGAGGCTATGATGGTTCAGCTCAGGTTGGGGCCTACCAGTCTGGCTGCCAGGGGAGCTCGGCATGCCTTGCCTATGCCATGCCAGGCAAGTTACTTCCCATTTCTGAGCCAGAGTTTTCATCTATGCCCCAGGCACAACAGTACCCATTTCACAGGTTTATCATAAGGATTAGATGATGATTGTAAAGTACCTGACACATACAGCAACCACTGATTAGTAATTGTTGATATGATTCTCGGGGAGGGGTAGGTATAGATCATCCTTGAGAAGCACCAAGTGGACAAATCACACAGAGCTTCTCCCTTTCCCCGATGGTTTGGTAACAATAATTACAATATAACCATGGCAAGTATCTATTGGACACTTGGTGTATGCAAGTACCTGGCTCATTTAATATTGACAGTGATTCTGTAAAGATCTGTGTTCATACACAGTGAGAAACTCTAGTTTCCCTATCACAGAGGGTAGATAACCTACCCAAGCAGCTGGTATGCTGTGGAGCTGGGACTTGAACCTGGATCTGGCTCCTGAATATGTGCTTTTAGACATCATGCTATGAAAGTGATCACCTGGGACTGCCTTACCCAAGAAGATGGTGGCAAAAGAGCAGGTAAGAGATGTTTGTGGAAGCAGGGCGGCGCCGGCCCTGGCTTTGTGGGTAATGACAGGGCTGAAGAGAGTTCAGGGCTGGCTGCTTGTATATTAGTCTCAGATCTGTGCCTGCCATCGTTATCGTCTCTCCGCCACCCCCCACCCCCAAGCCTGATTTGGCAGCCATAAGGACTCTTCCAGATTATCAATATCTATCATTCAGTGGCCAGACCTAGAAGAGGGCAGAATGGGCCCAGAGGGACAATTGAGAAGGTGCTGCTGTATTTTGAGTCATTGAAACATTTGTCCTGGGCCACAAGTGTGGGGTCCTCCAGAGTGAGGACCCTCATGAGCACCAGGCTCTGTGGGGCAGATAGGGGCTCTTGTGGGACAGCTCCTGCCTATGGTTGCTGCCACCAGCAGTGTCACAGAGGCAAGAGGAGGTTCCAGGGCTACAGCAGGGCCCTGTCAAAGCTGCAGTCTGCTATTCCTTACTCTGGTGGCCATTGGCATTGCTTTGAAGATGGAGGCAGTTTCAATGGGCCCTGGACCCCATTAACACTTCCTCTTAGAGAATGTTCTAACAGAGAAAAACATCAAGTAGGGTCTTAGTCTGACAGATCTGGGCAAGATGATCTGTTTGACATTGGAAATTCTTTAACCTCCAGAAGTCTCTATTTTCTCATCTTTCAAGTGGAAGTAATGCTCACCTGTAGCAGACACTGTCGGGCCTCACCCACAGCAGGTTGTTAGGGGACAGTTTCAGAAAGACCACGACTTCCTGCCTGAGGCTGTCCTCTGGCTACGGAAGTGAGCTCAACTGCAGGTGGTGGGGGTAGGAGGCAAAAGTGCCACAGTACTAATGCTCCAAAAGCAGCTCTCAGCCAATCAGGGCTGGGAAGTAGTGGGTGGACACCCTGGGTGACCACTGAATACCCCACACACTAATGCGCCTGTATCAGCTTCCCTCCCATCCCTCGATCACCTCCCCACACCATTAACAGGCTTCCTGGGAGCACATCCCCAATAAGCTACCCGAGTCTTCAGCTCGGGGTCTTCTTTGGAGAGAAGCCAACTTAAGATACCACCTCATATGGCTTGGGGAGAACTGAACGAGGATGCATGTCCAGCTCTCCACACAGTGAACACTTTAATAAAGTTGGCTATCTCTTGCTATGTAGAATACTTAGGGATAGAGTAGAGTTTAGCTGTGGGTTTACTTTGCACATTTATGAGCTCATTAGTTATTCTAAATTCCCTGACCTAGAAGGCCTCTAATTTGGGCTTAAATTTGGCTGTAGATACTCCTCCAACAAATTCTTTATCCTCACATGGATCACTGAGAAATATTCTATCTTCTAGGTCAGTTTTTCTAATAAAATTTCCCTATAACCTAAAGCAGAAGTCACATGGAACACATAAGACCTTAGGCAAAATTATGCAGTCAACACCCCTTTCCACTCACCCTTCAGACTCAAACTACCTTCCTGCTGTCCAAAGAGAGACCCTCCCCTATGCAGGAGAGACCCTGCACTCCCTAAATCTAACTTAGCTTAACTATTGAAAATAAAAGTATACTGTGTACAAATCTGTACTCAGGTGTGAATGACTTCCATTGTGGTAGGGAGCTCTAATTGAGGAGTGGAGTGAGCGTTTACCTAGGTCAGGGATAGCTGGAAGCAGGTTGTTCCTTCCCCTTTACACTTCTACAAGCCTTAAAATTTCTTTTGAATGTCCTGCTTCAGCTGAAGCTCATACATGCTTTTTGAATTCGACTCCATAAGTACTCATATTTTAGAAAAAAATAGAATTAGGGTCATAAGCCTGCCAACATGTTGAATACGAGTCACATTCCCTGACCTCTCATATGAAACGCCTTGACTGTGTTCAAGCTGTTGGGTTTTTCATCCTCTAATTCCACAGGGCTGCTTTGTGTGTTTTTAGAAAAGAAAAAAGAAATCAGACACATGCAACAGAATATTTGAATCAGAAAGTTAAAGAGAGGTTTGCCTTCTCCACTCATGGCTTCCTGTCCTGTCTAGAGCAGAGATCCTCAAACTTTAGTATAGATGAGAGTCATGGGGAAAGGAGATTTTTAAAATGCAGTCCTCAGACTCACTCCAGGAGGCTGATGTTTTTGGTCAGGGGTAGGCTTTGAGATTTTTTTTTCCAAGCTGGGATGCTGGTTATTGCAATGAAAGTTATCTCTGGATTTTCACTTTGTTCCTTTAAATCAGTATTTCTCACAAAGAGGTGTCCCTAGAACACTCCTATGCCCACCTCTGCTGTGGTTCCACTAAGCTCCCAGAGATATTCAAGCGGATCAGAGAGTGCTGCTTTTTGCCTGTCAAAAGCGAACAGCTTGAAAATTGAATGCTTCACAAAGAATCATGTACCTCAAGGATTACAAGCCTACAAATGAACCAGTTTGTTCATTTCTATTCTATTGCATGAATACAATCTTCTTTCTTATCCTCTCGATTCCTACAGACCATCGCCTGTTGCAGATGATGGTAACTCGCTTCTTCTCTTTCTTTTGTCTCCAAGAGTTGCGTGGATGATTTCATGAGTCACCCCACATGATTACAGCATTTCCCATTGCTCATCTGTAAATGCTGATTGACCAGCCCATCTGAACTTTCTGCATTATGCATCCTTGAGCTTAGTTTCAGGTATTCCTCCTGGAATGGCTTTCCCTTAGCAGTAGTTTCTCACAGTGGAGCTTGTTTCTGAGGCATGGTACAATGCTGTGGAGGCAAGGCAAGGAAAGGCTATTGCAATGATTTTCACAGCATCCAGATGAGGAGTTGCCTTCACAAAGGGAAACCATTCAGGATCCATGGCTTCTCAAGGGATCTCCAAGCATCTCTGAATTTGGGGATTTCATCAGTTACCCACAGAATCAAAATGATTATAGAATCAATATCTTTAAGAAAGTTATTTATTGCCACAATTGTTGTCATCTGTGACTCACAGGCTACGAAGTGAACTTCAACCATTAGTTGTTGTCCAGGTCCTCCAAATTTTTCACAGTATTCCTATCAAGGTTTTATGACACCAGCTGTATCCCGCCATTTTTGCAACATAGGCAGAAACGTCAAGCTGTGGGTAATTGACGTGCATGTCACTGATTCCCGCAGCAGCTTTGAATGCATTAAATCTATTTTCAGCAGCCCTTACATGGGAGTTGTTTTGTGAATCTCTGTAAAGGCCAATAAGAATATGTAGCATTGCACGATATAATCCAAGCCTGTGTGCTATATTATCTAGCACTGTTGGAATCTTGCATGTGTTCATTCCATATCCCGTTGGTAACCAAGTTAAAGGACTCTCATCAGTTTGGGTTAGATGGTCATCAACAGGAAAATGTTGCTGTAATGATGGTGTGATACTGCAAGTAACGGTTGTGCACATTGCTGTATTCACAGCAGCATGCACAACCATGTGTATTGATTCATTTGATATCAATATAGTATGGACACACCACACCACACATTATCACTGTATAGTATTAACAAGGCCAGAATATGGCCCTCTGCTGTTGGGGGTGTGGTAAGTGCGACTTGCCCTGGGATGAGTGGGAGGTTTTCCCCAAGGGGTACAGAGACCGGCACATATTCCATGTCTTGAGGGAACCTGTCTTTGTTTCCTTTGGCAGGTTCCTGCATGAATATGATTTTAAAATCCATGATTATTTATAGACATTCCAGAACTATGAGCTAGCTATAATGTACACCCCCTAAAGAGAAACTTCATTATATAAAATAGTAACAGAAGAAACAGGCTGCCCCTGGAAGTATTTGGCATGGACATGGCAGGTATGCATTCTGCAGAAAGGAGCCCTTGGGGGTTTCCTGCCATCAGAAGGAGAACATTTCCACCTCCATCCAATATTCTTGCTTAATTCTGCTCCAAAATCTTCCATCTCTACACTCCCCAGGCTTCTTCTTTGGCACACACTCATCTCCATTTGGATGAAGATTCAGAAAAATAAATATCAGCATCGAAATTGCTAATCAAATTTTTCAAAAACTGATCACCTTTCAGCATGATCCAGCCCAGCAGCACCACCTAGAGAAGCTGATTTGTCAGCTCCCAATGGGTACCAAGCGAAAGTTTTCTCCTTCACAATGAATCAAGGGAGTGATTTTAGGGGATAGGAGCCTCCTGGTCTGGACACATGTTTTAGGTTAGCATTACAGACTAAACTGATAGGAAGGGAAGGGCCTGGAGTCAAACAGCCCTGGAATCCCAGTTAAAGAGAAAGATCCAATATATTCCCATCCTCATCAACCAATGCTATCATACATACAGAGGGAGCCATAGCCCCAAACATAGACATGGAGGATAGCCCTCATTAAACCTGCCTCCTCCCAAAGAAGGATTAGGTTTACTCACTTCCAAGAAGCGATCATTCTTATCGTTAGAAGATTTGAGCACATGGCGTGTTACATCACTTACTTTTCTATCATATCTCAATCAGTTCTCATCAGGTGGCATTCACAACTACCATATCAGTATATTTCCTATCAGCTTCCTTCCTCCATCTCTTGATTTCCCAAGCCCCACAGTTTTTTCTCTTCCTCCCTCCCCAAGGTCCTGGCTCTGTTTGAAGAGGCAGCATGATGTTGCTGGAGGAAGTTCTTGTTCTGTGTATTCCAAACACTTTCCCATGGGATTACTCAACTGTTCTCAGAGCAGAGCTCCAGCAGGTTATATCTTCATTTGGGTTCTCTCGGAAGCAGACCCCAAGACAAAGATTTGGGTGCAAAAAGTTTTCTGTGGGAAGTGGCCAGGAAACATGGTTAGAGGAGTGGGAAAGTGGGATGTGGAAGGGTTCAAGCTAGTTACCCATGGGGGCCGCTGGAACTTAATGTCCCCCATAGGGATACTCTGGGAGCTGGTGTAGAATAAACATCTCAAAGAACTGGGATATTCATTAGTTGAGGGCTACTCCTAGAGGCTGTTAATTCCCCAGAACTTCCTGCCATCAACAAAAATGTCTTCTGTTGCCAGAATAAACTTCAGGCAACAGAATGCATGTGCAGGTAGCTGGGAAGGTGTGAGCAGGGCACCAGCAGCAGGAACTACAAATTCTGAGGCTAATAAAATTCTCTGGCTCTTTATTATCTCATCAAAGACCACTTCCTATCAGTAGTGAAACTAAGGGAAGATGGAAGGGAAGAAGGGGAGGAAATCCACTCTCTTACATTTCTCTAATGTAGCAATCATTAAGATAAAGCAAGAAGGTTCATTTCTAGAGGAAGACAACTTGTATGAAAGCATTGTAATATAATTTCACATGTGGTTATGATGTACAATAATTTTTATAATATAAATGTAGGAAGAAGTGTTCAAGGAAGTCTCACTATTTGCCATACATAGAAGACAGAACAGTGATCCCCAAGCTGGTTAGCCTTAGGGAATAGACTCTTGGGACAGGTGCCAGATCTTGAGAAGTTTGATGATTATCCAGGAGTAGCATGGATTTTAAAAGGTTGGGATGTGCTGTCAGCAAAATGAGGCCAAGAGGCTGAATACCATGTGACCAGAGACCCTGTTGAGTAGATGAGAACCACCTTGTGATTCAAAAAGATGAGGCACTTTAAAATAGAGTGTGTTGGATAACCCAGCCTCCCTTAGGAAAACAAGCCTGGCACCATCCGAGTTTCACCTTGGTGGGGTACAGTTTCCCTGTACCGTGGAGTGTCATCCCCATCTTAGAGTTCTCTCACTCTGAGGACTGCCTGAGAACCCGAATGCTCAGTTTCTCAGTCATGTCATCCTGATCTGCCCACAAAATCAGATTCTGGGATGAAGGCTTGTGTGAGGGTAGGTAAAGTGATCCCCCCAAGCAGGAGTGAGGTAGTGGGAAATGGAGGAAATGACAATAAAGGATGCATTGATGAGACGATCACTGCTATGGGCAACTGGGCTCTATCCCGCTGGGGACCTTCTGAGGCACCATATGGAATCTGTATCAGATGGAAAGCTGCACACTCATCCACAGGTCCATCCTCCAGAGGCATGAATGGCCTTGCACTTCTAGGCCGAGTGTGTATACAAGTCCACTGGGCCTCACCAGCTTTGGAAAAAGCTTCATAGCAGAAAAGCACAGGGAAGCTATGGACCCACTCATGGCAGTCATGATGGTGTTCCATCCAGAGCTCCTTCAACAGGATCTGCTGCAGGGAGTCTCCTCTTGCTGCACCCTCAGATATGCCTCAGCACTCACCCTAAGACCACTCTTTCCCTGGCTGCTCCCAGCCAACAACTGACTGCAATGGGGTTCTGGAACAAAACCATTCCTTCCCAGTGCAACACTCCCCTAAAGAGCAATCTTTACTCAGAGACTCACCCTTGGCTTGGCTAAGACTGTCTTAGAACTACTCAGAAGGTCTGAAGCTCTCCTCTTCTTTCACGACTATCAGACCTGCACCACAGTCTGAAGCCCTGCTGACTCCTGCTTCCTCCCCTTTACCCTTCACAGGTGTTCCCCCAATAAACTTCTTGCGCCTCTAATCCTGTTTTTAAATTTTTTGTATTATACTTTAAGTTCTAGGGTACATGTGCACAATGTGCAGGTTTGTTTCATATGTATACATGTGCCATGTTGGTGTGCTGCACCCATTAACTCATCATTTACATTAGGTATATCTCCTAATGCTATCCCTCCCCCTCCCCCCACCCCACAACAGGCCCTGGTGTGTGATGTTCCCCTTCTTGTGTCCAAGTGTTCTCATTGTTCAATTCCCACCTATGAGTGAGAACATGCAGTGCTTGGTTTTTTGTCCTTGCGATAGTTTGCTGAGAATGATGGTTTCCAGCTTCATCCATGTCCCTACAAAGGACATGAACTCATCCTTTTTAACTCTAATCCTGTTTTATCCTCTTCTTCTGGGAGGACCTCAATTGACACAAAGCTTGTGGAACACCATCGCCTGGGTTGGAACTGTCCACTACTGCGGTGCTGACATGAGAAGTAGCAAAGAACACGTGATGTAGGGATAAAATATATCTGAGTTCTCCCTTTATGGTTGGGTAACCATTAGATGGTGCAGCATATTCCCTTGGTTCTCTTTAGCCCGGGAAAATAGCTGATATTTTCAAAGGATTTCTTCAAATGCCAAAGGGAAAATATGAGGAGGTTGCCACAAGACAACACAAAGAGTGGTTTCCATGGGTGCTGCTCCTGGAAACACAGATGCTGCTGAAATCTGCAGTCACCCTCAGTCATTCACAGCTCCAGAACAAGGAGCAGAGTGGCTTCCACTCCTCCTCCTTTCCAGCCTCCTGCAAGTTCCTTGTATTGGCAAAGCCTGATAGAAACCCAACTGGCAAGATTCACTAGAAGAGCAGTTCCACACTTTAATGCACACTGCAAGGGAGAGCACTAGTCTTTAGTGCACACTGCAAGGGAGAGCACTAGAGAATCGAAGAATGGAAATGAAGGTGAGGACCAACAGGCAATTCCCAGGATGGAGAACAACGTACCCTTTAGTGTCATCAGATGGCACTGTCTCATGTGGGGTCAGGTTCTTTGCCCCACAAAGGTAATAGTATGGAGAGGGGACAGCACTGAGCTTGGGTCTTGCCAACCAGGCTTAAGTCCAACTTCTGCCAGGAAACAGCTATATGGCCTTGGGCAAGTAATGTCACCTCTCTGAGCCTCAGCAGCCTCATTTGTAATGCATAGGTGAAACTAGACTACAGATTTTCAAACAGTGCTCCAAGGAACTCTCTAGGGTACCACAGCCCCTTCAGGGGTTACTCAGCAGGTTGGGGGAGTATGCCAAGTCCAGCTAACTTAGACTCACCTTTCTGATTCCCATTTTAGGGTTTTCCAGGGTTTTCTTTAAAGCTTAAAATAAAAGTTTCAAAACTTAGGCCCAGGTGATCTTTAAGGTCCTTTCTATCCTTACCTTTCAAAAGTCTATGAGACTAGAATAAAAATCTGGCTCCTGCCAATTATGTGTGACTGGAGAAAGCCACCTAACATCTCTCATTTTTATTATCTCTAAAATGATGAGCTTATTAAACACCTGTGGTACATCAGGTGATTTGCACACATCCATATTCCACATCCATCCCCCATTCAAGGTATATACCATCAGTATCCTCATTTTACAGCGGAGGAAGCTGAGGCTCAGAGAGGCTAAGCAACACATCACATGACTCAGCCAGGAAATGGCTCAATATCTGTATCCTTCAGGCGTCAATATCTGTATTTTTTCAACTTTGCTGCCTTCCCAGTTTAGAGTGGTATGAGGAATAAATGAGACTATGAATGCAAAAATATTTTTTAAAAATACAAATTATTATGTAAGCGTACAAATTGTTATTCTGTCTTAGAGTCAGAATTACTTTTACCCCAATGGACCTAACTTTCTACCAAGACCTCCACAGTTCAATATCATGATAAAATGTCTCTGGTTTAATAATCCACTTTCAACAGCACTTACAGTTCTTGCTCATCACTTGTTCTTGACCCAGTCCGTGCACCATTGCTAACCCAATAGGCTCTGCCTCCCACTTCCACCAAGGGCGTTGGCCACTTTCCTTGCTTCTTGGCCCGAGCAGCCCTAGCCATGGTTCACACTTTCTACACTTGTAAAGGATGGTTCCCTGCCTTTGCTGCCATCATGACAGACTGGGGAGAAGCCCCCATGCTGGGGCTGACTGACAAGGAGAGACTGACTGCTGTGCCTGTGCACTGGCTGCTCTGAGTGTGCAAAGCTCCAACTTCCCCATCAGCTTCCCTGGAGCGTGAGAGAGTGAATGTCCCATTGGGAAGTCTTTGGAAGGAGCCACCAGATCAATGAAAGCCACCCTTTCTCCCCCACAACAGGCTGTTCCAAGATGCAATAATTGCCGATGACCAATCTGATGCACTTAAAATTTAAATATTCTAGTATATTCACCAGCCTTGTCATAGAGCTACATTTGTATATCCTTTATATTAATTTGTTACTCTTTCAGGATCATTATGAACTCATAGCAAAACAGATTCAAGTTGTTATAGTTAACTTTTTACTATTATTCTCATTTTGATTCTCAAGTTGTCACAACATGGCCAGTGGGAGGCCCTTTAAATTGACCTCTTTGTCCTTTCAGTGCTACCACAGACATTTTTTAAAGTATTCTTGCTTTAAAAAAAGATGTTTCAGGCTCATATGGACTTTTCCTTAACAAAAAAACAAAAATGATATGAGCTGCTCTCCAAGGGCCAGGTTCCTTTTAGTGGAGACTAGTGCTGGAAACCACACCAGAGGTGCATATCAGATTATTCCACATAAATACTGGCAGAAGATGGAGTGACACTGCTGCTGGGTCACTTTAAGGTTGGAAACACATTTACATTCAGCATCATGAGTTTTGTGTTACTATTTCTAACTTAACTCTAACATGTCTAAATTATTTTAGCCTTTACCATCTAACTTCATTTTCCTACAATATCCCTACCTACATTAATACCTCATCCACTCAACACTTTGTTTTGTCTTTTTTTTTTTTAAGATGGAGTCTCACTCTGTTGCCCAGGCTGGAGTGCAATGGCATGATCTCAGCTCACTGCAACCTCTACCTCCCCAGTTCAAGCGATTCTCCTGCCTCAGCCTCCCAAGTAGCTGGGATTACAGGTGTGTGCCACCATGTCCAGCTAATTTTTGTATTTTTTAGTAGAGACAGGATTTCTCTATGTTGGCCAGGTTGGTCTCAAACTCCTGGGCTCAAGTGATCCACCTGCCTCAGCCTCCCAAAGTGCTGGGATTACAGGTGTGAGCCACAGCACTGGCTGTTTTGTCCCATTTATAATTCTTCTATAGTCCTATAGTCATTTTGACTGAAAAAGACAAACTAACAGAAAATGGGCAGAAGACATAAACAGGCAGTTCAAAAAGAGGAAATAGAGAGGGTCAATAAAAATTTTAAAGTTCAGGCCGGGCGTAGTGGGTCACACCTGTAATCCCAGCACTTTGGGAGGCCGAGGTAGGTGGATCATGAGGTCAGGAGATCGAGACCATCTGGCTAACACAGTGAAACCCTGTCTCTACTAAAAATACAAAAAAATAGCTGGGCGTGGTGGGGAGTGCCTGTAGTCCCAGCTACTCTGGAGGCTGAGGCAGGAGAATGGCGTGAACCCAGGAGGTGGAGCTTGCAGTGAGTTGAGATTGCGCTACTGCACTCTAGCCTGGGCAACAGAGGGAAACTCTGTCTCAAAAAAATTTAAAGTTCAAATTTATTATTAATGAAATATATATGAACTAAAACAATATTTTGAAGGGTAATAATGTTATCAGACATACAAAGAAAGAATAATATCCAAAGTAGGATATTATTTGGTACCTCTGATTTCTTCTGTGTTTCTGCTTCATTCTCTTCTATGGATTGATATCCTCTATTTTCTCATAGTTTCTGCTCCCATATATCTTAGGGTTTCAAACAGCCCATCCTGAACTATTTGGCCCATTTAGACATTTGTGCTTCAGTTTCCACTACCATCTGTCTCATTTTTATCTGATTTTCTTAATTCAGAGTTCCCAGGCAGATCTAATTAGTAACATTCATATGTACATGCCAGGATCAGGCTAGCTTATGGGTTGGCTGGATCTACCTACCTCAAATCCAATCAGGTTTAGCTGTGTTATCATGTGGCACAAAACATGGCTTCCTACAATCAGGCCTCATAATACCTGGCTTGTCCATATACTGTGAGAGATCAATTATGTTTTTGCTTATGTTGTTTCCCAGTTTTTTACTCTTACAATGACCATACTATGTGCATGATTCTAACAATAACATAAGGAGAAAAAGAAATTCAATCAAGAAATAGGATCATTGAGAGATGTCCCATTTACAGTTTAATATACATTCAGCAATAGAACAGTCACTTGTTTAGCTAAGCCACCTCAAAAGTATGCCCCCTCCTCCTCCTAAGTCTTAACAAGATAATTGTTACTGAGAGCCATTCACATTATACAAGTATCACACAGTGGCTAAGGACAAGTTTACTCTGCAGCTAGATGGCCTGGGTTTGAACTGGCTTCTCCATTTATAAGTCTTGTGGCCTGCAGTAAGTTATTTTATCTTCTTTGCATCTGTTTGTTCTTCTGGAAAATGTTGTTTCAGTGAGTTTAGGCAGCTATACAGTTTAAAGAACAGTCCTCTACACAAGACTACTTACTTAGAGATGGAGTCTCATTCTATCACCCAGGCTGGAGTGCAGTGGCATAATCATAGCTCACTGCAGCCTTGAACTCCTGTCTCAGCCTCCTCAGTGGATAGGACTACAGGTGTGTACCACCATGCCCTGCTAATTTTTTTTCCCAGAGACACAACCTTGCTATGTTGTCCAGTCTCGTCTCAAACTCCAGGGCTCAAGCGAGATTCCTGCTTCAGCCTCTTAAAGCACTGGGATTACCGGAATGGGCCACCTTGCCTGGCCTACTCTCACTTCTGACACCACTTGCAATTCAGGGAATTCCCAAAACCACTCTCAGTTTTGATAATTGGCTGGAAAGACTCAAGAACTTACTGAAAGCTATTATATTCATGGTTAATTACAGGAAAATGATACAAGTTAAAATTAGCCACAGGAAGAGATGCACAGGGCAGAGTCTGGGAGGGGTCCAAATGCGGAGCTTCAAGTTGTCCTCCTCCCCTGGAGTCGTGGATGGCATTACCACCTCTCAGCCATGATGTATGACTATATGCATAGAGTACTGTCAAGCAGAGATGGTCATGTGAGCCTTTGATGTCCAGGGTTGTTATTGGGGCTTGATCACATATTGCCCAGGTGGCTGACCTTTAGTCCCCATACCCATTCAGAGGTTGGGCTAAAACCTTTAGTCATCCGTTCCTCCAGAAATCAGAAGTATACTGCATGGCCCAAAGTCCCCATTATAAATCCCATTGTTAGACTGTCCAATAGTTAAACCCCCAGGCAAATAAGGACATTTCTATCCGGCAGGACTCTCTAGGGCCCTCCTAGTAGCTTAGGGCAAAAGCCAGACCTCTCTTAGGGTAAGGTTAATTCTTCATTACACAGGGAATAATAGTTCCTATTTCATGGGTCATTGTAAGGATTAAATGAGAAAATACGTCTATCATCCCGCATCTGCAATTCCAAAATCCCAAATGCTCTGAAAACCAGAAGTTTTCTCATAAATCATTTAGTGGAAAAAGCTTACATGAGATTGTTTATATCTTTTTATCTCAGTTATACATTTTCCAAAAGAAATTACTGTCTGTGATTTTGGGGATGGTACCACAAATCCCCCCCCGCTCCCCACAGGATCATAACTTGCAGTCACCATCTATCACATCTTGCCTACCTAAAACCTGAAAATTCATCTAGCCCTGAGGAATTTAGATAAAGGATCCTTGAGCCTGTAGATGTAGGTGTTAATAACAGTCCCTAGAAAAGTCACTGCTTCATAAATGCAAACTGGTATTATTTTCTACTAAGATAAACACAAATTTAGGGAAAGAAGAAAATGCCCCCCAAAGTGATCAAGGCCAATAATTTACTATCCCTTTGTCAAAATTTTACCTCAACTTAAATTTTGACAAGAAAATTTCAGGAGAATATATACTATAAATGGAAGCCAAAAAATCTTGTAGAAAATGTATTGTGTTAGATATCATAAATATTACGTATTATATATTTTGACAAAAGTAAAAATTAAATATCATCACAGGCTCAAGCCCAGTTCAGAGGGTCCTCAGAGATTGCTGAGGATGTGAGGAGCAGGGAGCATACCATGAGACTTTGGGGGTTTAGCCACAGGCTTCCAGCCTATTGTGTATAATGATAAACTCTTACTGTGTATTTAGTTCTGAACTTCTGAAACTTGTCACCTGAGGAATTTTTTCAAACTTCCTACTAATTTTTAGACAAATTGATTTATTGCTTAATGAACCCACCAATTGTTCACATATTACTTTTTTCCTCTCTAAAAAATTTTCAGTGTGTCCTTTTATTTATGTCAAAATAGTAGAGTTATACTTGAAATTAGACCCTCAGAGAAGTCAATCAGGTTTTAAAATGTCAAAGAAGAAAGGAAAATGCCCAAGAGCCCCCCCACATCACAAGCAGGGAGGAAAACAGAACTATTCCAGGAGTGAACCTTTTCACACCCATCATTGCAACAACTTCAGTCTTTCCTAGAACCAGTTGGGACATGGATGGATATACACAGAAACCATCTCATCACAGGACCTCAGTCTCTGCTTCCCAATCCCCAAACCCAAAAAGCTCTGAAAATTGAAAAATTGAAAGATTTGTAACTGAGTTACAAACCTTGCCCTCGACTGATGGGAGTCTATTTTTAGTCATTATGAGACTCAGCATGAATATTTATAAGTTTGACGGCAGAAATATTAATGTACTTGATGATAGGGTGCTCCCCCAGACTCCAGTGGGGGTGTTAATAATATATATATGTTGAATTCTGAATTCTGCAATACATCAAGGTTTTGGATGAAAGATTACAGACTTACATGGTACAAGATCCCAAGGGTAGGTGTTGCCTTCATTTTAAAGACAATAAGATAGATTTAGAAATGTTAAGTAACTTGCTCGAAGCCATACAATAAGCAGCAAAATATTCTACACTTTGAAAGGACAAATACGTCAATTGCGACTTCCAACGGCCCAGCCTTCATGCGGCTTAGTCAGGGAGCTGATTTTACCTTAAGGTGGGGCTGGTACTTCTTAATAGACTGAAAATTACAAAAAGAGGTTTTGCCACTGGCAAAGTTATGCTGTTAAGATTTCAAACCAGCTCCCAGAGAGGCCTTCCCACCTCCACTTTTAAGGAAACTGTGCCCTCTGACTTTAAGGAGATACATTTCTTTTCATCCCTTAAAAGCAGAGGAATTTGATAAAGAAGTTGCCTGGCAAAGGAAAAAAAAAACTCACTAGACCGAAATCAAAACAAATCATTTTTTGCATATTAATCAGGTGCCTGATTGAAACTGTGCTAGCTGCTTCAAGAGAGGAATATTAAAAGTAAGGCGCTGCTAATTTAAGCACAACTAATTTTAAAAGACGTACCTAGAAACAGCCACATGGGAAAATCACTTAAGCTATATCAACCATCCGCTTCGCTTGATGGGATATGCCTTGGTTGGGAGCGCCAGTGTCATGATATTTACTTCGTCCCTGTAGGTAGACAGGGAAATCTGTCACTCCTGTAATCTGCAGGGCTCTGGTTTTAATGGATCCATCCCAATTTACTCCTGCCTCCCATGTGAGCAAGAGGAACCCAGAGGGAAGACCCTGACCTGCGGTCAAAATGACTGTCCAAGGAGCTGCCACAAAGCTTGAGCCCCACCATCCCCATGGAGCTGGCAGGCCACCCCTTCTTCCAAGAAGACAGTCCCATAGAAACTGCTGCTGGGCTCATTGGTAAACCTCACCTGTAGCAGACACTATTGAGACTGTTCCCAGATCTCCTCAGATCTCTTTTATGGGTTCTGTGCACCCCTCCCCAAGTTTGTGCCCACAACTCTCTTGGGAGGATTGTGCAGGGGCTGCTGGCACAGGCTTGCCTGCAGGCATTGGGAGTGTGTCCCCGGAGGCTACCTTTAGCCAGTGCCCAATTGGTAAAAGAATATGGAAGCTCAGCTCCTTTCCTTCTAGTCTAAGTATCATTTGTGCTCCAGAGCTCCTCTGTAGAATGAGAGCAAGGCTGTGACTCTGCCTGAAATCACCCCTTTCTGAGCATCTTCTCCTTCTTTGAACTGCTTCTCCTACTCCTTTACTGATGTCTTATCCTTTAAATAAAATTACTGCTTCTGGTTACCCCACCTGAGAGCATTGTACCCAAGGCTCTGAGATCTCAGTATAGAAGGTAGGTGCTATACTTTGAGGTGAACAATAAATTTCAGTTAACTTCTCTACACTTCTGGAAGGGATCTATTTACTTAAAGATCAGCTATTCCACTGGCACATACATCATTTACCACCTGAGCCTGCAAGGGGACAAGGCCAAAGAGAATAAGCTAGAACCAGAGTGGAGAACAGGACCCAGTCAGGTGCTCCTCTTTCCTCTCTCCAGAGCTGTGGATAACAGACAAGCATACCTGTGGCAGAAGCTATGGGCTACCCCAAAGTCTGTTCTCCCTTCCAGGAAGCCCCCAGTTATAAACTGGATACATGTCTACCCAGCCAGCCTCCATTCCAGCTAGATGTGGCCACACAGCTAAGTTCTCGCCACTGGGGTGTGAACGGAAGTGCTGTGCACAGCTTCCAAAGCATGCCTCCCTTTCTCCATTGCCCTGTGCAGATATGCTGGAAAGCCATCATTGCCCATGTGGATGAAGGCCACATCTGAAGAATGGAGGAAAAACAATAAAGAAGGATCTGGGTCCTCAACATCATGGAGTTGCCTAGACTGTTTTATAAAGAGAAAGAATTGTCTGTCAATGTCAGCCAAGTTAGTCTGAGTCCTTGTTAGGGCAGCCAAACCTATATTCTAATTAATACAATTATTTAGAGCAGGGGTCCCCAACTCCCAGGCCAAGGACCACCAGTCCGTGGCCTGTTGGGAACCAAGCTGCACAGCAGGAGGTGAAAGGCAGGCAAGTGACCAAAGCCTCATCTGTATTGAAAACCGCTCCCCATTGCTCCCATTACTGCCTGAGCTCCGCCCCTTGTCAGATCAGAGGCCGCATTAGATCCTCATAGAAGTGCAAAACCTATTATTAACTGCACATGCAAGGGATCTAGGTTGTATGCTCCTTATGATAATCTAATGCCTAATGATCTGTCATTGTCTCCCATCACCTGGTCTAGTTGGGACCATCTAGTTGCAGGAAAACAAGCTCAGGGCTCCCACTGATTCTACGTTATGGTGAGTTGTATAATTATTTATATATTACAATGTAATAATAATAGAAATAAAGCGCACAATAAATGTAATGCACTTGAATCATCCTGAAACCAGCCCCCTCCGTGCTTCTGCCAGGTCTGTGAAAAAATTGTCTTCCACAAAAGGTTGGGGACCACTGCCTTAGAATGCAGTGGATTATGAATTTTCTTTTTTTTTTTTCTTTTTTTTGAGATGGAGTCTCGCTCTGTTGCCCAGGATGGAGTGCAGTGGCGCGATCTCGGCTCACTGCAAGCTCCGCCTCCCGGGTTCATGCCATTCTCCTGCCTCAGCCTCCCGAGTAGCTGGGACTATAGGCGCCTGCCACCATGCCCAGCTAACTTTTCTTTTTTTGTATTTTTAGTAGAGATGGGGTTTCACCGTGTTAGCCAGGATGGTCTCGATCTCCTGACCTCGTGATCCACCCCCCTCAGCCTCCCAAAGTGCTGGGATTACAGGCATGAGCCACCGCGCCGAGCTGGGATTATGAATATTCTAATTGAGTCATCGATAAAGAGAAAGGAGGCTGTCTTAGGTTGTATTTCCCATAAAAGCTCCTGAGGTGATCATCCATGTCAAAGTGATTTATGATTAGAAAATGTTCCCAGGAAAACCTAGGGATAGATAAGGGAAGTAAGAAGAGGAGGCAGCCAAGCAAGAATTCGGTACCAGAGAAGGTCCATGGAGGGTGACTGTGGTTCAGTCTCTCAGGGAGTTCTGGGGATGGCATCAGCAGGACCTAAGTGTGTTGCAATCACAGGCAAGGGAGCTGGAGAATTTATAGCCCTGACACCTGCCAGTCCTCAGTCAAGCAATACTCCTATAAAAACATAAATATCTGAGTACTTCTGCATATCCATGCATACAAGCAGAGCAGGGTCCAGCAGTCTGAGCAGCCCTCCAGCAAAGAGGCACAGGTGCTGGCTGTTGGGAGTGAAAGCCCACTGGGAACCTACATGTACAAAAATGGTAAATGGATGGAGTGCTGACAGTATCTGCTAACAGAGGCCCTTTAAATTTTTGCCTGGAGGTCTCAAGTGATTACTCGTGGCATGCATTCCTGCAGCCCTTTCCATAAGAAACAACCTTGCCTGTCACCTTCACCTGGTCATTTCTATTGGCTATATCTAATGTTTTCAAATGTCTAAAATTGCGTTCTTTGGGCAACCATAATAAAACACAAGGTTATGTTTCAGAGGTCTCTGCAAGTCCTGAAAGAAAGAAAAACAAATCTTATAGGAGTTCATGATAAGGTCCTTTACTCCACACTCACGACTCAAAAATTCCAGCAGGAGAAATCATCTACCTTATTCCTGAATACGGAATGACACTGTTACCAAATTTATTCCATACCTACTTAGAAACAAGCACAGGCACTTTGTCATTCTTTCTAAGTAGAAAAAGGCTCTTGACAATATGACCTAAGGTGAACACATGCAATTCAAAACAAACTGGGCTGAAGATTGATTGCTACACACACATACTCTTCTTAAAAAGCGTACATAACATTTGCACATATAAAATTGCCAAGAAAAAAAAAGCAATCAACCACAAATCCCAGTGACAGTGAGTTAGGATATTGGAGCCTAGATACTCTTAGGTGCTGCTGATGGGAATGTAAATTACTACAATCCTTCTGAAAGTCAATATGGGAATATGTTTCAAAAGACTTAATATATGCATATACTTTGACCTCCCCCAACAAAGTCCATGCTCAGGAAATTTGGGGGATGTATAGTTCAATTAATTTTAATACATATATTCCTGTAACCACAAACACAATAAGGATACACCAAAAAACTCTTATACTATTTTATACTCATCCTCTCCCCACCCCCGTAATCCCTGGCAACCACTGATTTGTTCTTCAATCTCTATAGTTTTGTCTTCTTGAGAATATCATATCAGTGAAATCACGGAGTTTGCAAACTGCTTTCACGCAGCATAATGTGTATGAAGTTTAAGTTATTGCATTTATCAATAATTTGTTTCTTTTTATTGCTGAATGGTATAATATAGACATACTACAGTTGGTTTATCCATTTACTAATTGAATGACCTTTGGGAGTGTTTCCGATTTGGGGCAATTATGAACAGATCTACTATAAGCATTCACATACAGGTTATGTGTGAACATAAGTATTCATTTCTCTGGGATAGACACCCAGAAGTGGGATTGCTGACTCATATAGTAAGTATATGTTCAACTTTATAAGAAACTATTATTTTTTTAATTTTTAAAAAAGTTTATTTCTAGTGAAACATACAATAATTTTTAAAGGTTCAAACAATACAGATAAGGCTAAAGACAAATTCCAGTCCCATAGATAACTATTATCAGTCTGGGATGCATATTTTCAAAAATATAGAAATATGGTTTAACTTGTTTTTATGTTTTAAGTTGTTTTTAAGTATATGATATATACTTTTCCGCATCTTTTTTTATTCAACAATGTCTGGATTTTTTTTTTATACTTTAAGTTCTGGGGTACATGTGCAGAACATGCAGGTTTGTTACATAGGTATACACGAGCCATGGTGGTTTGCTGCATCCATCAACCCATAATCGACATTAGGTATTTCTCCTAATGCTATCCCTCCCCTACCCCCCACCGCCCCGACAGAACCCAGTGTGTGATGTTCCCCTCCCTGTGTCCATGTGTTCTCATTGATCCACTCCCACTTATGAGTGAGAACATACAGTGTTTGGTTTTCTGTTCTTGTATTAGTTTGCTGAGAATGATGGTTTCTAGCATCATCCATGTCCCTGCAAAGGACATGAACTCATCCTTTTTTTATGGCTGCATAGTATTCCATGGTGTATATGTGCCACATTTTCTTTATCCAGTCTATAATTGATGGGCATTTTGGTTGGTTCCAAGTCTTTGCTGTTGTGAACAGTGCCACAATAAACATACATGTGCATGTGTCTTTATAGTAGATTTATAATCCTTTGGGTATAGACCCAGTAATGGGATTGCTGGGTCAAATGGTATTTCTAGTTCTAGTTCTGTTCCATTGGTCTATATATCTCTTTTGGTACCAGTACCATGCTGTTTTGGTTACTGTAGCCTTGTAGTATAGTTTGAAGTCAGGTAGCATGATACCTCCAGCTTTGTTCTTTTTGCTTAGGATTGTCTTGGCTATATAGGCTCTTTCTTGGTTCCATATGAAATTTATAGTTTTTTCTAATTCTGTGAAGAAAGTCAATGGTAGCTTGATGGGGATAGCATTGAATCTATAAATTACTTTGGGTAGTATGGCCATTTTCACAATATTGATTCTTCCTATTCATGAGCATGGAATGTTTTTCCATTTGTTTATGTCCTCATTTCCTTGAGCAGTGGTTTGTAGTTCTCCTTGAAGAGGTCCTTCACATCCCTTGTAAGTTGGATTCCTAGGTATTTTATTCTCTTTGTAGCAATTGTGAATGAGAGTTCACTCATGATTTGGCTATTATTGGTGTATAGGAATGCTTGTGATTTTTGCACATTGATTTTGTATCCGGAGACTTTGCTGAAGTTGCTTATCAGCTTAAGGATATCTGGGGCTGAGAGGATGGGGTTTTCTAAATATACAATCATGTCATCTGCAAACAGGGACAATTTGACTTCCTCTTTTCCTAAATGAATACCCTTTCTTTCTTTCTCTTGCCTGATTGCCCTGGCCAGAACTTCCAATACTATGTTGAACAGGAGTGGTGAGAGAGGGCATCCTTGTCTTGTGCTGGTTTTCAAAGGGAATGCTTCCAGTTTTTGCCCATTCAGTATGATATTGGCTGTGGGTTTGTCATAAATAGCTCTTATTATTTTGAGATACATTCCATCAATGCCTAGTTTATTGAGAGCTTTTAGCATGAAGCGGTGTTGAATTTTGTCGAATGCCTTTTCTGCATCTATTGAGATAATCATGTGGTTTTTGTCACTGGTTCTGTTTATGTGATGGATTACATTTATTGATTTGCATATGTTGAGCCAGCCTTGCATCTCAAGGATGAAGCTGACTTGATCGTGGTGGATAAGCTTTTTGATGTGCTGCTGGATTTGGTTTGCCAGTATTTTATTGAGGATTTTCACATCAATGTTCATCAGGAATATTGGCCTGAATTTTCTTTTGTTGTGTCTCTGCCAGGTTTTGGTATCAGGATGATTCTAGCCTCATAAAATGAGTTAGGGAGGTGTCTTCCTTTTTCTATTTTTGGAATAGTCTCAGAAGGATGGTACCAGCTCCACTTCATACCTCTGGTAGAATTCAGCTGCAAATCCATCTGGTCCTGGACGTTTTTTGCTTGGTAGGCTATTAATTGCTGCCTCAATTTCAGAACTTGTTATTGGTCTCTTCAGGGATTCGACTTCTTGGTTTACTCTTGGGAGGGTGTATGTATCCAGGAATTTATCCGTTTCTTCTAGATTTTCTAGTTTATTTGCGTAGAGGTGTTTATAGTATTCTCCGATGGTAGTTTGTATTTCTATGGGATCTGTGGTGATATCCCCTTTATCATTTTTTTATTGCATCTGATTCTTCTCTCTTTTCTTTTTTATTAGTCTGGCTAGTCATCTATTTTATTGGTCTTTTCAAAAAACCATCTCCTGGATTGATTTTTTGAAGAGTTTTTCGTGTCTCTATCTCTTTCAGTTCTGCTCTTAGTTATTTCTTGTCTTCTACTAGCTTTTGAATTTGTTTGCTCTTGCTTCTCTAGTTCTTTTAATTGTGATGTTAGGCTGTCGATTTTAGATCTCTCCTGCTTTCTCTTGTGGGCATTTAGTGCTAAAAATTTCCCTCTACACACGGCTTTAAGCTGTGTCCCGGAGATTCTGGTACGTTGTGTCTTTGTTCTCACTGGTTTCAAAGAACATCTTTATTTTTACCTTTATTTCGTTGTTTACCCAGTAGTCATTCAGGAGCAGGTTGTTTAGTTTCCATGTAGCTGTGTGGTTTTGAGTGAGTTTCTTAATCCTGAGTTCTAACTTGATTGCACTGTGGTCTGAGAGACTGTTATGATTTCCATTCTTTTGCATTTTGAGGAGTGTTTTACTTCCAACTATGTGGTCAATTTTAAAATAAGTGCAATGTGGTGCTGAGAACACTGTATATTCTGTTGATTTGGGGTGAAGGATTCTGTAGATGTCTATTAGGTCTGCTTGGTCCAGAGCTGAGTTCAAGTCCTGGATATCCTTGTTAATTTTCTATCTTGTTGATCTAACATTAACAGTGGGGTGTTGAAGTCTCCCATTATTATTGTGTGGGAGTCTAAGTCTCTTTGTAGGTCTCTAAGAACTTGCTTTATGAATCTGGGTGCTCCTGTATTGGGTGCATATATATTTAGGATAGTTAGCTCTTCTTGTTGCATTGATCCCTTTACCATTATGTAATGCTCTTCTTTGTCTCTTTTGATCTTTGTTGGTTGAAAGTCTGTTTTATCGGAGACTAGGATTGCAACCCCTGCTTTTTTTTTTTTTTTTTTTTTTTGCTTTCCATTTGCTTGGTAAACAGCCAAACTATTTTTCAAGATTTACATTCCAAACAGCAATGTACAAAATGCTCCACATCCTCTCCAGCACTTGATATCATATTGTTCATTATTGCCATTCTAAAAGGTATGCAGTGATATCTCATCATGTTTTTAATTTGCATTTCTCTAATTGTTAATGATGTTGGACTTTTCTCATGTGCTTATTTGCCATATATATCGTCATTGATAAAATGTTCATGTATTTTGCCCACTTTTTTAACTAGGTTGTTTGTTTTCTTATTGTTAGAGCTTGAGAGTTCTTTATGTATTTTGGATACAAGTCCTTTGTCAGATAAGTGATTTGTAAATATTTTCTGCCAGTCTATAGCTTGTTTTTTTATTCTCTTAACAGTGTTATTTGCAGGTCTTGAACTCCTGGGCTCAAGCAGTCCTCCTGCCTTGGCCTTCTCCAGTGATGGGAGATTATAGGCATGAGCCACCACACCACCCAGCCCTGGATCAAGAGTTTTAAATTTTAGTAAAGTCCAACTTATCAGTATTTTCTTTTGTGGATTGTGCTTCTGGTGTTAAGTCTAAGAACTCTTCACCTAACTTCAAGTCATGAAGCTTTTTCCTGTTTTCTCCTACACGTTTTATCGTTTAATGTTTTATATTTAGGTCTATAATTATTTTCATTAACTTTTGTATAACGTGAGGTTTAAGTGTAGATTTATTTTTTGGCCTATGGTTGTTCAATTGTGCCAACACCATTGGCTGAAAAGACCATTCTTTCTTATCGAATTGCTTTGAGACTTTATGAAAAATCGATTGAGCATATTTGTGTGGATTCATTTCTGTACTCCCTAAGCTATGTTCAATTGATGTGTCTATCTCTTTACCAATACCATACTCTCTTGGTTACTGTTGAGTCTTGAGATAAATTAGTATAATTCCTCCAACTATATTCTTCTTTTACCAAATTGTTTTAGCTATTCCAGTTCATTTACTTTCCATAAAATCAGTTTTGTCTATATCTACCAAAAGCTCAGCTGAGATTGCAATTGGTATTGCATTAAACCTACAGATAAATTTGAGCAAAATCGACATCTTCACTATGTTGAGCCTTCCAATCCATGAACACAGTATATTTCTCCATTTATTAGGTCATCTTTGATTTCTTTCATCAATGTTTTATAGTTTTCAAAACACAGACCCTGTACATATTTTGTCAGATTTATGTGTATTTTGGGAGAAGCTACTGAAAATTATTTTTTAAAATGTTGCTTTCCAATTGTACATTGCTAGTGTATAGAAATATGAAATTTTTTTTGGTATGTTGCCCTTGTATCCTGCAAACTTGCCTAACTTATGTATTAGTTCTAGGAATTTTGGAGATTTCCTGGGACCTTACATACAGAAAATCAAGTTGTCAATGAAAGGAAATTATTATTATTATTAACTGTGTAGTTTTTGTTTTGTTGGAGGGGGTGTTTATTTTTTTCCTGATTGCACTAAGACTTCCAATATAGTGCTGAACAGCAGTGGATAAATTGACATCTTGCTTTGTTTCCAATATTAGGGGGAAATCATTAAATCTTTTGCCAATATGATGTTAGCTGTATTTTTTTTGTAGGTGCTGTGTATCAAATTGAGGAGATTCCCTTCAATTTAATTTGTTGAGAGTGTTTATCAGTAATGGATGCTGGAATTTGACAAAAGCTTTTTCTACATCTATTGATATGATCATATGGGTTTTTTTAGATTGTTAATATGGTGAGCTACATGGATCAATTTCCGAATATTAAATCAGCTTGCATTCCTAGGCTAAATACCATTTGGTCACAGGGTGCTAACCTTTACACATATTGCTTTTCTATCATTGCTAATATTTTATTGGGTATTTTTTCATCTATACTCATGAACAATGTTGGTATGTATGACTGACCGTTGACCAATGGCGGGGAGGTTGGTGGGGATTAGGTGCACTGACCCCTGTGCAGTCAAGATTCACATTTAACTTTTTACTCCCCACAACCTTAAAATACTAACTACCAATAGCCTACAGTTGACTAGAAATCTTAACCACATAGTCAATTAACGCATACTTTATATGTTATACATATTATATACTATATTATTAAAGATAGAGAAAATAAAATGTTATTAAGAAAATCATAAGAAAAGCATACTTACTATTAAGTGGAAGTAGATAATAGTCTTCATCCTTATCATCTTCACATTGAGGAAGAAGAGGAGAGGTGGGTCCTACTGTCTCAGAGGTGTCAGAGGCAGAAGAAAATCTGTGTATAATGGACCTGCACAGTTCAAACCCATGTCAGGGTAATGCTGGACTCATAAAATGGGCTGGGAAATATTCCTTTCCTTATTTTCTGCAAGACAGTGTTCAGGACTGGTATTTGGTGGAATTTATCCATGAAACCATCTGGGCCTGGAGATTTCTTTTTTGGAAGGATTTTAACAACAAATTCAATTTATTTTAAAAATATAGGATTATTCAGCTTTCCCATTTTAACTAAGAGGTTTGATAATTTGTGGATTTTGAGGAATTAGTCCATTTCATCTGAATTCTCCAATTTATGTGTAGTTTGTAGTATCCCCTTATTTGCCTTTTAATGTTTGTGGAATCTGTAGTGATATCTCCTCTTTTGTTCATTTCTAATGCTGGTGATTTATGTCTTCTCTCTTTGCCTTGTCAGTCCTTATAGCATTTTATTAATTTTATTGATCTTTTCAAAATACAATCCATTGGTTTCATTGATTTGTTTTTGTGTTCAATTTTATTAATTTCTGATCTGCCAGCCCTTTTATTATTATCTCACAGGTTCCCAAGGCTCTGATCACTTTTTTCTTTTTTAGCTTACATACATTCTATTCATCTATCTTAAAGTTCACTGACTTTCCTTCATCTATCATTGAGTCCATCCACCGAGTTTATTTTGGTTGTGGTAATTTTTAGTTCTAAAATTTATATTGTCTTATGTTCTCTATTTCTTAACTGAGACTTTTAGTATTTGTTTCAAAAGTGTTCACAATTGCTTATTTGATCAATTATAGCTGCTTTGAAGTCTGACAGATAATTCTGTCATCTGTGTTCTTGCTGTGATTGTACTTTCCCATGCACATTAAAATATTTGCGATTCTTCATATCCTGAATAATTTTGGATTGTATCCTGGACATTTTAAGTATTATAAGACTTTGGGTCTTGTTTAAATACTACGGGTATGTTGATATTTTTTGTTTTCACAGGCAATGGGCCTGGTTGGGTTCAGGCTGAAACTTCCAATATGAGGACTATGTTTCCAATACCAGTTCAGTTGTCAAACTTTGGCAATGCTCTTCAGATCTGTCATATTTGTGTACCACTCAGTGTGGAACCCAGGGGATAAGCTATCCATACTTTAGTTCTTCAGATCTTGAGTATGCTAACTATGATCAGATGCACACATCGTGTCTCAGGAGTAAGACTTGAAGTTCATAAACAACTATTTGTCACAGCCCTATTCATAAACAGAATCACTTTTTGAGCTTCTCCTTCTCTGCAGTTGATACTTTATTTTCTTGGGTCTCCCCCTTTTAGGTCAGAAACACGAGGCTATACTTATCCTACTCTGCCTCACACTTCCATAATTAGGTTTACAGTTGGGCTAAGTAGTGGGAAGACAGATTTTAAAAAGCAACAAAGGTTAGTTCTACCCTGTTGGTATAAAAGATCTACCACTGCCTCTACACTATAGGATTTCCTAGGAGTTGGGCTTGGAGAGAATACAGAGAAGAGAAGATTAAATTCAGGAGGATTTCTGCTCTGTGTGTGTTAGAAGTTCCCTTTCCAATTCTTCAAGCCAGAAGGATTCTCCTGGAGCCCTTCTGTGCCTTGGTGCTCACTTTTGAGTTTCTGGCTGAATTGCATTTAACTGGGAGATACTGGAGGGGGAAAAATGGTAAATTCACTGGTAGTTTGATGGTACTTTGATTTCTGTTGTTTTTCCCCAATCTGCCTGCTGCTGTGTATCTTTCAAAGTCTTCAAATAGCTATGCCACACACTCTGCCCAGGTTTTAAAGTCATATTCAGTGGGATCAATGGAAAAAGTGCTTTCGTCATTTTACTCAGAAACTAAAAGCCAGATTTCAGAATTTATCCCAGGGCAATAATCAAAGATGTTGGCTGGGAATGCACACTCAAGGGTTTTTATCACAGCATTAAGGTAGCTATAGAACCTGTGTTACTGTTTGCAAGCAACAAAATCTGGTTGTTTTAACTTAAGTCTGGCTGATATAAGTTTTTAAAGGGATATTGAGTACCTTGAAGAATGCCAAGGAGAGTGAGAATCTAGCCTAAAAGATTATTTGGCCTGGAACAGTGCCCAAATTCATGCAACAGATACGACTTAGTGACTACCTTATAGAACCACTGTCCAGCTTTGGACATTTTAAATTGTGCTCTGATCACAGCTTATCATACTGTTGCCATTTCTGCCTCCAGAAAATTGGTCTTTCTACCTGTGGCATTCAAGAATCACCACCAAGGACCAACTGTCTACCAAGGACAATTCTGTTCTATTTCCACTTGTTTGCATCTCTGACACATTTATAGTATCTCTTCTCTATAACACTTCTACAAGTCCACTGAAGACTTTGTGTTTTTGAATTTCTTCTTACTAACACAGATATTAACTCTAAGCACTAAATTATGTAGCAAAGGGTACAAAGGCAGTAGAATTTTAGAGGAGCAGAATACTATGGAGAACACGAGCTGTAGAAGAGAAGGCTTTTGAAGAGTCAGGGCAGAGCTGGTGCGTGAATTGTCATCTCAGGAGAAGGGTTGTATTACTCAGCTATTGCTGCACAACTGAGGTGTAACAAACCACCCCTGAACAATAGTTCTCATTCATGGATTTGGAGCCAACTGAGGCAGACTTGCTTCTGATTTTAATTTTGCCCTCTCCACAGCGTCTATGAGTTCCTGTGGCTTATATTCTCTTATCTCTCGCAGCTTTCAACTAGCAGCATTAAATTGTCCTAAATTTGCATTGCATCAACCTGGCTTTACCAATTCCCACAAGAATCTACTCATGTCAAGTATTCTGTGACTTGGTCTCACAAATCCTTGGTGAGATGTAGCTATGTCAAAGGGTCACATCTTGGAACAGGTGGCCTTTAGGCCATCTTGCCGGCTATTTTCTCATTCTCTCTCCCTCTTCCATTGACCTCTACTTTCCTCTTCTCCTAAACTCAAATCAACCTGAGATTCCTTCTCTTTTTTTCACAGACAATCCTGTTCTCACCAAGGCCACTTGGGGTTTCATCTGCGTCCTAATGGCTTAACAAAGTACTTCTTTCAAATACTCCCAGTGCTCTCCCCAAGAGAATATTTGGTAAATAATATACTCTCTCAAAGAAAGTTATGTTTCTTTATTCTTATCCCTCCAGTCAGTTATCCATATCCAAGTCATTCAAGAATAACTAGACATGTGACAAGCAAATGGTCTGTGGAAGACTTAACCTACTTAAAAGGGGGAGAAATGAGATGTGGCTACCTGTGTATTATCCCTTGAAGAATCTTATAAAAGTACAGCCCCAGTAGCCAGGATGCTCTGAGGAGAACCCCATTGGGGAGAACAATGGCTAAAAATAGTACTTGACCTTGGGTATCTAAAGGAAAAATGATGAAAAATGTTGACCAAAGAGTTTAAAGTGTCTTTGAAGAAAAAAGAAAAATAAAAGCACACCCACTTTCTAAAACTGCACAGAAGTCACCTCCTGCACTTTCTGGAAGGGAAAAGGCATTCAGCCAAGGTGTGGGCTTTCAGGTATGACCTTCAGAACAGGCAAGGGGCAGACACTCTATATACCAAGCGCATGGTGGAGGCGAAAGGGTGGCAAAGGAGAATGTTAGATGCCCAAAAACATTGGAGAGATCACAAAAGTAAATGGCCAGATCAGGAAGCAGAGCTATCATCATGGGCTCAAAACCAGCCAGGGCTGCTTTCACTGTCAGCAAAAGGACACGTGTCAGATAGGCTGTAGCTTCTGGGATGGCTGGCATTCATGAGAACTGAATGTTTCCAAGAAGGAATGTGGGGTGAAGAATTCAATTCTAACATCTTACTACAGACAGGTTCATAATGCCAGCAATCTAGCTACCTTACAATAGAGGTTCTCCTCTCGTGAGAAGAAATGGAAGGCCCTTAGGGGGGCTCCTTATTCTCATAGCCTCCACATGCTGGCTGGTTCTCATCTTTCCCTTGTGTTCCTCCCCTTTCTCTTAGATAGTTAAGGACTAACCACATGCTAGGAACCATAAAGGCTCAGAAATGAATGAGACTGTTGCTATCCAGGCAGTTCATGACCCAGTAAAGGAAGCAGGCTAATAAAACATGTATCAATGGAAACCCATAATTGTCCCCTTAGAAATGAGGAGAATAACTGGTTCACACTTAGTGGAGGCTTCATATAAGAAGGGGCTTTGAACAAAGCCTTGAAGAATATGCTGCATTTATACAGTAGAGCCATCCTGGGAAGAAGGGCCTTCAGTGGGTAAAGGCAAGAGTATCTGTCCTGTGCTGGATATCAATGCTTTCCATGGGGTATCTAAGTTTGTTTCAACAATTTATTGAATGATACTAGATGCTAGACTCTAGGGACCCAACTCTGAACAGAAGGGTCACTTTCCTCCTGGAAGTTGGAGTCTAATGGTGTGGTAGAAAGAATGATGGCTTCTCAATATGTCCATGTCCTAATCCACAGAACCTATGACTGTGTTCTGTTACATGGCAAAGGGGAATTAGGCTTGTTTTTCAGCTAACCTTAAAATAGGGAGGTTATCCTAGACCAATATAATCACAAGAGCCCCTAAATGTGAAAAAGGGAGGTAGAGTCCTCTTGACACAATATGAGAAGACTTGATAGGCCATTGCTGACTTTGAAAATGGAAGGTGGCCATGAGCCAAGGATGGGTACAGCCTCTAGAAGATGGAAAAGGCAAAAAAAGATTTCTCCACTAGAATCTTGAGAAAGGAACACAACCGTGCTGACATCTTAATTTTAGCTTAGTGACACCCATTTCAGATTTCCGACTTCTACAACTATAAGATAATAAATCTATGTTGTTTTAAGCCACTAAGTTTGTGGGAACTGAATGTTGTGCTAATGTTGTGACCTGTTGAGGAGAGGCAGAGGGAACTATAGAAGAGGTGTTGCAATAGAAGATAGGAGACCAGAGTGCTCATCCACCTCTATGCATAATTCACGGATTTACTCATTCATTCAGCTGAAACCATGGGCTGGGCAGAATGTCAGATGCTGGAGTAAAATAGAACAAGACATGGACATTTCTGGCTCTTGAGCCGCTTACAATCTAGTTGGAAAGCAGACAGGAAGTCAATAAAAAGAAATAACCCAAAAAGTTATAAGCACAACAAATAAAATTATTATGGTTCCATGAGGAATAGAATGGTCAGGGAAGGGATCTCTGAGATGACATTTAAAGTGAAATCTTTAAAAAGGGGCTAGAGAAAGAAGGGCACTGGAAAGAGCTTATTGGCATGGTCCAGGATTTAACAAATGAATTGTGTCACAGGAGAATGGTAAGGGGAAGGCATAAGGGAAGGGAGAGATCACAAAGGTCTTGTAAGCCACAGTGAGAAATTACTTGAGAGCAATGGAAAAACAATGAAGCACTATAAATAGAAGAGTGACATGATCCTATCTATAGTTCATATTATTTTTTAACTTTTTATTTTGAAATACAGTCCCAGAAAGTTAAAAAATGGGAAGTCCTGTGTACCCTTTACCCAGTTTCCCCTAATGGAAACATCTGGCATATCTATAGTACAATATCACAACCAGGAAATTGACACTGGTACAGTCTGCAGGACTTATTCAGATTTCACTAGGTACAATCTCACTAGATACAAATGTACTTATTTGCTTGTATGTATATGATGTGTATATAGTTCTATTCAATTTTATCACATTAAATTCATGTAACCACTGCCACAATCAAGATACAGAACTGTTGCATCACCAAAGGGCTCTTCTGTACTACCCCTTTATAGCCACATGCATCCCTTTCCCACCTGACTCTTGGCAACCTATAACCTATTTTCCATTATTATGATGTTATATTTTAAGACTGTTATATAAATGGAACCATTTAGAATAAAACTTTTTGAGACTGGTTTCTTCCACTCAGCATAATGCCCCTGAGATCCATCCAAGTTGTTGAAGGCATCAAAAGTATATTTCTTTTTATTGCTGAATAGTATTCCATGATAAAAATGTACTTCAATTTTATTAATCATTCACCTATTGGAGGACACTTGGGTCATTCCTAGTTTTTGGCTATCACAAATAAAGTTGCGATGAACATTCATGTACAAGTTTTTATGTGAACTTAAGTTTTCTTCTGGGATAAATGCCTAAGGGTGTAACTGCTGGGCCATAAGGTGATTGCAGTTTCTGAGTTCTCTATTCTTTCCATTGATCTGTGTGTCTATCCCTCTGCAATATAGACCACACTGTCTTGTTGACTGTAGCTATGAAAGAAGTCTTGAAGTCAGGTAGACTAATCCCTCCCACTTTATTCTTCTTTGTCATAATTGTTTTAGCTATTCTAGCTTTTGTTTTTCCTTATAAATTTTTAGAATAAACTTGCATATGACTACAAAAAAGAAAGAACATCTCTCCTGATTACATCTATTGAGTACCTCTCTTGCCAAGCTCTTTGACCATTACAATAAATCCCCTCAAATCAATGCAGTCTTCATCAGTCCTAAAGCAAGACACTTTGCTGATCAGAAAGAACCAGTCCAGTTCTCTCAGTACTCTGCAGATCCAGCTATGCCTGACTCCAAATCACTGCTCAGAGGCTGGCAGATTTCCAACTACAGAAGCCTGTGTAGTTCCCCATCAGCTGCTGCAGTCTGCCCTGGATCACCCCTTTAGAAGCAAGTGAGGCTCCTGGAAACTGCAGCATAATCCTTGTGAGCCAGAGAACTACAGCGCTGGGATTTGCAATGGTCCCCACTGGAAGGGACCCAAGTCCTCAGATGACTGGGACCTTGCTGTCAAACCCTACCCGGGGCTGTTAGGCCCACAACTCTGAGGATGGTCTTACCAAGTTGCCCTTGCCCCTCCCAATGTTTCACACACTTGTACCTCTGAGCACAACACCCATATTGAGTGTATCAGTCAAGATGGGCTAGGTTTTTCTGTGATATCAAACAGTCTTTTCAACATCTCAGTAGCTTAAAAATAAAAGCTTGCTTCTTGCTTATGCTGCATATACACTGTGGGTCAGCAGAGGGTTCTAACTTAGCATAGTCATTCAGGGGCCTGGGATGATTCAAGCTCCATCTCAAGAGAGATGTTTCCATATCAAAGCAGGAAAGAGAAATGGAGGCAAATCATACCCCAGCTCTAAGGCATCACCTAGAAGAAGTTCCTTCTGCCCACACTTTCTTGGTCAAATGGTTGTTATATCAGTATGAATTAACCATTAACCTTTTCTGAAAGTTGACCTTTCTGATTAAACATCTTACCCTGAGCTCTCCCAAAGCAGAGCTTGAGACAGTCTCACATTCAATGAGCCTGTGATCCTAGGAAGCAGGAGTGAGGGAGAGGGAAATGAAACTGGAAACAAGGAAAAGCCAATATTATCGAGTGGAACACTACTATTTGCAACTGAAGTTCAATTCCACAGCACCTCTGAGGAATTGTAAAGTGCATCTCAGTTCACCCCCAAGGAGGCAAAATGGCAGGAATTCATCTATAACTCCCACCCCCATTGACTAACATGACCATGTGGGCATTAACGCTTTCACTTCCTGGTTTGTGCATGCATGAATTCCAAGTATATTCCCACAGTTGCCCCACATCTCGGCATCAGAGAAGCCCTAAGCAAGGAAACAAGAGATACACTGCATGGGGCCATGACAAGGCAGTGTTAGGTTGCCCTGGTGCAAAGCTATTGAAGCCTGCCCATGACTGGTTACTGCAACAGTGGTAGAATAAGAGGCGGGACCTAGTGGGTTTGAAGTGTTCACAGGAACAGCCCCTGCAGTCAGATCATGTCATTCTTCTGCTTAAAACCTTTCAATAGTTTCTCATTTACTCAGCACAAAGGATAATGGCTTTACAACGGCCCTTATAAGGCCTACATGATCTGACATCTTTACTGCTTTGGTCTCATATCTTACTACTCTCCTCATTTTCTTTGCTCTAGCCTCGCTGACATCCTCATATTCACCAAGCACTCTCAGACCCCAGCTCCTTTGCACTGGCTGTTCCCTCTACCTAGAAGGCTTTCCCCCAGATAGCTACATGGCTCACTCCCTCTCCTTCTCACTCTAATTTAGATTAGATCCAATCCATCTCTCCTGGAACTCTCAATCTCCTCATCCTGCCCTAATTTTGTTTTCTTTTTTCCCATACTTCCTATCATCTTTTAATGTAAAAAAAATGTGATGAATAGGTAAATCTATTAACATTTATTATCTCTAGATAGAATGGTCAACTCTTCCTTGGAGATTCCCAAAAGCTTAGACATGTGGCAGCACATGGTGCTCCCATGTTTCTTGAATAAATGAATTTATTGGAAATTTTAAAAATAATGCAAATCACCTCCAAATTTTAAGCATCTGGTAGGCTGTCAATGACATTTGTCATTAACACAGAAAAACTTCAGTATTGGTTTATGAAAAAGAAAATTGTCCTGAATTATGCAAAGCTTAAATTATGCAAGATTGTCACAAATTATATCCTTCATGTAAAATATAAAATTTTAGTCATGTAATAAATGTGCAATCATTAAGACAAAGTTTTAAAAACATATTTAATGGTATGTGGAAAATGAACTTATGTTACAGTCTTGAGTTCAAATCATAGGATATAAAACTATATAGTATGATGAGTACATTTTTGAAAGGGGAAAAATTAATTAGAAACACACAAAGCTAACATATAACCAAAATAGTTTTTGTTTTTGTTTTTTGAGACAGAGTCTTGCTCTGTCGCCCAGGCTGGAATGTAGTGGCACGATCTTGGCTCACTGCAAGCTCCACCTCCCAGGTTCATGCCATTCTCCTGCCTCAGCCTGCTGAGTAGCTGGGACTACAGGCACCTGCCACCACGCCCGGCTAATTTTTTGTATCTTTAGTAGAGACGGGGTTTCACCATGTTAGCCAGGATGGTCTCGATCTCCTAACTTTGTGATCTGCCTGCCGTGGCCTCCCAAAGTGCTGGGACTACAGGCATGAGCCACCGTGCCCGGCCAATAGTTGTCTTAATGCTAGGGTTACAAGTAATTGTTTTTGCATCCTTTGCTTCTTTCCCATTAGTGTGTAAAGTTTGTGCAATCAGAAAACATGAGCCACCAATACATGGAGAGTAATTGGAACAGTGTTTTCTAACTGAAGGCACTTTTAGGAGTATCAGAGACAGCACCACAAAACTACCTGAAAGGTTCCAAGGCCCTCCTGGCAATTAGCTGTGCAATAAGAGAGGAACAGGCTGCCATAGGAATGCACAGATTTGGTCTGGGAGAATTTCTCAGCTGAATTGAACCCTATGCATTTTAAAGTTTTAAGGTTGTCCCCAAAGCCCTTGTGAAATGCCAGGGATTCACCCTTATTCCCTTTCCCAGCTCCTGGGAAGAAAACCTAAAGAAAACTACAAGTAACATAAAACCAACCCAACTGGCCTCAACTACGAGAAATTTATCTCACATAAAAGAAATCCAAAACAATTAGGGCAGCTCCTGGATAAGCTCAGAGATGACAGGTCATGGTCTGCTTTTTCAATCACCTCCAACTCATTCAATCCAACTCCAATACTCTCACTGCAGTTGCTATGTTCATTCAGGCATCACATGCAAATGGCCAGAGGCAGAAGGGGATCTGCCTCTTTTTTGCAATTTAAAAAATGAAGATGCCTGTCAAGAAAGACCCCAGCTGCCTATTCCTCACACTCGCTATATTATATCATCTACCCTTGTCTAAGCCAATTACAGGACTACCAAGGGAATAGGAGTTTCCTCATTATAGCAATCAAACCCACCCCTTGGGACAAGGTGGGTCAGCCTCCACTGAAACTCAGGATGTACGAGCACTATAAGGTTTTGGGTACACAGGAAGAATGGGAGGTGATGGGAATGGATGTTAGTCTAGCCGCACCAGCATGTGGTATAGGTACTGGGTTTTCCCCACTGGCCAACATGCTTCCTGAATCCCAACTGAGGAAGCAACACGCAGATTCTTCTTGGATCAGCCTTGCCTCAAACACACGAGGCCTTCCCAGAAATCCATATCAATTCCTTCAAAACATACTTTGAAACAAGATTTACAATATGGAAGACTTGTATCTCTTTTCCATAATGTCTCATTAACCCTCCTTTCCTACTTTGGACAGTTCTTTTTAGTTAACTGAGCTAAGCTGTGGATTGTCAAGTTTGTTATTTGCTCAAAGTTAAACCACAGCAACATCTCCCAGGAAATCAAAACCTACATCTTCGCCTTAATGAGCGGAAGTGCTCATAGTCAGGAATCAACTATGGTGAGGCAGCACAGGTATGGAATGAAAAAAATCATGTGAGGGGTGTGTGTGTGTGTAAGACCTGGGTTCAAATCCTGTCTTCATTAATTATTGAGTGATTTTAGGCAAGATATTTAACTGCTCAGAAACTATTTTCTCATCATAAAATGGAAATAGTACCACTCACCCCAGGGGTTACTGTTCTGATTAAATGACGACCAATCTTTTTTCTCTCTCCATTTCCTTAGAGAAGGCTCCACTGTGGATAATCAGACCATGTAAGTGTCAGCCAATACACGGACTGATCTTTTCCTTTGTAGTTTTCAATATTGGGCTTAAATTCTCTTTGGAATGAACCAGAATAACACAAATCAAGTTGATTGGCTTTTAGTAATTACACAGTAGAGTGTGTGGCTTCATTGTACATGTGGCTGGGGTCAGAAGACAATCTGTAATTCAGACAAGCAATGAAGTACTTGCTTGGCATATTGGTTTTCCTCTGTACAAGAAGTGATGACTTTCTTCAGTATATCTAGAAGCATTTATGAAATGCAAAATGGCATGAGCAGTGACATTGAAAACTGTCAAGACTGAACATTGTTGGCCAGGAGCGGTGGCTCACGCCTGTAATCCCAGCACTTTGGGAGGCCGAGGCCAGGAGATCGAGGTCAGGAGATTGAGACCATCCTGGCTAACACAGTGAAACCCCGTCTCTACTAAAAATACAAAAACAAAATTAGCCAGGCGTGGTGGCAGGCACCTGTAGTCCCAGCTACTCAGGAGGCTGAGGCGGAAGAACGGCGTGAACCCAGGAGGTGGAGCTTGCAGTGAGCCGAGATCGCACCACTGCACTCCAGCCTGGGCAACAGAATGAGACTCTGTCACAAAAAAAAAAAAAAAAAAAAAAAAGACTGAACATTGTCAATATAGTAGATAATTTATGTTATTGTACTTAAATCACTGCCTACTAAAGTGTGCTGCAAACAAAATTATCTAAAATATGTAGGAAGAGAATGTTTCCATCAACATTCCGAGGATATTAGTTTCTAGCCAACTTGTCTATCTATATTGAAGTCTCAAATAGGAGTTTCTGAAAGTCTATATTTTAGAATCTTTCCTTCAACACCCCCTCCTCCAAAATAAAAAGCATTTTGTTTTCAGGAGCTTTTCAAATAGGTTTGTGTGCTTACTTTTTAATTTTTTTTTCTTTTTACAGTTCTCATTTGATATCAACTATCCCAGCCTGCCTGCGGGGGTCTAATGATTTCATCATGAGTAGTAGTGAGGGTTTCATCTGCTCTCCATCCACACAAACCTTGAGTTGTCTCACAGAAAGCAGGCAGAATTCCCTAAGTTCACCTCCTTTGCCTTACGTGGCAGCAGCTGTCTGAGAGCCAAGCATCCTGCTGCTCCATTGGCTTTACCACGTGGGCCTTGGTGCAGTTACAGCTGAAGACAAACCAGGTTGATTCCATAGGAAGGAACACATAGAACAGCTCTGAAATGACCCACGGCTAAGAATTTGAGGATGAATGAATGATGGCTCCCAACTTCTTAGAATAACAAACACTTTTCTTTTTTTCAAAAGGCAGTTTCAAGATACCCTTAAGCTCTACAATTCACCTATTGAAATGCTGGTGCCACACTCCAATCATTTAATACGTTATGACTGCAGAGAATTTTTACCCTCCCGACGGGTAAATGTGAATATCCTTTCTCATGCTTGCAGAAGGGGACCAAATGCTCTCCTTCCTGGCAGGGCACACAGAGATGGGCATGAAAGCTTTTGGGCTTCTAGCTCATGAACCCTGAGGCACATGCTGCTCACATCACTCTCCCCAATTTATTTCCATTTCCTGCGTCGATTTCTTTTCACTCATCACATAGCTATCTATCTTTGACAATGAGTACATGATCTTTCATTATGTTTAACGGCCATTGAAATGGCAAAACTGAAGGCAGTCAGAAAGGATTAGAACTGATGAGAAACCCTTAAATGGCAAAAAAGCTGCCCAAATTCAAGGGCAGAGCCTCTCCATGGTCATGTTAGTCTTATGTCCAGTCTTGCCACATGTCTGTCTCTGTGTTCACAAGGAGGAATGGACAGCTGCGAGTACCCAGTGTTCCAACATCTGCTTTAGAGACCGCAGTCTAAAAGAAGAGGTTGAGGCTCCAATAGCTAATAATAGTAGTTATCATTTATGGAGTGTGCTGTATATACTAAATACTGTGCATAAGTTTTGCATTTATTGTATCATTGCTTTCTCCAGCAGTCTTGTGAGATATTGTTCTATTTCAGAGGTGGGAAAGCAGTAGGGTAGAGAGTTTGGGCCAACATTCAAGAGTCAGGCCATGGGCTGGGCGCAGTGGCTCACGCCTGTAATCCCAGCACTTTGGGAGGCTGAGGTGGGTGGATCACGAGGTCAGGAGATCGAGACCATCCTGGCTAACACGGTGAAACCGCGTCTCTATTAAAAAATACAAAAAAATTAGCCAGGTGTGGTGGCGGGCGCCTGTAGTCCCAGCAACTTGGGAGGCTGAGGCAGGAGAATGGCATGAACCCGGGAGGCGGAGCTTGCAGTGTGCAGAGATGGCGCCACTGCACTCCAGCCTGGGCGACTGATCAAGACTCTGTCTCAAAAAAAAAAAAAAAAAAGAAAAGAAAAAAAAAAAGAAGAGTCGGGCCATGGACTTCTGTCACAGTTTCATATAGGGCAGTGGAAGAATGCCTTGTTAGAAGCTCTCCACTCAATAAACAGGCTATGGCAGGTCTGTCAGGGCCCCACCCAGACTCCAGAGGCAGCTTTCCTAGCACATGGGCCAGACTTCTAACCACCAGCACCTGAAAATATTTGCCTGAGGGCTTTCTGTGACTGCCAGAGCCCCTCTGTCCACATGTCCTGCAGGCTGGAAGTGCTGGGAAACCAATGCCCACCAGGAGCAGGTCTTCAAATAAGGCGGCCTGCTGGCACAATTCCCTCTTGCTTGGGAAGTCTTTTCTGTTAATGCCTTCAGTGGATCAGAGGAGGCCTACTCACATGTTGGAGGATAATCTGCTTTACTCAAAGTCCACCAATTTAAATGTTAATCTCATCCAAAAAAACACCTTCCCAGAAACATCTAGAATGTTTGACCAAACATCTGGGTACCATGACCCAGCTTAATGGACACAGCATTCTGCACTGTCCCCAGGCTCCCCAGCAGGAGATTAAGCTCTGGGTGCCCACAGCTGTCACTGGCTTGATCACACCTCCTGTGCTGACTTTCTCCCCTCCTCTGTTTGGTTTTCCCAGTTCCCTGCCTGTTGCCTCCTGGGCTCACCTCCCAGATAAACTACTTGAACTTGAAGCCTTGTCTTGGAGTCTGATTTGGGGAGGAGCCTGAACTGAAACAATACTCTTTATGTTTGACCCATGGGGTTGCCCGATGAGGATGAGGATGGGCCAGATGTGAATCCTGCCTCAAGGATGTGACCAAACCATCACAACCTGGGTGGCAATGTGTTAGGGTTAAGAACCAGCCCTGATAAGTGAACAGCTTTGTCACAAGATCAGCAAAGGCTTCCCCAAGGAGGTGGGATGGAGGTGGATTTTGAAGGATAAAAGATGTTCCCTGATGTAGTGGGTAGAAGAGAGGCATGGAAAGTGAAGGAGAGCATTCAACCAAACAGTGCACACAGCGACCCAGAAACACAAAAGAACTTGGTGTGGAAACGCCTAAGGGTAAGAATTCTCCCAGCTCTGTGGAGGGGACCAGGTTAGATGTGAAGGCCAGCTAGGATGCTCTCATCTCACTCAGAGAGAAACAAGGGCCTGACCTAAAGAGGGAAAGGCAAGAGAGGAAAGCCACACAAGGTTGCAGTGAATAAATGCTTTTGGAAAAACCTATAGCTGCAGTAGAAATAAAACTGTGTAGTTTTTTCAATGCTTTAGACCCAGGCTGGGAAGCCTTGATGTGCACACTTCATGGGTACATCCATGACAAACTGTCATGTGTGAGAGAGAAGGGGCCTGACTTGGAGGGACCACACCCTTGGTATATCCCAGCTCCACCCTTGGGAAGGGCGGAGCTGGAGGTTTGCCTCCCTTGGTCCAGGTTAGGTGGGGAAATGTCTCCCCTGGGAAATAACCCAGATAGAGCCTGGATGATAGAGAAACCCAAATCCAAAGTTAGGGGCATCACCAGCCCTGTTCTCTCCAGAAGCCATCTCTAGCTGGAGACATGGCCTACTACTGGACTGACCCCTCATAGAAAGCATGCAGTGAGTGCTGGTCCCTCAGAGTGGAGAGCTGGAGATACTAACATGTTTTGTTCTCAGCAAGTGAGGCAAACTTCACCACACTCAGCATTTTGTTATGTTTGCCAGGTGCCCCCTAGGAAAGGTCCAAGACAGCAGGCACCTGTCCATCTCATTCACTGATGTACAGAGCCCTGCAATGATACCTGGCACCATGGAAGCACTTGCCTTTGATGAACAAATGAATCCCTAGAGCAGCAACCTTTAGCCCCGTGATGACAGCCCACACATCATGGAGGTACTTGTCTCCCACCCTTTACTTGAAGTTGTTTTCTAAACACTTTACTTCCTCTTCTGCAATGAGGTGGCCAGGGAGAGAGGACAGAGCAGTCCAATGCCTGCTCTAAAGTACTGTAGTTGGGTACCTGGTTTGTAATAGCCAGCTCCACTATGGAGACTTCCAGCCTAGCACAGGCAAAAGAAATATGTTGAGTGGATATTTTATCACTTTGGATACTGAGGAAACAACATCCATTACACAATAGAGGAAGAGTAGGCACTTCTGCACTCCTTGTTTTAGAGATGGGAAGACACACACCACCAGGAATAAACCAACTAATTGACTGCCTTCCCTCTAGCTGTGAATACTTTAAATAGACTTCTGTGGCACAGTGTCTGGTCTAGAATGCATTCTCAATGAGCCTGGGTTGAATGCAGCACAATAGATGGCCATTGAGCACAAAGGACTTATGTGCATGAAAGTGCATGATCTGAGATAACAGGTGGGCACAAGGTGAGCATGCTCACAAAAGAAAATGGAATCCCAAAGGGCCACGTGCCTGTACTACACAGCGCTGCTACACAGGCTGGGGTGATAGTGCTTTGAGGGACTGACTTGACAATGTCTCAGCATTATGATTGGGATGTGTGTGGAACTAAGTGTATCTTATCTATATCAATATTTTAGGATGGGTTTATTAGAAACTGAAGTGGTTTTTGTTTGGGGGTATTAGTGTTTAAAATGGGATAGGTCAGAAGGACTCTAAAAGGACCTCCCACTCTTGCATGAAGATGGCATTAAAAATCAGAAAGCAAACAGTCCATGTCACCAGCACCATGCTCAATAGATAGACATCTCTCCTCTGGGGGTTCCCTGTTTTAAAATGGATAGTGCCACCTCCCAACCTTAATATGTCCCATTTGCTTGGGAGGGTTCCTTTCATACCAGTACTGATAGACTTGTCAGGGGAAAGCAAGAAAGACTTCTTCCCACTCCAGACAGGCTGTGAGACATCTGTTAGCACAGTCAGGACACTTGGTCAAATTTGGTCTGAGACTTAGGAAGCAGTGAGGCTGCCAACAGTGACACTATCATACACATACACCTAAGCATGACTGACACTTGGCTCACTGCCCTTAAACACCTCCTTTTCTCCCCCCTCATAACTGCATTGCTTTGCTAGTCATGGTGCCATTCAGTTTGCCAGCATGTTCTCTCCTCTTTCCTCCTCCTACTGTCTGCCTCCATCTCTATTAGCTAACACCACACCCTCCAAAAAGGAATCTGATTGGCTCTGCTGATCCTTTCAACCCAGGTCACTCAGGTCTTTGACTAGTATATAGTTGGATTACACTTGGGTCAGTTTACTCAAGGTCCAGACAGCTATGGCCAGAGAGGTAAGGTCAAATGGAACAGAACACGGCACATGCCCAACTGCCCCTCGGCACGTTACTGGCAAGAGCCTTCCCCTTAACAGGAAGGAGAGGCAAACAAACCCCAAAACCCAACAGGGATGCAAATCTCTATAAATAGCAGACTCCCTAGAGAAAGAATAGATTAGCCAGGGTTCATTTTCATGATCAGGTTATAAACTATGGGCTAGAAATAATGAAAATTAATCTATTAACTTGTTGCCATCAAAAAAAAGTGTTTTCATGTTTTCTATTTTTGAAGGGATGCCAATTTGATGTGAAAAATACTTGGAGCTGATACAGCCTTCAGCACTCAAGGGTGACTAAGTCACCTTTGCAAAAAATCACAGAAATTAAATCAGAGGTAGAGCCAGGACGGAGCCTTTGGACACCTGAATCTGCATTTTCAAGTATAAATCAAAATAGGCTAAATCTTGGTCGAGTAATCAAATCAGAGAAATTTTTGTCAGCTTTGTTTCTCCACCAAAGCCCTTGTTTTTAAACATTTTGCAAGTAACTGAGAATGCCTATGTCTCAAGGAATGTGAAACAAAAGAAAAGAAGTATGCAGCAACATTTTGAAAGATAAAGAGAATTCATGCCACATCACCAGCATTGAACGTATAATTAAAATGGTAGCCTGGCGTTCTCTCTGCTCAGGTCGTCCCCACACACCCTGTGCATTGGAGATCCATTCTAATTAGACACCTCCCTGGGTTTCTCAGTCAGTGAACACTTCAAGAGACTACAGCCATCTAGTGCTCTTGCGAGGTCAGAGATGGGTCCATCACACTCACTGTTGCATCATTAGTGCACAGCACTTCCTCATGCCCCATCAATGTTTAATGAATGAATTAGCAAAATGCCCTATGTCAGGCTCTGTGAAAGATGCATGGGAATGAACCTCACCCAACAGTAAGAGCAACTCAGAGATACTAATCCTTCTGTCACTATTGTGGTCCTGTCCATTTCTGTCTGTAGTTCTACCATTTAACTATCACCTCCATGGCTCTCATCCTACCCTCCCCAAGCAACTACCAATCTACTTTTTGTCTCTATAGATTTACCTATTCTGAACATTTCGCATAAATGGAATCACAGAATATGTGGTCTTTTTGTGACTAGATACTTTCACTTGGCATAACGTTTAAGGTTCATCCATGCTGTAGCATGCAGCAGTACTTAATTTCTTTAAAGTACTTTATTATATGACTAAATATTCCAGTATATATATATTTTATCCACTCATCTATCAATGGACATTTCAATTGTTTCCATCTTTTGGCTATTATGAACAACGCGGCTATGAATGTCCGTGTACAACTTTTTGTGTGGGCATGTGTTTTCATTTCTCTTGGGTAGATACCTAGGAGTGGAATTGCTGGATCAAATGGTAACTATGTTTAACATTCTATTTTTGTTGTTTTTCTTTTCTAAGCTTTTTGTTTCTTACACTAGTTCTACCACCCACACACACCTCTTTCCTGCCTGTTGAATTAGGTCTTTCCTTTCCTGTTGAATTAGATCTCCTTAGTTCCAGTTTCTTCTACAAATTAGAAAGTTCTACGTTGATTCTTTCAGTGATTTACCCTTAAGCTTTTAACCTTTAAATATTTAACCCACATATACTTTTCTAATGGGGAAGATAATACATATATCTTCCCCCCAAAACAAGAATCATACCTGCTTTTATACCTTGCTAGTCCTACCACCTGCTGCTCTACCTCCATATTGAAATCAGCTAGAATTCAAATTCCAGATCATTCTTTTAAAACATTTCTTCAATTAATACTTACCTAGTCTACTCTAGAGTTTACCCATCATTGCAGCTCTCCACATCCTCCTGAATTGTTTCCTAAATTACAGTCTCTAGTAGTCTTTTTTTAGTAAGAGTCTGTAGGCGGTATGCTTTCAATCCACCCATTTGGAAAAGGATCTGCATTTAAACCACTTATTTGAAAGTCCCTCCTTTGACTAAAATCATGCGATATCTCCTGATTTTACTCAGAAGAAAAGTCAAACTTCGATGATGCCCCCACTACCTCGCTGGCTCCCATTCTTCTCCAGCCACATCTGCTGCTGCTCACAACTCATTGGCTTTGCTCCACCCTCCCACCCACCCCACTCTTCCTCCAACATGGGCGGGTGGCACCTTTTCACCTCACCTTACACCTTTGTTCTACCTCTTCTCTCTCCAGGATACTGTGTTCTTCCCCTAGATAATCACTTGGCTACTTCCTCACCTAATTCTTTGTTCAATGTCACTTTGAGGTCTTCCCTGACCTCACTGCTCCCCTCCATTCTAACACTCCCACCTCCCTTACATTTCTCGTGTTCTTTTTTCCGTAGTACTTATCATTCTTCAGTGTACTATGTCCTTCAATGATGGTTTGTTCTCTGATGAGTTCCCATCCTTCCCCTGACCTGTGTCACAGGGAGCATCTTTCAGTCTGCCTTGCCCTCTGGCTTCTGGGAGCTTCAGCAAATGGGAGACACTTGAAGATTGAAGGGCGGGAGACAGGGAAAGGCTGAAGGCTGGGGTGCTTGCTCTCCTCTACTTCTTGTGGCACTTCCAATAGCTTCTATGTCCCCTCCCTGGCTCCATCTCCCTTCACGTATCCCCTTCCTCTGTGGTCCAGTGCCTTCCAGACTGAGCCTCGCGCCCACTCCAATGGCCTAAACTTCTTGGCTCTGGTAAACCTTCCTCTTCCTTTTGTGCTTCTGGCCCCTAGAGATAGCAGCAGTTTCCAGTTGTTGCTCACTTGGCTCTCCAGCTCCTTCAACATTTGTATTAATCCCATGTTTATAACACCTTCTTTCTGAAGATTCCAGGATGGTTTTTATTTTCTTGGCCAGACCCTGATATGCAACTGCGTCTGGAACTGGTGGATTCTCGGTCTTGCTGACTTCAAGAATGAAGCCGCGTACCCTCGCGGTGAGTGTTACAGTTCTTAAAGATGGTGTGTCCAGAGTTTCTTCCTTCAGATGTTCAGATGCGTCTGGAGTTTCTTCCTTCTGGTGGGTTCGTGGGCTCCTTGGCCTCAGGAGTGAAGCTGCAGACCTTCGCGGTGAGTGTTACAATTCATAAAGGTGGCGCATCCAGAGATGCTCGTCCCTCCCAGTGGGTTCGTGGTCTCGCTGACTTCAGTAGTGAAGCTGCAGACCTTCATGGTCAGTGTTACAATTCATAAAGGTGGTGCGTCCAGAGTTGTTCGTCCCTCCCAGTTGGTTAGTGGTCTCGCTGGCTTCAGGAGTGAAGCTGCAGACCTTCGCGGTAAGCGTTACAGCTCATAAGGGCGGGGTGGACCCAAAGAGTGAGCAGCAGCAAGATTTATTGCAAAGAGCCAAAGAACAAAGCTTCCACAGCGTGGAAGGGGCACCCGAGCATATTGCCAATCCTGGCTTGGGTGGCCTGCTTTTATTCCTTTACCTGGCCCCACCCACATCCAGCTGATTGGTCCGTTTTGACAGAGAGCTGATTGGTCCATTTACAAACCTTTAGCTGGACACAGAGTGCTGATTAGTGTGTTTACAATCCTTTAGCTAGACAGAAAAGTTCTCCAAGTCCCTACCCCATTAGCTAGATACAAAGCACTGATTGGTGCATTTATAAACCTTTAGCTAGACACAGAGTGCTGATTGGTGCATTTACGATCCTTTAGCTAGACAGAAATGTTCTCCAAGTCCCCACACGTCCCAGAAGCCCATCCAGCTTCACCATTCACTGGCACTCGCCTCCAGACTTTGTGGCACCTAGCCTAGGCACTCCGGCAGCCCAGAGGGAGCTCGTCCCAGACAACCAAGAGGAAAAGGGGGGAAGCGAGAAAGAGATGGAGACCTGCCATCGTGGCCAATGACCCCGTGAAGAAGGAACGGTGGTCCACGCATGGGACCCAGCCTTCAATCAAGCCCAGCAGGCCTCGGCTCCCACCGGCGCCTCTGCCTCTACACCTTCCCACTAGCAGAGGGAGCAGAGGGAGCCAGCCCCAGAGAGGGGCCCCCACAGCACAGCGGCAGGCTGAAGGGCTCCTCGAGCACGGCCACAGTGGATGCAGAGGCCGAGGAGGTGCCCAGAGCGAGCGAGGGCTGCTAGCACTTTGTCACCTCTCACAACTACATAATTTATTTATTACATTTATGATTTATCTGCCCAGGTAGAAAATAAGTGGATGAAGGCAGGAATATTTGTTTCTTTTGTTTACTGATACATGGCAAGTGCCTAGAATGGTTACACAGCACATAGTAGGTACTGAATAAATATTTGTTGGATAAATAAGTTTCTGTGCTAGATGCTGAGATGTGGCCCCCAGATTGCCCTCAAGACTGAAGAACTTATTCCCCTAGCATCTAGGAGTGCTGCTGGCAAATGTATCTTCCCCAGAAATTGCCCTCAGCTAGAAAATTGCCTGTAGCACCCAATGACTGGCCCATATGGGAGTATAAAGATCCAGTCCTTCACTGCAGTGTGGGACAACTCCAAAGCGCCATCCCACCTCAGAGTTCCCCTTGTGGTCCACTGAAGCCTTTTCTAGGGTTGCATTGCAGCCCAACTTGTATCTTTGCCTAATTCTGCTTCCTTCCCTTCCCCAACGTGTACTGATCCCTAATAAAACTATCATCTGCTAATCTTCATCTCAGTGTCTGCTTTCTAGTGACATCAACCTGCAACAGTTTTATTGGGGATAAATTTCTGGGTCTTCACCACTTTGAAGCAATAGCTCTATTGTCTTGTTTCTAATGATACTCAACAGAATATTTAGATCTGATTCTAGCCCTTTTATAGGTATGGCGAACATTTGATTGCCTCCTCCTTTTCCTTGCTAATAAGACCAGAGTATTGTCCCAGCTCTGGTGGCCAGTGTTCCATAAATTTCTCTCACCCTGGGGTGAACTGTGGATACCTTTCAGCCATTGCTTCCTATCCTTTTTCATAACAAGGCCCCACACATAATATACTTTCTATATGGCACCTTTTAAATGCTTCCATTATTCCATTCATGCTCCTATAGACTAGGAGGCTCCGTGCACCCCAAGTCCCACCCAGGCTAGGACCAAGAGGATCAAACTCTCATAACTGCATACAATTTCAGCACTGGCCCACCCACTGAGACTCTCTGGTCTATGCAGTCACTCAGTCATGATAATTCCGTTACCCTTGTCGCAATTGCTTCCGGTGTGGAAGACACAGTTGCCTTTTCTAGCCCTTGGTATTGCTGTTTAGATAAATGATGCTTGCAGCTATACCATCTTGTGTCCATGAGGGAATACCTAGGAACAAAAAGCAAGTACTCAATGGAAGGCAAAGCCAAAAATAGAAATAGTTGGGATAAATCTTGGCAGGGAGCCACTGAATTAACACTGGGACCTTTCTAACCTCAGGACTCTTGTGTAAAGAATTTTCCTCATTCTTTATCTTCTTTTAATTGGGTTTTCTATTGTTTGGATGAAAAGTATTCTCTGCTTAGTTCTAGATTTTTGGATAGGATGTAAACAGAAGTCACTGACTAGGGTTTCAGGCAATTCAATAATTTGACATGTGAGGTGTGTGTGTGTGTATGTATATGTATGTATGTATGTGTGTGTGTGTATATATATTTATATATACTGTTTTATACATATATTCTGATATATATATATATATATATAACAGAAGAACTCAGAGAATCTCTGAGTTCTCTTTATTTGTCAATCCCTAAGCCAATAGAAATTATTTGGTTACCTGAACCAATGCCAGCAACCTCCACCCTCTGGACCTATTACAAAAGCAAACACACCCTCAAGTCTTTAAGCCACTACAGGCACGGCTCTGTCACCAGCAGTCAAGCACAATCTCTAACTGATTTGATATCCTTTGCATATTTGTCTAGCAGGTTGTCTATTTCTTGTCAAATTTTACGAGCTCTTTATATATTGTAGAGATTTACCCTTATCTGCACTGCAAATATTTTCTCAAGCTGTCTCTTGTCTATGAACTTTTATAGTATTTTGCCATGCAAATGTTTTATTTTTCATATAATCAGTTTTTTTCTTTTATTGCTTTTGAGATTCTCTTCTTAGTGGTGCTATTGAAGAGGTACCTATGAATTCTTTGATACTCCTTCCATCAGGTGGGGCTTAATTCCCCTCCCCTGGCATGTGGGCTGGACGTAGTGATTTGTTTCTAATGAATATAACATGGCAAAAGTGGCCAAGATGTCACTTCTAAGGTTAGGTGACAAAAACACTAAAGCTTTCATCTTAGGTGCGTGCTCGCTTGTGTTCTCTATCTCTCACTGTGGGGGAAGCAAGCTGCCATAATGGGAGCAGCCTTATGGAGAGGTCCACATGGTGAGAAGTTGAGGCTTCCTGCCAACAGCCAGCGAGGAACTGAAAGCTGCCAGGAACCCCAAGGGCAAGCTTGAAAGTGGATCCTCCAGCCCCAGTTGAGTGTTCTGATGACTACAGGCCTGACCCACAGCTTGGCTGCGACCTCATGAGAGACTCTGAACCAGAGCCCCCAAGCTAAGCCACTCCCAGATTTCTGATCCTTAAAAACTTTGAGATAATAAACACTTGGTGTTTTAAGCTGCTAAAATTCTGGACTAATTTGTTACGCAGCAATAGATAAAGTAACAACACAGTTACAAACCATTCCAGCATCCCAGATTGCACCTGTACTCTCCTACATTTGCTTGTAAGATTTTTTACTTTAAAAAAACTACATTTTAAGACTTGAATCTATTTGATTTTTTATACAGAGTAAGATAAGTCTACATGCATTTTCCGGCGTAACATTTATTATATAATCTCTTACAAACCTATTAATTATTTTGACATATTAAATTTTTACATAAAGAAGGATTTCTTTCTGAATTCCCTTCTGTTCCACTGTATGTTTGTCAATCCCTAAGCCAATAAAAATTTGATTACAGTGACCATTGGATGGGGCTAAAGGCTCACTCAATGGGGAGAGCTTAGTTGCATGCAGGACCACAGAGGGAGATGGAGCCCTAGAGGAGATACAGATGTTGCTAGCGGTGCTACAGGAAACAGAGCAGAGGAGGAACATTTGGCCTTCCTTTCCCTTCCTCTTATCCTCCAATTTTTGGCCAATGTCTCCCATTGCTGAATTTCTCAGAGAGAATAAAGAAAAGAGTAGGAAGAGTAGAAGACTGCAGTGCTATTCCAAGAAACTTTCAACTCAGTCAATGGGGAGTCCTCAAGCAAAAGCTCCCAGTTAGAAAAGCCCACTAGGTTGGGAGGCCGAGGCAGGAGGATCCCGAGGTCAGGAGTTCAAGACTAGCCTGGTCAACATGGTGAAACTCCTTCTCTACTAAAAATACAAGAAATTAGCTGGACATGGTGGCGGGCGCTGGTAATCCCAGCTACTCAGGAGGCTGAGGCAGGAGAATCCCTTGAACCCGGGAGGTGGAGGTTGCAGTGAGCCGAGATTGCACCACTGCACTCCAGCCCGAGTGACAGTGCATCTAAAAAAAAAAAAAAAAAAAAAGAAAAAAAGAAAAAAGAAAGAAAAAAAAAGCCCACTAGGATCCTGTCATGTTTGGTCTTTGGCTGGGAGCATGCTTTCTTTCCAAATGCAGAGGCACGTCCAGAGAAGTAGTAGCTAGAGTTGTCAGTCAGCTACACTCCCATCAGCAGGAGATCTGAGCAAAGTGTTTCCACAGTCTTTGGTTTTAAAGTCCAGTATATGTTTAAATCAATGAAATAGAACCATAAGTAGTCTAACTGCAAAGCATAGTATGTATGATCTGACTATATAAATACTTGGTGTCATGCCATCATTTTTTAAGATACCGTGTTACAGGAAAAATGCATATCATACTCCATTTTTGTTAATTGTTACAGAATAACTACCTTTATGGGGGGATTAAGATATATTTGATATGTTCAAATTGTCATTGAATGGTTATCATGTTCCAGACAATATTCTTAGGCACTATGGGGACACAGTAGTGAAACAAGAGAGATTGCCATTGCCCACATGAAGCTCACATTATAGGAGGGGAACATGATAAGCCACAAAACAGAAGGGGGTAATGAGAAAAAGAATCCCAATATCTGGAGTGGAAGATAACCAAGGGGAAGGAGCCTGGGGAAGACACAGTCATTCAGGCTGGCCCTAGAAAGGTAACAACTGAGCTGGGACTTGAATGAAATCATTTTTGCTCTCTCAAAATGTTTCATGATGTTTCATGACTCATGTTCAGTGCTTCAAGTACTTTTGGATGATCTTTGTTAGTAAAGAATAGAAGTCCATATTAGATGTTTAGAATTATTGTGTGTTGAGATAAAATCAACTGACTTCTTTTTATAAGATTCTGGGGTATTTTTACCCACAAGCACTTCTGACACCAAATGTGTGGGCTTTTTCCTCACACTAAATTACCCAACTATCCAGACACTAACTGGGTGTCCTACCATTCAGTTTAATTCTAACACTGCCTGTAGTTAACAGACTCCACAGGTTTAAGGGCCCAGTCCCATAAAAGTGCCCTCACTTCAGGTGCCAGTTGCAAGTATTGAGTCCCCAGGTGACCCACCCTTCTGTTCAACTTAGCTACAAATCAAAATTTTCCACAAACCCTCCCCACTCTTTGTTCTATAAATTTGCTAGAACAGCTCATAGAACCCAGGAAAGCACTTTATTTACTATCACTGGTTTACCCTAAAGGACATTACAAAGGATACAGATGAACAGCCAGATGAAGAGGTATACAGAACAAGGTCAGATGGGTCCCGAGTACAGGAGCTCTGTCTCCATGGAGCTGGGGTGCACCATTCTCCCAGCATATAGATACATTCACCAACCTGGAAACTCTCTCAAACCTGTCATTAAAGAGTTTTTAATGGAGTGCCATAGGAATAATTGATTAAGTCATTGGCCCTGGAGGGCTGGGGGTGGTGCTGAAAGTTCCAGCCCTCTGATCACACAGTTGTTCTTTCCGCAACCAGCTCCATCTTAAAGCTATCCGTGAACCCTTTAGCCATGTGTCATCTCATTAGCATAGTAAAGTTACTCCTATCACTCTGGGAATTCCAAGGGTTTTTAGGAGCTGTGTGCCAGGAACCAGGGAGAAAGATCAAATATATTACTTGTTTTTAAACTTTTAAGTTCAAGGTACATGTGCAGGTTTGTTACATAGGTAAACATGTGTCATGGGGGTTTGTTGTACAGATTATTTCATTACCCAGGTATTAAGCCTAGTACCCATTAGTTATTTCTTCTGATCTTCTCCCTCCTTCCACCCTCCACCTTCCCAAGGGCCCAGCTGTGTGTTGTTTTCCTCTATGTAATACCAAATATATATTTATCACAACCTTCATGATTTTTTTTAAATGACAGGCAAGATTTGAGTGAAAGTTTTAGGCTGCTTTTTGCAAGTATTTCTCTATGAATACCATATTACAGATGTGCATAGTATTTATTCCCAATAAATAGAAAGCCAAATTGGAGTAATTTTCACCATATTTCCTTTTTAGCACTGGTTGCTTAAGCAGAGAGACATGTTGATCTGCTATATAAAGATCTTGATCAGATAAGTGCAACTTACAGTTCTAGGCAGAGCATCTTGAAGCAAATTTGAGGAATTATCATTTTTCTTTTTAAACATATATTTCAAAATCAATTTCCTCATACTTTCTACTTTCCATTAACTGTTCCTTGTGGCTATGAATACTACAACTAAGAATAAAACAATATAAAATACATAATAAAGTCACTGCAATATCTATTCTACTAGCCCCTGTAGACTTGGGTTCAGATAGACAATCTCATAAGACACAACAGGCCTCAACTAGCACCAAGTGTGTTTAGCTTTAATAAAGGATAGAGAGCATGAAATATCCTGGCATGCACAGCAATGGCAGAGCATAGGTCCTGTGACTCCTGGGCACAGCTGCTGGTGTCCCAGCCATTCTGAACTCGGAACATGTGTGGTCATAAGAGACGAGACTGAGTGACTGCTGCTGACCCCAGCTCAGGGAAGCCATGGGCTCTGAGCTCTTTCGGCTTTATGCCAGCTGGCCTTACAGCCCCTCAGGCATATGACTAGTCTTGATTCTTTAGGGCAGCTGCATCTCAATATCAATTATTCATTATTCAATAACAAATTTTGACAACATGCGACACCTGTACATAATCCTCAGATGGATTTTATGTTATCAGTAGCATATCATCCCAACAATTCTTTGAGTTAATGCTGCAAGAAGATCCTCAGCTATCCCTGAGGCTCAAGGAAATACTACAGAAGCAGCTGCTAACCTCCTTCCAGCTCACTTCCTGATCCCCATTAAAACATGTTGATACATGTTTGAGGTATTTTCTTATTCTTAATATAGTAATTTCCACCATATTTGTTGTACAACAAAATAAATATGCTAAAATACAGACAACCACTAAGATCTACATCCTCCAATGAAGAGTTGGGATTATTTCTGCAAAGCATGTTAACAACACTCTGCCCCATTCACAAATGTTCTGATATATAATATGGTACCAATTGTTCCACTCTTCCCTTCTATATTCTCCCCCCTCCCCACCCATTGTTTGCACATTTTTAATAGATATCGATAGAAGCATTCAACTCCATGGTGTCTTTTGGCAAGTTTTGATGGGAATTACATCAATTGGAGGTTTTAAGACTACTTCCCGAAACATCTTTTCATCCTGTTCATCCTGGAGATCATCTGCTACATTGGCTTGATTTTCATTTAGCTCTATACATGAAGCTAGAAATCTTTTATTATACTCTATAATGATTACAGAGATTAAAGTAATGCTTACTACATCATACATCAGTTAATATAATGGTGTCATTTCCCCAACCTTCCAAGCAAAAACATCCTTTGTCTCAAATATCACTTATTTTTCTTAATTGAGGTGGTCATTAAAGGCCACTGCTCAGTAAACTTTGAGTTCCACTGGTCCCAGGCCATGATCATACCCTTGCAACCAAGAAACAAGTTCTCACAAACCCAAGCTTCCAGGTTTCACTATACAGCACCACCCATCTGCCATCCCAAAGTTCCAGGGGAGCCAGTGGGATGGGGTGACCATATCACATAGGTATTCACCCTCGTGGACACCCTTCTGATTCCTGAATGCTTGATTGCATGGTTTTTCATCCACATCCACATCTGGTATAGTCAAAAAGCAAAGTGAATTCTGAGACACTGTGTAAGCAGTAAGATGCAACTTTTTTATATCTTTACCTAGATGCCACCCTGAATTACAACATTACAATGTATCAGCTGCCAGGTACATGCAAGTTCAAAGCTAAGGGCTACAAAAGAACCAATATCACAAACATAACCAAAACAAACAAAAGCTACCCAAATAATGATCCAGCCGGCTATCATTCAGGTTGACCAAAGGGCTATTGATTGGTATATTTTCTCTAATTAACCTAGTAAAATTCTAAACTATTCCTTGGGTCAGTCATGATCCTGTAGTTCTACCTACTTGGGAGGCTGGGGTGGGAGGACTGCTTGAGCCCAGGAGTTTGAGTCTGCAGTGAACTAACTGCGCCACTGCACTCCAGCCCGAGTAACAGAGTGAAACCCTGTCAATCGATCAAGCAAGTAATTAGCATACCTTGTATTCTAGCTTCAGTCCAAATTTTCTCAAGGGAAAGCAAATCCAGGGGCTTCTCCCAGAATCTGCCATGGTTTGGCACCACAAACACCTAACTGTATTATTCTCTTGTTCCAGGATGCAATTTTTTTTTTTTTTTTTTTTTGGAGACAGAGTCTCACTCTGTCACCCAGGCTATATACAGTGCAGTGGCACGATCCCAGCTCACTGCAACCTCTGCCTCCTGAGTTCAAGCGATTCTCCTGCCTGCCTCAACCTCCCAACTAGCTGGAATTACAGGCACCTGTCACCATGCCGGGCTAATTTTTGTATTTTTAGTAGAGATGGGGTTTCACCATGCAGGCCAGGCTGGTCTCAAACTCCTGACCTCAAGTGATCCACCCACCCCAAAGTGCTAGGATTACAGACGTGAGCCACTGCACCCAGCTCAAGATGCAGTCTTGAGAAGATAGTGACATCCTTTCCTGGCATCACCGTCTATTTGTGTGCTCTATCGCCATCTGTCACGATTTCCCCTTTTGCCCATTCATTGTCTGTCTCAAATCAGATAATGAATTTAGATCCATGGATTCAGCTACACTGCCGACCCCAGAGCAGACAGCAGGGTTAGGCTGGCCATGTCTTTGTCTATTCACAGGAAAGAGAAGGCAGGGGGTCAGACAAGCCAAGGATTATGGAACTATACATGTAGGCAGCTGGGCAGGATTTAGAGGCAGTCTTAGTTTAGACACACGAGGTAAAGTCACCAGTTCGCACTTGTCTTTGTTAAAAAGCACGATAAAATTCTAAGAAACAAATAGCACCCTGAGCAGTAATGTTTCCTGTCTGCATAATCTTTGCCCAAATTATTTCCCCAAATTGAACTGATAGGAACAAGTGAAGTAACCATCTTCAGCTGGTCATATGTGCTACTGGAGTTCTCCAGTCTTCCCTGCCTGCTTCTTTTGAAAAGGAGGTCATCATAATATCAATGTGAAAAACAACTTTTGATAGTAACCAAATCCAAATTGCTTCTCACCAGGTTGTGAGCATACATTGGAGAATTCAGAAATGCATACTGCATTTCTTCCTGTAAGAAAATGAATTGTGCCTGGCTTCCTTTTGAAATTCATACAGAAAAGCAAGCATTCGTCAAATCTGTCACATTTTCAATCTGTTGCACTTCCTAAATAGTTTTCACTGTGTCTAGTTTGGTGAAAAGCCATGATTGCCAACATTTGTCCCCAGGAGCCACCCACTTTACTCATAGGCCAAATAGGACTGCTATGAGCGTTGAGAGATAATCACTCCTGCTTCTTCCATTGATTAGAGCTGAAATTTTTAGTGCAGTATGGTTTAATAGTCAGTTGAAAGTGGGTATAGTGGGGAAGGGGATGGGGGAAGCTATAGTACTTGAGAAGTGATTTGCCAGGTCTGTTCAAAAGCAATGTGTTCAGTAAGCAGCCAGGCATATTTGACCTCCTCTGAGTTAAGGTTTCCTCCCAAGAACACTGGCATGGTGAATGTCAATAATTGTAAAGGGTCTGAGATTTTACCCTACTTGCAAGTTAACAAATTAGCCTGCCACCATTTCATGGTCAAAGTACTCCTAGATCAAAGGATTTAATTACTCGTGGAACAACAAGAAACATAAGCTTCATGTTTGCACGAGTTCCCCTTGCATTAGGTGGATGCTGCACTGCAAGTATCAAAGTCCCAAGGGGGGAAAGAAGTTAGCATACTTAAGAACGGAAAGAATACAAGTATGACTACAGCCTAGTCATCAAGTGGAGAAGTAGAATGATGAGATTAGCAAGATAAGCGGGAGCTAGATCTGCAGGGCCTGTGGATCATGACACGAAGTCGTGAATTTTATTCTAGAAGATGGAGAGCCATGAAACTCTGCAAAGTGGGAAATGCCATCATCTGATTTAGGCCTAAGGGAGATCATTGTGGTAGCAATATGAAGAAAAGATATAAGAAGGTCAAGAGTGAAAACTTTAGTCCAAATGAGAGTTGAGGGTGGCTTAGAGTAGGAGATGATAGAAGATACAAAGATGTAGATAGATTCAGGACAATGTGGAACTTGAACCAACAAGTCCTGTGCAGGGATTGATGGGGAAAGATTCTGCTGTGGGAGTTAAGGAAGAATTGAGGGTGATGTCTAGATTTCTGGTATGAAAAAAAAACAAACATACAAGAAGCAGATAGGAGATGAGGTATAGGCAGCCAGAGGAGCATCATAATAACTCCTTTTGAATAAAATATTTTTGAATTGTCTATATTTTGGCATATTAGAATTTGGAGTATATTTAAAGCTACGGGACTAGGCAAGATGACCCAGTCAATGAGCAGAGAGAAAAGATCAGAAAAATATCATGGATATGTGGGCAAAAATTTGGCAATAAGAGTAGACATCATGGTGTTTATTGTAAGAGAACAGTAGCCTAAAATCTATTAATAGGAGGCCGATTAAACAATGCTACGCCACCAATTTAGATTGTGTTCCATGTTGTATTTACTCACATAGAAAGTGACTCATAATTTTAAAAGGGTTACTAGGGTACATAGTTTGATCCCATTTTTCATTCAAGCAGCTCTGTACATGTGCATAAAAATTAGCTTAAAAGAGACATACATTAAAATATACACCAAAATATTAACTGTAGTTCTGAATGGTTATAGATTTTTCTGTTTCTGCATTTTCTAAATCTTCAATGAACATGTATCATTCATATAACAAGAGAAAAGCCAAGAAAAAATAATCCAGCTCCTCACAGCTCATCTTTGGGACTAAATCCTGCTTCTAGAGACTTGCAGGCAGGTATTAAGCTAAACCTCAATTCATCAGGACTGTCCAACTCTGTCTTACTTCTTAAGCATCATTTGTGTAGCCTGTAGTTCTGAACCTTGGCTACATATTAGAATCAGCTAAGGAACTTATATTTCTATGCCAGGGACCTACCCCTAAAGATTCTGACTTAAGTGAGCTGGAAAGTGGCCCAGGCATAACATTTGTGTGCCCTTGATAATTCTGATGGGCAGGAAGTGTTGGGAACTACTAGTAAGCCCTAGCTTGGTCTCCAAAGCACTGTTCTGAAGTTTTAGAAAGGAAAAGCAGCTAGAGAAGGAATAATTGTGGAAGAAAGCAGACCTGGAAATAATGGATGAGAGAGAAATTAATGAAGACATAAAATTCCAAGAGGAAAGGTTGAGAACTCCTCCCACCTCAAAATAGCTTTTATTTCACACCAGGCACTAGTTAGCTGCAAAAATCTGATCCCTGCACAGAAGTTGATAATAAGAGGCCGTTCACAAAGCTGCTGGAGCAGGTGTTTCCTCCCGAAAGGGGGCGGGCCAGAACTGTAAATCTCATTTTGGAAGTTTCGAGCCCTGGGGATACTATTCTGTGGCGCTGCCACTCTAGCTGCCATCTGGACTGAATCTCAGCTCCCGTTTCTGGGGCAGCCCTCGATCCAACTGGCAGCCCCACCGTTTGCATTCTTGCACAGTGTGTGAATGGAGGGGGAGAGCCTTTGGCTAGGCAGCCCTGGGGTCTCCTTCCCTCAAAAGATTCGCCAGTGATCCTTGCCCTGCTGGCTTCCTCTTTAATTGGCACACACTGTTGGGGAGCAATTGAGATTAAATGGCCGCTTGCTGGGTGGCTCTGAGAAACGGGCTGTACTTCTAGGCATGTGTGGCCCTGTTTGGAGCATTTGTTGTATCCTAGGATTGAATGAAGCAACTGCTGCTGCTGAAGCTCACTCGCAGGGTGTTCCTGCAAGCCACGTGAAAGCAGGCTCTTCATTTTGGTTTGCAAAACAGCCTCCAAAGCCAAATCTGCTCATACTGGAGCCATTCTAGACACAGGGATGTCACGAGGAGAAACTAGGAGGTACAGAAAGAACTGGGCAGAAGGAAATTTAGGGCTATGAGTCAAGAAAATGGGTTATACAATTGCCGGGTTGCCCTGAACAGCCAGAGAGAGATAGGGAAAGACTCCACTCCACGGAGAGAACTCCCAGAGGTCTTGCAATTCTCTAATGATCCTGGGCAGCTTCTGGGGCAAAGGTCATCCCTGGAGAATCCAGAAATTCTGTATTCTGGATGCCAAGGCCTAAACCTGGACTTGCTGACTATGACTTCAGGCATGCTGCTCAGCTTACTGAGTCTTCAGATCACAGGTTCTGCAAAAGGGTGACTGGGAAGCATGGGAAATCAAAGGTGGGCTTACATCTTCTCCTGCGAGTGTTCTCAAAAGTGAGCTTCAGGAGTCCCGTTCAGCCCCATAGTGCAGAATGGATTGGGAGACCTCATTTTGATGGAGCCCATGGAAATGCCAATCTCTTGGCAAACCAGAACCCGACCATTTCCTTTCACCTGCGCAGTCACACCCTAGCCTCCTGTGAACTCCCTGGTCTCATCTCCTACTACTTTCTCTCTTGTTTACTTTGCCCCCTCCTACACCCTTGCCCCAGGGCTTTTGTACTTGCTTCCCTAAATCAGATAAATATTGGAGAGTAAATTGAACTTCTAGCAGAAAATTTCTAGATGAAATTAGCTGACAGGGCCAATTGCTTTTTAATGCCCTTTCTAGTTTTTATTACGTAGATGACATGGTTTTCACTTCCTTCTCTTTGTATCCAGTTTAGCCCAATGTAAGGCAATCATTATATTGAAAGGGGCAGCATCCAGGACAATCAGCCTGTAAGAGGCAAGGTGACTACACAAGAAACTAGAGCAAGGGGCTCAGACTCAGGTCTAGCAGGTAGAAGAGCAAAGCAGGCAGGTGCAGACAGTGCCAAGCTGGAGACAGCGGGACCCACCTAAGGAAGGTGGCTGCTGCAGCACCAGCCAACTATTGTTCCATGGGAATGTGGGTCTGTTGTTCCTAGATATGACTTTTCAGTGCAAACCAGAAGCCCAAGTTTATGTGAAATGCCCGTTGTTAAATGCTGACAATGAATTCAAATTAAAAACAAGAAGTTTCATGGGTCAAACTATATCTTCAGGACAGATTCAGCAAATAGGCTGTCAATTTGTGATCTCTGAATTGATGCTGAGCAGGTTAAAGAGAATAAGCAATGAGGGAAAGGGAGTTCTATAAAATGCTGGATGAGGAATGATGATCTCTGGAGCTTGAGGTCAGGGAATAAAGGTGTCAGAAAGGAGACAAGTCTCAAGATCAAGAGAGGGACTGAAGCACATGACTCAGAGCTGCAGGCAGGTGTGTATATGCCTGCCAAACCTGGGGCCAGCACAGCAAAGGCGTGATGGTGAGACTCCAGGCAATGTGCAGTCCAGCCACCTGAAGGACAGAAAGCACACTGGCATGGCAGGATATTTCATCTTCTTTTCTTCCTGTGTTTTGGCCTTTCAAGAACGTAGGCAGTCCTGTGTTCATTGCCTCAAGACAGAAGTCACAGTAACCTAGGACTCTACAGGGCTTGTTTCTAAAGTTTAAATCCCCTGGGGTCAGGGTAGAATTCTCAAGAAAGACATTTTGGTCAGAAAAATGAAGGAAATAGCCTAAAAAGAGTTTTTCTGGGATGTGGAAGTAAAAACAAGCAAAGATGGCTGGGGGTCCCATGGTGGAGGCAACCTGTTTCCCATTTCCCAGGAAAAACCACCTGAGAAGCAGCCAGACCTCAGAAAGGAAAGGGCTGTGGAACATCCAGGCAGATGAGATACTACATGGCTGTGCTGATAAATTCCCAGCTACAGCCTGAAAGCAGAAGAAAGCCCCCAGGACACTAGATATCACAGTAGGAAAATGGGTTAACAAATGCTCATAGCCAGGGAGAGCCCTCCCAATACCTTGGCTCCCCCAAGAAAAAGGGAAGTTACAGTTTCCTAAAGCCCAGTGGCGGGAAGGCTCAAAATGAAAGCTGTTTCATTTTTATACACCTGGGTTTGTAGACTGAGATTCACACTGGCTACTTTAGAGAGCCACCAAAGATGAAGACAGGTCAACAGCAGTGTCTGAATTTGATTCTAAGCTCTTCTTCCAATGGCCACTGTGGATGGCAGTCTCTACGATGGTCCCCAACAATCCCCACCTCCTGGTATTCACACCCTTGCAAAATCCCCTCCCACACTGTACCAGGATTGGCCTGTGTCTGACAGCATATGGCAGAAGGGACTAGGTTATAAAAAGACTGGCTTCTGTCCCTCACTCTTTTTCTTGAATCAATTCCTCTGGGAGAAGCAAGCTTCCATGTAGTCAACAGCTCTGGATAGGCTCCAGTGGTAAAGAACCGAAGCCTCCAGACAACAACAAGTGAGGAGTTGAGGCCTGCAGTCCAACCGCCTGCAAGTAACTGAGGCCTAGCTAATGCCGAGGTGAGTGAACTCGGAAGCAGACTCCATTCTCACTTCAGGCTTTAGATGAGTACAGTGCCAGGTGACAGTGTGGCTGCAGGCTCATGAAAATCTCTGAGCCAGAGCCCAATGGCTAAGCCACTCCCAGATTCCTGACCCACAAAAGCTCTGTGAGATAATAAATGTTTGATGTTTTAAGCTGCTATGGGGTAATTTATAACATAGCAATAGAAAATGAATTCACCCCCACATCAACATATGAAGGCGATACTGAACCTAGTAAATTAAGAATTAGATGACTGGTCAGGAGCAAAGTACAGAAGCTTTGCCCTTTTTCTGTCAAATGATGCCACCAACCCTTTGCCGGAGGAACTGATTCAGGAGACAGGAGTCAAGTGAATAGTCAGAGGTGCTGAGCCACACTCCGTACTAGGCACTCCTAGGCATTACAGAACAAACTTTGCACAGAAATCATATGTCAGAAGAGGGAGTTCTGCCATCACAGCTTACAGCAGCTGAGAAGCTAAGAGTTCCCAGGTAATCTGGCAGCTTCAAGCCAAAGCCCTACCCACAGGCTGGGCAGCACAGGAATTTGAGTTGGGTGATGTAAGGTAAAAGCTAATCTTCAAAACTAGCAAACCTTTGCAAGCTACTTCTTTCCTCACTCTTTTTCCCCCCACAGAAGGGGAACATTTGCTGTTTTTTTTAGAGCCTAGAGCCTTAGCATCTGCCCCCTTGTCATTTAAGAATTGAGTATCTTGGTGCTGATTTTCAAAGTAGCTGTTAATCACTTAGCTCCACATTCACTATGAGGACAAGCCAGAAATCATTATAAACTGGAGTGTTGGGTTAACCCAAAGTGCTTCATCTCTACCTACCTACCATTGTTATCTGTGGTCTACAAAAGCTATGGGTGTAACCCAGAGACCCTAGAGACCAGGAGAAAAGCTAGGGTGGGAAAGCCTGGAATCCAGCCCTCTTTAGAGAGATCTCTATGGTCTTGCTTTCAGTACCTAAAGTCTTTCCCCATGCAGACACATATGTCTTGGGAGCCATCCCATGGGAAGAGTCTTCCAGAATGACCCCAGTGTCTTCCCTAAAGCATAGGTGGTAGGTACCCCCACCACTACTAAATATTTCCATTAGAAAAGTTTATAATCCTAAACAAATTCACTTTGGATCCTGAGACCTAAAAAGACTTCTCTACAATAGCACAGGGCTTTCTCTTAAGAATTCACAGCATCTTCACCCTGATGATTCATTTTAACCTGTGGCAAGGCATCCATTTACCAAAGACTGAGTTTGCTTTCTTTTGTTGTTTTGTTTTTTTGAGATGGAGTCTCGCTCTATTGCCAGGCAGGAGTGCAGTGGCGCGATCTCAGCTCACCGCAACCTGCTTCTCCTGGGTTCAAGTGAGTCTCCTGCCTCAGCCTCCTGAGTAGGTGGGACTACAGGTGCATGCCAGCATGCCCAGCTAATTTTTGTATTTTTAGTAGAGACGGGGTTTCACCATAATGATCAGGATGGTCTCAATCTCTTGACCTCGTGATCTGCCCAACTCAGCCTCCCAAAGTGCTGGGATTACAGGCGTGAGCCACCACGCAAGGCCCTGAGTTTGCTTTTAAATTATCTTATCTGGAAGTTGGAAATGTAGGAAGTACTGAATGTGAGCTTGTGGTATCAGGGAAAGGGGAGCTTGTGATGAGTTCCCTCTGTCAAGGGTTACCTAAAGTTCCATGTGAATGACAAGTAGCCCTTATCTCTTGGTGTTTGGATGGGCTGAGCTGGGCTGATGGACAAGGTCTTTCCATAACTTCAGTCTCTTTGCACCTGCTGACTTACAGGGGCTTTTGCCTCCTAACTGTAAGAAAGGGAAGATGTTTGGACAGGCAAGAAGGAGTGAAGAGAAAGTAGACCAAAATGGAGCTTGGGTCAGTGTGGAGAAAGCTTTTCTCCCAGCCCCTTGTATCAGGTTTGAGCACCTGTGCATAGGGGCATAAAAACCAACAAGAGTGGCTCATGAGAAGCTTGAGGACACTCTGGACACAAAGAGCTGCTTCAGGGCCCAGGAAACAGAGTGGGACACAGCTGTTGGAGAAGGCCATTCTCAGCAGAACAAAGTACAGCTCAGGCCCCTCAAGGAAGGGAAATTCCCAAAACCATTTGCATCCTTAACTCTATCTGCTTCCCATGGAATCCAATCTGAGACGTGTACACATTGGTCTTTTCAGATTCTTGATCCACTCAATTAGAATCATTGCAAAAGATTTGAAAAAAGTTTCTATCTCATCCTTGAAGACAAATAGAAAGGTTTCATATCACTGGAGTAAGCCTAGGATCATAAGGTTTGGGAAGTTTGATTCTCCATTTCCTTCGATCATTTTGTGTGGTATTTGTATTCTGTTTCATTAAGGTTACCATGGGGATGAGGGAGGTGGCACTAGGTTAGCATGAGGCTTGGCCATGCTGTCAGAGGTCATGGACCATCCTAAGTCTTACTTGGTGATAATATCTCAGGGGGCCTCTTCCCTCCACAGCTAACCACACATCTGAAAAGATGCTTTCAAGGGCCTCTGATATTCTTTCCAGGGCCTCTCAACACTTGAAGATGCTCATTTCCCCAGAGTGGTGGTTTCTACATTTATTCTAAAGACAAAGTTACAAGAACACTATATGTATAAAACAGGTAAAAGTTGCACATTTGATTACATAAGGGGACACGGTGCTCAGAGTCCCATTGAACCAAGTTAGAAACCATGTGGTAACGCTAAATGGTATTTTTGAAAGTGGCCAAATAAGTCCCCTTTGGATTGCTGCCCATGCTGATGTCCATTTTGGTGGAATGATAGGCAATTGCAGGGGGCTCTTCAGCTCTGCTCCGGGAAGTGGTGCCTCTGGGCCCAGCTGAAGCACCTTAGGAAACTGCCAGCAGGGACCCACAGATCTAGTCTGGTGCTCATGATGGCAGGAATGGTTGGTTTGGTGGCTACAAAATTCAGGGTCTGCCACAGAGTTTGTACATGTTGCCCCTTTTATGCCTTTCAGGAGCCTAGTTCTGTGCCTCTCAGGAGACTAGGGCTGGGGAGTGTGTATCACAGATTTAGCTAGAGTGACATGCTGTTCTCCTGCGTTCTCTTGTTCCTCGTGTAGGGAGCTCCCTCAAGGACATCCCAGAAAGATGTGGCTGAACCAAGGCACAACACAGGGTCCCTCCCTGTGTTTGCTACCTTGATAGCAGCAAAGTACCTGACTTCACCTATGACATTTACATGGGCAAAGGCATGAATGATACATTTATTCTGATAACCTGAAGCGCTTCTTTATATGTTTCAGCTCTGTATAGTTATCAGAACTATTTGCTTTATTTCCAAATAGGTTTGAAGACATCTCCCCATCCTCTCCTGGGCAATGCCCTTTAGCAAAATTGCCAGCATATGAAGTAGTAGCAAAAAGAAGCCCAGGGGAAATGCTGATTACACTTACATAACAGTACCTGAAAGTATTATCATTGACAAAGTGTGAAAATAAATTATGAATAAAAATGTTTGAGGTTTGTTTCTTTTCTTATAAATTTAAGTTGCATTAATTTTGTTATTCACTCTTACTTATCCTGTAGTGCTGACTCTAACAGTCATTAAATACTTTATTAGCATCTAAAAATTTTTCTGTAAGTCTAAAAGAAACCTTACCCAGTTAATCATTTTTTTCTGAAGTCCATTAAGTGAAGGTGAGCTATTGTAATAATTTTTTCTATAAGAATAAGGATAGTAATTCAAATAGCATTAATGGGTCTGAAGAGATTTAAGATGGTAGCTATTAAAGTGTAATATCCCTGTCACAGATGCATTGAATATGCAAAAGTTATAAGGTAGGCTAGGTGTGGTGGTTCAGATCTGTAACCCCAACACTTTGGGAGGCTGGGCAGATTGCTTGAGCCCAGGAGCTTGAGACCAGCCTAGTAAGCATGGCAAAACCCCATCTGCACAAAGAATACAAAACCTAGCCGGGTGTGGTGGCGCACACCTGTAGTCCCCACTACTTGGAAGACTGAGTACGAGGGTCACTTGAGCCCGGGAGGTGGAGGCTGCAGTGAGCCGAGATCGTGCCACCACACTCCAGTCTAGGTAACAGAGCAAGACCCTGTTAAAAAAAAAAAAAAAAAAAAGAGAGAGAGAGAAAGAAAAAAAAGTATGCAGTAGTCTCCATACCGCTGAACTGTCATTGACAAATCATGGTAATAACTCAGAATGGGCAGCCTAATCCAGTGCTAAAGTCAGAAACTGCCCATCATGGTCACCCTTTATTTCAACCAAGCACACTTTTTCCTTCCCATCATTCTTTTGCCTGAAAAGAGGTCTTCAAGTAGCCATACACATCAAAACATCTTGCATCTGACTTTAGGTTTGATATGAGTGTTAGGAAACACCCATGTTTATATCTGTTCCAGAATTTGTTGGTATTCTCCATGTTTATAACCTTGTTGTCACAGAGATTAAAATTTAATTGGGGGAAATAAACACTCTCCTGTCAGACTTTAAAGGACACAGACATACTCTATATAAGAGCCCAAACATGATGTAAAAGAATAAAACAGGAAGCATGGACAGGCCAGTTGATGTGGCAGTTGTCAGGGAGGAAACAGTGGGGGTTAGTATTTGGTCACAAGTAATCACCCCTCTCCTCTCCTTGAGAATTACTCCGTCACACTCTCCAGCCATGTAGCTCTGATCTGCCTGCCAATCATAGCAATCATTCACATATACAAATAATACACACAGCTACTGAAGATTTGAGTGCCAAGATAAAGCACTTGGTGTATATTTAATAGGCAGGAAGGAACCCGTTTAAAAAATATATATATATATATATATATATATATATATATATATATATCTCATCATTATATGCATCCTGTAGATTCTTAAAATACTGACATAGTAAGGATAGTGTTTTAAAAAGATTTGGGTATCAGAATAATTCATGCTTTTCACTGGGTGGGCTTAAAAGCAGATTTGACCACCCCACCAATAAATGACCTGTGGGAAAATATCAAAAGATCTAACACAGGTATAATTGGAGTCCCAGAAAGAGGTAAGATGGAGACAGATCACAAAATATTCAAATAATAGTCTAAATTTTCCAAACTTGATGAGAAATGTGAATTTCCACATTAAAGAAGTTTAGTCAGTCCTAAGCAGGATAAATACAAATAAACCACACCTTAGCAAACCACACTCAGGTGCTAAAAATCCAAGTTAAAGAGAAATCTTGAAAGCGGCTAGAAAAAGAAATCTTATATGTAGAACAAAATTAGGAATTGTTGTTGGCTTGTCATCAGAAACAGTGGAGGCAAAAAGTCAAGTGTAATGACATCTTTAAAGTGTTGGGGTTGGAGGTAGCAGGGAAACCCAGTCAACCCAGAATTCTATATACAGCCAAAACATCTTTCAAGAATGAAGGCAAAATAAAGACATTTTCAGATAAACAAAACCTAAGAAAATTGCCAGTAGACCTATTCTACAAGAAATGCTAAAAATTCTTCACACTGAAGGAAAAATCATATGCAAACTTGGATTTTCAAGAATGAAGAGAACCGAAAATAGAAAATATACGGGCAAACATAAAGTACATTTTTCTTAATTTAAAAATATGATTTTTAAAGCAACAATTATTACACTGAATTGTGGGGCTTATATGTGGATAATATCATATATACACACAGCTATTGTATAAAGTATGAGGTAGGTATGGAAGTAGATGGCTACAAAGTACAGTTTAGGTGAGATGGTATAATATAAACTCAAAGTAAACTGAAAAGGATATTGTAATCCCTAGAACAACCACTAAAAGAAAAAGCCAGCTAAATTAAAATGGACAGTTTTTGGGTTTTTTTTTTTTTTTTTTTTTTTTTTTTGGAGGCAGAGTCTCGCTCTGTCACCCAGACTGGAGTGCAGTGGCACCATCTCGGCTCACTGCAACCTCCGCCTCCTGGGTTCAAGTGATTCTCCTGCCTCAGCCTCCCAAGTTGCCCAGCTAATTTGTGTGTGTGTGTGTGTGTGTGTGTGTGTGTGTGTGTGTGTGTGTGTGTGTTTTAATGATCTCAGCTCACTGCAACCTCTGCCTCCTGGGTTCAAGCAATTCTCCTGCCTCAGCCTCCTGAGTAGCTAAAATTGCATATGCCCGCCACCATGCCCAGCTAATTTTTTGTATTTCTAGTAGAGATGGAGTTTCACTATGTTGGCCAGGCTGGTCTTGAACTCCTGACCTCAGATGATCCACCCACTTTGGCCTCCCAAAGTGCTGGAATTACAGGTGTGAGACACCGCACCCAGCCTAAAATGGAGTTTTAAAGAATAAACACAAAAGATAGGTAAGGAAAATCAGAGGAACAAAACATAAATAAGAAAAACAGAATACAAATGGCAAAATGGTAGGCCTAAACCTAACCATATGAATAATTACATTAAAGTAAATGGACTAAACGCTCCAGTTAAAGGCAGAGATTGTCAGACTGGTTAAGAAAAGCAAAACATATCTACATGCTATCTACAAGAGACAATGTTTTACGTATAAAGATATAGATAGGTTTAAAGTAAATCTATAGAAGAACATATACCATGCAAATAGGAAGCCTAAGAAAACTAGAGTGACTACATTAAGATTAGATAAAGGTACTCCAAAAAGATCTGCCATCAATAAAGAAGGACATTTTAGAATTATAGAAGGGTCAGTTCCTCAGGAAGACAAAGCAATGATTGATACGTATAAGCCAAATAACAGAACTTACAAGTACAAGAAGCAAACATGGATAGAAGTATAAGAAAGAAAAACAAATACATAATCATAGTTGGATTTTTTTAATGCTCCTCGCTCAGTTATTGATAGAAAACCAGATTTAAAACTTAAACAGGACTGAGATTTGAAAAATACTTTTGGCCAAGTTGACTTAAATGCCATTTATGGAACACTTCATCAACAAACTTCAGAACATACATGATACATTCATCAAGATAGATCATGTTCTGGGCTATAAATCGAGTCTCAATAAACCCGTAAGTTTGAAATCATACAGCGTATGGTCTCAGTCCACAATGGAATCAAAGATCAATAAGAGCTCTAGAAAAAAAAAATATGGAAATTAAACCATACACCTCTAACAAGACAAAAGGGAAATCAAAGGAAATTAGAAAATATTTAGAACTGATCTATAACTAAAATAAAACACTAAAATGCATGGAACGCAGCTAAACCAGGGCTTAAATGCTCAGAGGAAAATTACAGCCATAAGTGTTTATTTTAGAAAAGAATGTATTAAATCAGGGATCTGAGGTTCCATGTATTAGCTCCAAAAAGAAGTAAAGTAAACCCAAAGCAAGTAGAATATATATAAGAATTGATAAGATAGAGAAAAAAGAAAATTAAGGTCAAAAATTTGTTCTAATAAAAGATCAGCAAAACTGATCAACCCCTGGCTATACTAATCAAGAAAATAAATACAAATTACCAATATCAGGAGTAAAAAATATTAAGAGAATAAGTGAATATTATGAACTGAACAACAGTAAATGAAACAATTTAGATAAGATGGACAAGTTCCATGAATTACACAACTTATTAAAGAAATAAGAAGTCTAGAAATAAGAATGCTTACACCTATTAAAGAAATTATTGACTGTTTTTAAAATCCTTCCCACAAACAAGACTCCAATCCCAGATGGTTTTACTAATATATTCAAGAAAAAATTTACAGTAGTCTTATATAAACTTTCAGAAAATAGTTCAAGGCCAGCACTTCCCTAATACCAACACCAGACAGAGATGATACAAGAATGCTACGGAACAATATTGTTCATGAACATACATACAAAAATTCTTAGAAAAATATTAATAACACAATACATTGTGAACAAGTGGGGCTTGTGCATAGAATGTAAATTTGGTTTAAGGTTTGAAAAAAATAAATATAATTTCCTTATTAACAATATGGCAGGGGGAGGGAAATCACAGGATTCTTTCAATAGATGCAGAAAAAAGCCTTTGACAAAATTCAACACCTATTCATGATAAAACTCTCAGCATACTAGGAATAGAGAAACTCCTCGATCTGATGAAAGGTATCAACAGAACACCTATAGGTAATATCATATTTAATGATGAAATGCCGAAGGCTTTTCCCTTACAGTCAATAGCAAAGCAAGGATATCTACTGTCACAACTTCTGTTAACAGGGTATACTAGAAATTGCCACCGCAACATGATTGTTTATAAAGAAAATTTTAAATAATCTATCAGTCAATTACCATAACTAATAAATGTAGTAAGGTCACAGGATACATGGTAAACATTTAAAAACCAATTATAGGCCGGGCGCAGTGGCTCACGACTGTAATCCCAGCACTTTGGGAGGCCGAGGCGGGTGGATCACGAGGTCAGGAGATCGAGACCACAGTGAAACCCCATCTCTACTAAAAATACAAAAAATTAGCCGGGCGCGGTGGCGGGCGCCTGTAGTCCCAGCTACTCGGGAGGCTGAGGCAGGAGAATGGCATGAACCTGGGAGGCGGAGCTTGCAGTGAGCCGAGATCACGCCACTGCACTCCAGCCTGGGTGACAGAGCGAAACTCCATCTCAAAAATAAAGATGAAAATAATAAAATAATAAAATAAAAAATAAAAGAACACCAATTATAGTTCTATATGCTAGTTGAAAAATAGAAATTTTAAAAGCCATACAACAATAGCTTTCCAGCCTCCCCAGCAATGGGCATGGACCACAGCTCTGATCAATGGAATGTGAATAGAAGTGATTTGTACCCCTCTCAGCATGGCTCAGAAAATCCTCTCAGATGCAATCCTCAATTTCTGCTTCCTGATCATTATAGGAAACCCTGGTTTGAAGATGGCACAGCCACGAGATAGAAGTGCTCTGGGGACCCAGGTGCACCTATCAGGAGTGACTGGGTTGTTTGTTTTAAAAAGAAACAGGGTCGGCCGGGCACGGTGGCTCACACTGTAATCCCAGCACTTTGGGAGGCCGAGGAAGGAGGATCATCTGAAGTCGGGAGTTAGAGACCAGCCTGACCAACATAGAGAAACCCCGTCTCTACTAAAAGTGCAGGATTGGCCAGGCATGGTGGCGCATGCTTGAGGTCCCAGCTACTCGGGAGGCTGAGGCAGGACAATCACTTGAACCCAGGAGGCAGAGGTTGCAGTGAGCCGAGATCATGCCATTGCACTCCAGCCTGGGCAACAAGACCAAAACTCCGTCTCAAAAAGAAAGAAAAAGAAAAGAAAGAAAAAAACAGAGTCTCGCTCTGTTGCCCAGGCTGAAGTGGCACAATCACGGCTCACTGCAGCCTCAACTTCCTGGGCTCTAGTGATACTCCTGCCTCAGCCTCCCAAGTAGCTGGGACTACCAGTGTGCACCACCATGCCCAGCTTTTTTTTTCAATTTTTTTGTAGAGATAGGATTTCATTATGTTGCCCAGACTGGTCTCCAACTCTGGGGTCAAGCAATCCCCTCTGCCTCAGCCTCCCAAAGCACTGGGATTACATGTATGAGCTATTGCATCCAGCCAGAAATGACTGATACTCCTATTAGTAAACTCATCGTGTTTGATCCATTAGCTAACATTACCTTAATTGACACAATGACCATCACTAGTGGATCAGATAAGGGAAATTCGGATGAATACTAGAACACCATCCTGCAGTTAAATGCCATGAATAGGATGCATTCATAGTTGTACACACATCTTAAGCACTGAGTGGAAAGAAAGAATGAGATCAATAAGGTGAAACTTGGAATTGATTGAAGGGCCATAACAGAAAATAACGTAGAACTATTTATGTAAATTGGAATACATTCCACTGTACATTGAAGAAATCATACATATCCAAAGACATATTATTAAATGCATTAGAATAGCTGGGGTGGAATGGGAAGGAATTTTAGGGACAAGGGGGGAACATGTAGCCCAAATGATACTTAATCCAGCAACTGAAAGGAGACAACAGGTTGAAAGATGAGGAGTCTGAAAGTAGGTGCTGTAAGTGTGACTAGCATAGAGAGACAATGGCAAAGATTCTAGACATTGTTTAATGGGAAGTCCAACGGCAGTTTGCTTCACAGAAATAGCAAATAAAAGTGTATTTAAGGAAAGCACTTTGATACTTATTTTAGCACTAGCAAAATTGGATGGCATATATTTTCTGATAGATGCAAAAATATCATAAGTCATAATAGTGTTTATGTATTTCAAAGGAAAGATTGTTAGAAACAGCAATCTGATAATGCAGGTGCTCTTAATGGGAGCCTCAAAACAGAACATACAAATTAGTAAGAATCGAGACTATTTTCCATATAACTAAGAAATCTTTGCTATGGATCTGTTAAAGAAATTGCAAAGATCCCTGAACATACATCATATGCAAGGATTCATACCTGGCCCTTAATTCTCTTATGAAACAAACAGCTTAGGACTGTAGGACATTTTCATCAAGCACATTTGAGAAGGAAGAGGATCCCACTGCTTAATAATTCTAAGTTTTAGATTCCTATGTAAGAGAAGAGGCACAGTTCCAGTTTAGCCATTTAGTAAGTGAATTATATATGATTTTAGATGAAGGTCTTTAGACAAGAGACTCGTCTCAGTGTCTAACTGCTGGAAAGGGTGCAATAAAAATACATTTACAGCCCTACAGAATAGCAGCAGCCATTAAAGTTGTACTACTGATTAAAGAAAAACTCCTAATTGAATAAGATTACTTACTTTGGTCTCATTGTAGTACTAAAATATGGCTTCAAAAAGGCCAGCTCCTAGTGATACAAAATATATCTTTTGACTGCCTACATTTGGCAAAGAGTTATACATTTGAGAAGGTGTCTGAAAGTATTGATAACATCAGAGAATACCCAAGCAGGATTTCATTTACCAGGACAAAGTAGATGATGGGGGAAATGTAAAGGATCATAATGTTCTTGAGTCATTAATGACCTCAGCAGCAAAATGTTTCAACACGTGTTTGTGGACTTTGCACTACTGTATGTCTCAAGATTTCAAGGCATTAGAATCAGGACCATAAGGAGAACTCTGTAAAGACTTTAAGATGAAAGGCCTTATCACTGCAGAACTGTTACGACATGCTGAGAATGCAGTCATCATGCCAGTTGCAGACGCTCTGCAGATGGAAATGCAGAATTACTCCAGGGGACAGAGGCAGGTAGGATGCATTATTTAAGAGATGCACTATTTAGCCAAATATGAAACATTCGGTTTAAAGTGTTCTGGGGAAAGGTGGGGATGCGTGGGAGGGATAGATTAGGAGAGTTTCCTACCTCATTCCTACAACTCTTCTTTCAAACTCAGGCAAAAAAAAATTTTAACACCCCAGAACAAAACAGGTGCATTCCTTGGAGGTTAGCATCCTGGTAGGAAATAGCCTTTGACACACCGCCATCTAGTGACGGCAGAGGAGAACTCAAAGCTCTTTCCCCGCCCCCGCTTCAAACTCACTGGAGAGGAAGAAGGAGTCGCTTATGCAGCCTGGAACTTCTTTTGCATTCTACACCCTCTCTGAAGAGCAGAACGCCCACCGGACTTTAATAATGGCAGTGCATTCTGCTTTCATTTGATTGAATTCTGATACCTTTCATCATCGTGGATGAGGATAATACCATCTATCCCTAAGGTTATTGTGAAGATAAAAGTGACTCACACTGGCAGCACTAACCACCATGCCTGGTGTAGAGCAAGCACTCAGATCTACACCAACCAGTGTTAGAACCAATGACATTCCTACATTTAAAAACTCACTCGCCACTCCTTAGAGTTAAGCCAGTCCATCTAGGCCTGTCAGGCTGCCCGACCTCAGTGACCCACAAAGGTAGGTGGCCAAAGGCAGGGGCAGGGGCAGTGGCATTTCTACTGGACAAGGGCAAATAGTCTGTTAAGTAGAAGACTTCCATTCTTTCCTTTATTTTTAGGACCATTATTCTTTCCATGACCTCCCATCAGAATTGCTTTTTTAACAATTTTTTTGGTTTCACATAACACCTTTGGGAATCTGGTAAAACATATGAGCTCCCTAGAAAAGTGCGCATGAGCTGGGTGCAGTGGCTCATGCCAGTAATCCCAGCACTTTGGGAGGCCGAGGGGGGCAGATCGCTTGAGCCCAGTAGTTCAAGACCAGCCTAGGCAATGTGGTGAAACCCTGTCTCTACAAAAAAAATACAAAAATTAGACAGGCCTGGTGATGCGTGCCTGTAGTCTTGGGAAGATGGGTGGATCACATGAGCCCAAGAGGTTGAGGCTGCAGTGAGTCATAATCACACCACTGCACTCCAGCCTGGGCAATAGAGTGAGACCCCGTCTCAAACAAGTGTGCTCATGAAATCTTACATTTGATCTTGGGTGCTCATTAACCCCTAAAGATTATTCCTATGAACAAAAGATTAATACTGCCTCATATTGACACTGCAGGTCATCTGGAAACAGGGGCATAGGGATTTTCCCTCCAGCTCCTTTTTCAGCCCCTTCCTTCCAGCACTGGGGGAAGTGACATGTGAACACATGTCATATACATGTCAACATGCCTCCTCATATACATGTTTTCATCTTTGCCCTAGGGGAGATGGGCTTGCCACTACTTTCGTTCAAAGTAATTCAGCATGTCAAGAACAGACACAAAGAAAAGCATTTCATGCCACAAAGAGCAATTTCCAAAGATCAGAGAAGGGAAATCCAAATACAGGCCTCCCACCTCCCCCGCCACCAGCCCACCTGCTGCCCATACCCTCGTGCCTGCCGCACCCCTTCCCCCCTTACCCCCCACCCCCCCATCCCACACCCACCACCATATGAAAGTCCCGGATTCCTAGTAAGGAAAACCAGTGTCCTTGAATTTTAATAAAGTGAGTTCACATCTCACTTTATTAAAGTGACCAACTGGCCAGCTTGGTCAAAACCATTTGTTCATCTTGCTGCATGCACAGCTGATCACAATTTGCAGAGAAGAGGGCATTGCTCATTGAGGAAAGGCTGATAGAAGCCTTTCAGGTAGTTCAAGCTTGACTGTCTCCCTTCTCCAAACGGGAGAAGGTACATCAGGGCTGCCCCTGGGCAGATATAGCTACAAGCAGAAGATGACAGGCATGTAAAATACATTGACAACAGAAGACTACAGACATCTGACAGGCAACTCAGGATTTTAAACAACCACTACCACCACCACAACACAGTTGCCCAGGGTGGCCAGCAGATTTGGTTACCCTTATCTTCATAAAAAGTCACACTTTCTACTAAAGAAGTGCCTAAGTTAGGGGGTGACCTAAGCTATTGCTCACTGGAAACCACAAGGCTTTCCTTACTCCATCACCAGTCAATCTTGAACCATGGAAGCTGTTTGTTGGATTGCAGTATTCCTTCGGCAGTCTTTGACATTGTACATGGCTCACTGTGATTTTAAGGATGTCATTTAACATAGCTTTTTTATATAGTTCAATAACTTCAAAGAGACATTATCTGTTCTGGATGAGGGATATGCATAGTCAAGCATGCATACTTCCAAGGTCAAGTATATCACATACCCAGCTAGACAGTGGATGAAGCAGGAAGAAGAAAGCTGGCTTTAATAGAAGTATGTTGATTTTCCTTTTTCCTCCAAGAGGGGATTAAATTTTATTTTATAATTTTGGTCTCAATTTCTCTAAATTGAGTTCAAGCCAAACAGTGCCTCTGTGGATGACCATGTGACCCTAAGCCTGGTCACCTCTAATTAGCTAGTCTCCACCTTTCCCTTTGGTCTCCTAGACAAAGCCGTCTTTCATATCTTTTTTCCTGCTTGCTTTATACTTTTCTGTTTCCTTCATTTGATCTTCCACCTCACCGATTTATTCTGCTTTGTCTACTACTGTTTATCCTATATATACATATATATATTCTTCATTTGTATTCTTCTCATACTTGGTCTTTTGATTTCTTGTTTCATGCTGCCAACACCATTCCTCATTTCAAGTTTCTTGATCATCCCTGTAAGTCCTTGTTGCATCTGGTCCAATCCTTGTTTCAGAGGGTCTACTGTTCAGTTTGCGGCACTCTTCAAGTGTCTAGTTACTGAGCCTGTGAGCTATTCCTTGGGGCTCTGAGCTCCTCTGCCTGGTAATAGGACCTGAGAATGGCTGCAATCAGGCTCTCCTCTGTCTCAGTCCTGGTGAGCCTAAGGGGTGGGCAGGAGTTGAACCACAGGCTCCAGAGAACTGCCTTCCATCTCTCCACCAGGAAATTCCTATCTTTCAACTCTAGGATGCAGCCTTGGGATGAGCTACCGTAATGCCCTTATCCCTGGGGCTTAGGGGTGGAAGGGTAGACCCAGAACTGCCTGTGGGTAACTGGGCAGCCCCCTCCTTATTTCCTCAACTCCTCACAGCAGTAGGGCTTTTTTTTCCTATTTTGCTGCTACCTTGATGTTACCTGGCCCTCACTGGGAGCTGGGTTTTTCTTCTCCATTCTAACATGGAAGGAGCAGGCAGTGACTGTCTTAGGGCAATATGGTGGAGAGGCATGAACAGAACCAAAGAGCTTTATTCTCATAACCTCCCTCAGACACCCTACACTTGCAGCTGGGGTTGCCTCTCACCAGAGGCTTCAATTGTTTAAGTTCCCAGATGACACTCCTCCTTCTTTCTTGTCTACAGTTGATTTTTCATGAGAGGCCAATAGCTCACATTGTTCATCTGGACTTGACAGGAATCACCTAGCTTATTCATAAGCCAAGCAGTATTCCCACATTTGCTACTACTTAACTCCTATAGACTTTGCTCCAGGTGGATAAACATATCTGTTGAATGAAAGGCCTCCTCAAGAATTTAGAAGAAACAGTTCTGTTGTTTCCTAGATTAAAAGTCATTTTCACTGTCTTTAGAATAATGAGACCCGTGCTATCTCACTGTGGCCCTGGGGTTGTTTTCCTAGGATTGCAGAATTGAGGAACCAAGAAAGACGACCAGATACAAGGATGCTTATTCTAATCCATTTCTTAGTCTCGTCATATAGTGGAAGGCAAGGGCCATGGTGGTCAACAGTATACACAAAATATCCACACATGTTTTATTTGCTGAAGAGGTGATTCATATTTGTAAGAGCATTGAAAAGATCCAAAACCCCCAAAGATGAAACAATCTGATGGTATGAAATGAAATAAAATTTCAGTCATTGACAGATGCCTAAATACTTTTTTTTTTTTTTTTTTTTGGAGACGGAGTTTCACTCGTCACCCAGGCTGGAGTACAGTGGCATGAACTTGGCTCACTGCAACCTCCGCCTCCCAGGTTCAAGTAATTCTCTTGGTCAACCTCCCGAGTAGCTGGGATTACAGGTGCCCATCACCACGCCAGGCTAATTTTTGTATTTTTAGTAGAGACGGAGTTTCACCATGTTGGCCAGGCTGGTCTCAAACTCCTGACCTCAGGTGACCCACCCACCTCGGCCTCCCAAAATGCTGGGATTACAGGCGTTAGCCACCATGCCCGGCCTACCTTTTAAGTTCTCAAAATGTAGTCTCATGTTCTATAAATTCCGATAATATCTAAGGGAGTCATAGGCAAACTGCTGATAAAGTGACTAGATTGCTGACTAGCCATGAAATATAGCAGCCTGCCCACTGGATGGGAGAAAGGAACATGACTTTGTATTCTCTGGCATTGGCTGCCAGATCTCACTGAGGGCATCCTCCAGGACACAGTAACTGCTGGTATGTGAGCACTTCCACTCAGCAAGTGTCTTTATCCTGGAGGTTTCCTGTGGAACCAAAGAAGTGGTGTGGGTGCTACTGGCAGAAGAGAGGAATAAGGGGGAAAGAGAACAAAGGAAGAGGTGAATATGCAACCTACTTCTGGGGTATGCTTGGTTACAAATCCATCTTTCATCAGGCTTTCAGCATCTTAGGGGTGAGATGGTCTTGATTTCATAGCTCCAGGCTTTCCCACAAAATATGTGTTCAGTAAATGAGCTAACCAGTGCATAACGAATTGAGCTAACCAGTGTATCAGTAACTTACCAGTTCTCTACTCCACAGATGGGCAATTCCAGTTTTGCCAAGCCTCAAAGTTCACTCAACTTAGTCTTGACCTAAATGGAATATACAGGCCCTGCAACTCTATTTCAAGATTGACATAACCACAGCTAAGAACTTTAAGTCCACCCTTTGGTGGACAGATCTCCAATAAACTCAACCTTAAAACCAGAGACCCTAACATTGTACCTTTTAAGTAGGAGATGAAGGTAAAAATTGGCTTCTATTTTATGTGCTGTAGTAGTAATCCAACATCTTCCCATAATTAGTTTTAGAAATATAGTGACTATGTATATACAAAAATAGATATATAACACTACTTAGGAAAACATTGTTCTAGAGGAATGCAGTGAAAAGAATTTGAGTCTGAATGATTCAAATCTCTATGACCCTTAACTGAGAACACATTTCAGACAGGGTTATAACAATTAAATAAACTGTATCTAACATATTACTGGCACAGAATAGGTAGTAAGCAAAGAGTTCCCCTCCATAACCTGCCTCTGATAGTCTTACTCTAGCTACTCAGAATGGCCTTTTGAAGAGCTACAGCCATCTAGAAAAAGATACCAAGGAGTCTATCCAATAAAAAAGGAAGTGTGGGAACCCCTGTCATTACTAGTTCCATATTACAGAAAATTGGATGGAGAAAAACTGTACAGCTCACACATAATGCTTCACTGTCTTCAGGAATGCATAATTCATAAGGTTATAATTAAGAGATGGAGGGAGAGTGAATTTCCCCATGGAGGTGCCACTCAATGCTCTAACTTTAAGTGTGCCAACTGGCTCTTGGAGACCAATACCAATAACATGGTCAGATGCTTTCTGCCAAAAGCAACAATTTAATCAACATGGAAGGACAGACCAACCTGGGTACTTCCACCAACACAGTCTCTGGGATTGCAAAAGAGTCTTGTAGGGTTTTCTGAACCTGTTCCAGGTGGAGACAAGAGAGATAGATGGAGCCACAGCTGGAGAATGGCCAGAAGGAAATGACTACTTCCGAAAATGGAAAGACTGGAAAAATAAACTGGTGACTTGGGCCCCTGCTAGCTCCATCTGTGCACGAAGCAACTGATTGTTCAAGAACACAAGAGCACCCACACTAAGTATTGGAAATACCAAAAAGGATCACTGTTCCCAGGGTCCAGGCTAGCAACCACCTGAAGGAAGATGTGAAGTAGACACACTGACCCATTTGGTGAACTCACCACAGCTGTCTCTGCCATAGGAAAGTGGATTAGATGGGACAAGCAATATGATTAATATCAGTCCAGTCTCCCATACAGCCCTACCATTAACTGGTTATGGAAAATTTCAATATCTCAGTTTTAACCATATAGTCTATAAGGGGAAAGTGTTACTCTTACCATTTTGTGGGGGTAAGAGTGTGGGGGTAAGTACTCTTACCATTTGAAGAGTGGAAGGATAGACCAAATTACTAAGCTCCTTTCATTTCAATTTCTCTCCAGCATTTCAGCCACCCGGCTGGTGAAGACCTTCAAATGCCAAAGAATCCACATCTTATTTCTAACCAACAGTTTTCAAGTACCTACTTCCCACAAGGCATTGAGTTAATTCAGTGCAAGTCACAAGAACACATGACCTGTTCTTTACCATCAGTGTCTGGCCATCTGATAGAAGAATCACAGTGAGGAAATTAACTATAGCTCAGAAACTGAAAAATAATTCTCTTTATCAAAAGCCAAACTCAGCATTAAAGACTTTTGATCCACATCCCAAGCAGACATGGGAAAATCAAGTTCTCTGGCTGTTCATGCTCACCCGCTCTTCCCTAGGTTGGGTGCACCCTCATAAGACAACCCATCACTGAGGAGGAAGCACTAGGACATTTGCAGGTCAAAATCAATGAGGTTCCCTCCCTGGACATTTTCCTCAGGGCAGCATTGAGTTATCATGGAAGGGAATAAGAAACAACCAGTGAGGTCTTGACGTGTAGACAGAACTTCTAGGTAGACTTGCATTATGCACAGTGCCGTTTTGTTCTTGGTGCTTTGGCAGGCTACATTGATGACTTAAGCTGGGTAACCAATGAGGGAAGTATTCCAGGCTAATAAGAAGTAGCTTGTAAAAAGGGCTAACAAACCAGAACAGGCACCTGAGGCAGCATTATCCTTTGTTCAGCACTGCTCGCACTTGACGAACTCAGACCTGGCTTGTGCCGGGTAAATTACAGCCACAAAAAAGAACTGAGACAACACCTGAACTGAGTTAAGAACAAACCCAGGAACTTGTTATCAACTAAAATAAGATCTATCTGGCCTCTTCATAGCTACAGCCAACATTTAAATGACTGGGTAGTGTTGCCATAATGATTCAATTATTACCATTTTAGACTGGCCTGTCCTTTGAAGGGGCAACAAGGCAGTTCCTGGGAGCCCCACATGGTCCTACACTTTATTCCTTTTTTTCTGATCATCACAGTTCAAATTTCCAAATCTAACCAAAGCCTGAAGGTTCCATGAAATATGCCAATAGCCCAGCCTCCTTTCTATTGCCCTTATCTTGGGCAGGCTACATGGGTTAAATTGCCCCAGGCCTTACACCCTTCTAGGAATAGCCCCATTTTTAGATGCAAGAGTCTCTCTACTTAGGAATTTAAAACAAAACTAAAGTTCGACCTATCAGTAACTTTAGAAAAACTTGAAGCTAAAATTGAAAAGAATTGCTTGAAACCAAAATGGAATTCACTGAGATTCTAAAGACTCTCCACTTTAGAATTACAGGCCCCTAAAGTGTGTTCCTCAGACACCCCACCAAAACAACAGCAGCTGACTCAATCCTGTTCTCACTGCTCCTAGCTGCACAGAAAGCCATGGCTCTTCAGAGCAAAGGTTGGATAGATGAAGCAGTAGCTTGGAGACCTTACCTTCCAGAGAGCGCAGTAAGTGTACAGAGGACTTTACCTCTATCAATACAGGCAGACACGAAGCTGACCTTTGTTCTCCTCCTCTCCTGGAGACTTGGCTCTTCCTATAGACCCGTTTGCTCATAAGGGGCTCAAATTCCAGAGGTCAGAAAGCTCTCATCACAGCTACCCAAGAAGCAGGTTTCACAAAGGACTCTAGACACAGACTGACTCCCACTCTGTCTGCGAGGGCAGAGGTTGCTGGCCTAGAGCTTTTATGGCCTGTGCCTGGGCCTCCTGCTCAGGTGAAAACTGTGATTCCACTCAGCTGCCTTATATGAGTGAGGCTTCAATCAACACTTCTTATGCCTACAAAGAGTATGCTAGGTAGGTTCTTCAAAAAACTTGGGGTGGCTATGTTTTTCTGGAAATACAGGGTCATTCCCCAGAGTCTGATGTGTCATTGGGAGAAGTTACTGCCCAAACAGCATTTGGAAGCATGGGTGTCAGACCAGGGCCACAACTACGCCCAATGTCATGCTCAGGGTTAGGTTCCAGCCCATGCTGAGGTCCGAAGGGAGTGGGTAGTAGATGGGCAGATAACTGAAAGAACACTCAGGGGGCCATAGGCAGGTGAATATGGTTTTATTCAGCAGCTCTCTCATCAGCAGCTCTCTCACACTAGCTCTTTACACTGTTTGCCTTTATCTCGACTGTCTGCTCCGGCTCCGTGGCTCCTCTCAGCAGCTGGCTCCCACGCACAGCTGCACAGCCAGCCTGCAAGGCCAGCTCTAGGGTTAGCAACTTAACTCCTTCCATTTGGGCACAAGCCAAGCCGTATCCTGGCTCCCCTGTGTCCATCTCCTAGACGTTCATTCTCCCTTACAGTGGTCAGTAGCTTTACTCTCTGGGCACCAGCACCTGCACAAGAGCCATGTTGAGCCATGCCCAGGAGCCACGTTGAGCCCAGCCCAAAAGCCATGTTTAGCTCTTGGGCTGATGCTGATGTACAGCATCAGCAGGGCAGTTATACCTTTTCCAAACAATAGTGACTCCGAGTCAACTATGAACTTACACAACAGGTTATATAACAAGTGGAATATGCACTTACACCCTAAACTCACTGAGTCACTCTGGCCTGGATGTCTGCCTTGGCCTATTCCTTGACCAAAGTACATCCGTATACCTTACAATGGGTTAAGTAGGTGGCTGTCATTATACATGGGTCACCCCTGGGAGCTTAGTAAGGTGCAAGTTCCTGGGCCCCATCCCAAGAGATTCTGGGTCAGTGGTCTGTGAATCTACATTTGTATCAAGCACACAGCTGATAACAACGTAAATGCTCCATGACCTACACACCAGATGGAGCATCATGCAAATCCTTAGCCAGTAGCCCAAGTCCTGTGTATCTTAGGTGGGTCTTGCATTTCCAAGGGTATTTCTTCCATGACTCAATAAAACAGGCTGTCTGCTATATGATTTATGTGGGATACCACTGTACATTCAAATGAACTTCAAGCCTGTGTCTGTGCTATAAACAGTGGTCATTCCAGAACCTCTCCCTAGGACAGGGATTAGGGGTGCTGGAAGCAGAGACAGCTTGGGAGGAGGGGTGATGCTGTTTGTTGGGCAAAGGACCCTGACTTTATCATTGAAATGCAAGTAGCCACAAAGATGGATGAATTATACACTAGTTATGTGTCAATGCATTCACCTTGCCCACTTTCTTCTAGGCCCACTGAGGACAAGAACTGTGTGTTATTCACCTGAGTGTCCCCAGCAAGGACTCCACACAAAAGGTGCTCAATAACTAGTTACTAAAATCAATTGCTGCAACTGCACATCCCCTAAACATTGCCCTAACACTCATAGACACATGCAGTGTCTTGCTTATTAAAGGCAAACCACAAGTATTTATAGAATTCATTTGATACTGGGTTCTCCTAAGTCAGGGCTACCATACAAGGTTGCACAGAATGTGCATTGCAAAGAGATACCACATTGAAAAGGCTGTCTTCCACATTGCAGCCATCAAAGGCTTAAGTATAAAAGTGAAAACCACAAAGCTCTTAGATGAAAACAGAGATGTAAATCCTTATGATCTAGGATTAAGCAATGATTTCTTAGATATGCCACTGAAAGCACAAGAAACAAAAGAAAAAATAAAATCGGGCTTACTCAATATTTAAAAACTTTTGTGCTTCAAAGGACACCATCAGAAAATGAAAAGACAACCCACAGAATGAAAGAAAATTTGTGAAAATCATATATCTGATAAGAGACATATCTAGAATATGTTTTTTAAAAAATCTTCTAGACCTCAATACTAAGAAGACAAATAACCCAATTTTTTAAATGGGCAAACTGTCTGACTAGATATTTCTCCAAAGAAGATATGCAAATGTTCAATACACACAGGAAGATGACTAACACAATTAGCCACTGGAGAAATGGAATTAAAACCACAATGAGATTCCACTTCATACCCACTAGTATTGCTAGAGTCAAAAAGACAGGTAAGTATTGGTGAGTATATGGAAAAATTGGGACCCTCATACACTGCAGTACTGCTGCTCTGTAAAACAATCTGGCAACTCCCCAACAGGTTAAATATAGAGTTACATATAACCCATCAATCTCACTCCTAGGTATATATTCAAGAGAAATGAAAACATATGTCCACACAAAAACTTGTACACGAATGTTCATAGCAGCAGTATTCATCATAGTCATAAAGTGGACACAACTCAAATGTCCATCAACTGGTGAATGAACAAACAAAATGTAGTATATTCCAGAAACAGATTATTTGTCAATAAAAAAGAATACATGATTATTACATGTTACAACATGGATGAATCTTGAAAACATGGTAAGTGAAAGAAGCCAGACACCAAGACCACATACTGTGTGATTCCATTAATATGAAATGTTCAGAATAGGCAAATCCATTGAGAGAGAAGTAGACTGGTAGTTGCCTAGAGCTGGGTGGTTGGAGGAAATGGGAAGTGATTGCTAATGAGTATGGGGTTTCTTTGGGGCATGATGAAATGTTCTAAAATTGATTATTGTGATGGTTGCACAACTTTGAATACATTAACAACCATTGAATTATACATTTCAAATGGGTTAATTGTATGGTATATAAATCATATCTCAATGAAGCTATTATTTGAAAAAAAAACCATCGCAATAAAACTGACAAGAGAAGATCCAAGGGAACAAAGTTTTTTATATTTTGAAATCTTTTTTGGCAGATTAGATTATAATTAAATCTATTCAATAAGGAATTCTTCCAAGTGCATTTCATACAAGCAAGGCCACTGTGTATTGTCGGGCAGGTACACTCAACAATCTACTCAGCAGTACATAGCAGCCCTGCCCAAGGAGAACTCCAGCTCAGATCGTGTGCTTTCCAGCCTGGGAAAATCACGCTGAGCTGCACCCTTGACGCTTCTTTGGGTCAACAATCAAACAATACTGCAAGGGTGCAGCTCAGCTCTATTAATAGAATAGAATTTTTATTCTTTATTTCTACTAATTCTTCCCCCCACTTCAAATGGCTCAAGTCACCTAAATTCTCTAAACAATTTTTTGACATGCATGGCACACAAAAGAAGGCCAGAGCCAGGAGCAGAATGGGTGGCCGTGGATCTGAAACCCCAACTTATCTCCCTGTTGGGTTTGAAGCATTTCTATTTACTTCCTGAGTCTGTACTGACCATCTGGGGACTCCATCTGTTCCCTCCCAGGTCCTGCAACCCTGGATTGTGATTCTTGCTAATAATTGATCGCCATGATTCCATTTCAACAGTATGATTTTAAGTTTTATCTCAAGTGCTGGAGTACTCTTAATTATCTCCTAATGACCTAAAATAGAAAATACCTTAAATGCTAAAAGAATTGAAACCTGACTTACTGAACAGTTTGGTACACTATTATCTTGAGAATAAAATGAGACTAATACATGTGAAAAAACCTTGAATGTTTATAGAGAACAAATAGTTTGATGGTGTTCCATGAAAGGGCTATATATGCAAAGCAACCCCCAAATGCTGGAGGAGCAGAGAAACCAAAGACGGGGGCAGGCAAATCCAGTTTGTTGGTATAGGGTGTCTAACTGGGGAACTTACAGACAAAAGCATGGTCTTCAGTGGCCACGAGACAGGTAGATCTCCACACCATTATTCCCCAGAACCAGGGCTTATATACCAAAGGGAAAGGGGTATGTGCTCTATAGAGACAATGAAAGGCAACCCTCCAGAACAGGCCAGAATGCTATGTGTGTCATAGCTTATGATTTGTGCAATAACATCAACATTTCTTTGACCTAAAAGCAGGAGTACATGTTCTTACACTAAGGACACTACGTAGAAATTAGGACACATTCATAGGACTAGGGCTAATCAGAAGTTAACGCGGAGGATTCACATCCAAGATGGAGTCGCTTTTGTCTCTACAGATGGCTAAAAGTAATTAGGAAATCGTTAGTAAGTACTTTAAGCTGTGTGTTGTTAGGCTAATTACTTCACCTGTCTGCACCTCAGTTCATCCATTTGTAAAGTAAGAATAATGGAAGTGCCTTTTTTATGAAGTTGGCATGAGGATTAAAAGAATTAATATATGTTAAGAGCTTTAGAACACTAGCTCATATTTAGCTGTTATAGTGTTTGCTACTATTACTATTATGATTTTATAGCACATCCTAGATTTTACTTTGAACAAATTTTAGAGGGATTCACTCCAGTGTGTTGGCCACCAGCTTATGGGTCTCCTCTTACCCTGAGGAAAGTCATACTCTAATTTTTCTAAATAAATAATAATTGAACAGCATAATATAGTGGTTAAGAACCTGATTCTGGAGCTAGTCATCTAGATTTTAAACTTGGTTCAGTTATTACCCTATAATGTCTCTGAGCCTCAGTTTCACCATCTGTTAAGTGGGGATGATAGTAGTAGTGACCTTAGAGAGTTGTTGTGAAAATTAAGTGAGTTATTACATATAAAGTCTTAGAGCTTGGTACATGGTACACACTGCATAAGCACTTGCTAATATTATTAAGTTAGATTCAAAATATGAAAGTTATTGCTGGTTTTATGATCAGAATTCCTTATTCCTCTGGATTGGTGCAGAAGGGAAAAAAAAGAGCTCAAATGGAAGGTGATAATCAACGACAAGCTAGACACACCCTCTTATGCCAAGGTAGACTTCATCACTGGAGAAGAATCCTTAGGATACTTCCTAAGTTCAAAGCCCAGTATCCATTTCACGTTAAATATTTAAACAAGTTAAGTACAAAGGAAAACAACTAACAGGTATTATTCAAAGTGGTTATATCTTTATGCAAATTCAGATTTCAGAAACACATAAATGATCCATGCACTCAAAGGACAAGAACATAATTTGTGCCCTTCCCAGTATGGCAATAAACTTGTTAGGAATGTATAGGGAATACTATAGTTGATGACAGAGCAATTAATCACACTTTTAGAACAGCTCACTGATTACTGTTTTTCCCATTAGTGCTTCTCAATAACCTATTCATACCTTGGTTAAGATGAGCATCACTAAGATGCAGTCCATAAGGACCAGAGCTGTGAGCTCAAGTCCTGCTGGGCTATTCCTGACCTACAAGGCCACTGGGGAGACAGCAGAAAAGTAAGCTTGACAGCAAGATTATTTTTAAAAACATCATGGCATTATGCTGTCAGGTCCTGGGAACAATGATTTCTATCTGTAAAAATTGAATGACAACAGTCCATATGAAAGCCCACCCTATTGTAGGACTCCCAGTCCTACTGCAGTATAATCACGAATCCCTATATATTTCTCTGTAAATATTGATTAGTTTGGGTATATTGAAAGTTGAAGGATCAGAGAGAATTTGATAGACTATACACCCTCAAGGGGTTACTTCTGAAGTTCTTACTGATTCAGATAGAAATTATTAAACCATCTAAAAAATTCAGTGCATGGAAAAACCACATGGTGAATGCTAATATCAGGCAATGATTTTTAAAATCATGCATAGAAACATAAAAAAATTAATCTTGATATGCTATTGTGTGTCTGTAGCATGCATATGAGAATTTGGACCTCTGAATTAAAATATAGAAGAAGATGTCGCCAATCTACTTAAGGGTCTCTTTATTAGCTACAAAATGGTTATCTCTTAGAAGGGGGATCTCTTTCCTCAAGACCTTGCTTCTTGTAGAACTGGGGCTCTCATTAAAACCAAATGTGGAAAGGAAAACACTGACAGATTGAACATGTAAGAATCCAAATCTTTTGTTTAATGAAAGATATGACAGAATTAAAAGACAATGGGAGAAAATATTAGTCATGTATATAATCAGGAAGATAATATTCATAATATAGAGTGCCTACAATCCATAGAAAAAGGATAACCCTGCCGCAAAATTCGCAAAGGATGTAAACACAAATGCACAGAAAAAAACACAAATAATAAATACACAGAAGTATACTGGACTTCAAAAATATTCAATGAAGTACAAGTTAGATCTAGAATATGCTATTTTTGCCTATCAGAAGATAAAAAAATAAAAACATTAACAATAACACTAAGAACATAGAATTTTAATTTCCATCCCCATTAAAACAAAGGAAATTTGAAAATCTTTTCATGAGCTTATTTATTCATTTATTCAACCAATATTTATCAAGTGCTACTAGAGACAAATCAAAGTGCCAGACAGTATAGTGGATACCAAAATGAATAAAAAGTCACCTAAAATATAGTCTAGAGTGAGACAGAGATCAACATACCAGCAACCAACTGAATACAAAGCTGAGTGAAGTAGGTTTATGGAAGAGATTTGGGAAATCAGAGAAGGATCCCAGCAGGAAACAGTCTCAAGAAGGTGTAGCATTTGAGCAGAACATGTAAGACTGAGCTGAAATAATATAGGCAGAAAAGGGAAGAAGAACATTCAGCCAGAGACCCCCCAAAAAAATTACCAAAAAAAGTGAAATCACAGAAATAAAAAAATTTACATTTCATTACCTGAAATGATAAAACTACTAGAAGAAAAGATAGGGGAAAGATTTCATGGCATTGGTCTGGGTAAAAATTTTATGGATAGAACCCCAAAAGCATATGCAACAGAAGCAAAAATAGACAAATGGGATTATATCAAACTAAAAAGCTTCTGCACAGCAAAGGGAAAAATCAACAGAGTGAAAAGACAACCTACAGGATGGGAGAAAATAATTGCAAACTATGCATCTGACAAAAGGTTAACATCCAGAACACATAAAGCACTCAAACAACTCAATAGCAATAATAATAATAATAATAATAATAATAATAATAATTTTTAAATGGGCAAAAGACCTGAGTAGATATTTCTCAAAAGAAGACATACAAATAGCCAATAGGCATATGAAAAATTGTTCAACATCACTAATCATCAGGGAAATGCAAATCAAAATCACAGTATCACTTCACCCCAATTAAAATGGCTATTATCAACAAGACAAAAACTGACAAATGCTGTCACAGATGTCAAGAAAGGGGAACTCATACATGGTTGGTGGGGATGTAGATTAGTACAGCTATTATGAAAAACAGTATGGGGGTCCTCAAAACATTAAAAATAAAACCACCATATGATCCAGCAATCCAACTCTTGGATACATATCCAAATGAAATGAAATTAGTATGTCAAAGAGATATCTGGGCCAGGCATGGAAGCTCACACCTGTAATTCCAATGCTTCAGGAGGCTAAGGCAGTGGGACCGCTTGAACCCATGAGTTTGAGACCAGCCTGGGCAACATAGTGAGACCCTGTCTCTACAAAAAAAAGTAGCCAGTTATGGTGGCTAATCCTAGCTCCTCCAGAGGCTGAGGCGGAAGAATCATTTGATCCCAGGAGGTCAAGACTGCAGTGAGCTATAATCATGCCATTGCACTCCAGCCTGGGTGCCAGAGCAAGACTTTGTCTCTATTTAAGAGAGAGAGAGAGAGATCTGTACTCTCATGTTTATTGTAGCACTATTCACAGTAGCCAAGATACAGAATCAAGCTAAGCATCCATCAACAGATGACTAAATAAAGAAAATGTGGGGCCAGTTGCAGTGGATCACACCTATAATCCCAACACTTCAGGAGGCCAAGGCAGGAGGATGGCTTGAGGCAAGGCATTTGAGACCAGCCTGGGCAACATAGCAAGGCTCCATCTCTACAAAAAGTAAAACAAAACAAAACAAAACAAAAAAACACATAGCTCACATGGTGGCACTCGCCTGTAGTCCCAGCTACTTGGGAGGCTGAGGCAGAAGGATCACTTAAGCCAAGGAAGTTGAGGATGAAGTGAGCCATGATCATGCCACTGCACTCCTACTTGGGCAACAGAGTAAGATGCTGTCTTAAAAAAGAAAGAAAATGCAGTATATATACACAATGGAATAGTGTTCAGTCATAAAAAGAATAAAATCCTAGAATCTACAAGATCCCAACCAATTATCTTCATGTTTGTGCTTCCAAAACTTTTTGTAAACACTGATATAAATAGTCTACACCCTAAGAGTAAGAATGAACCAGCCACCACATGGATATGCAGCCCGGCTTCAAATCATCTGAATTAAATGAACAAATTTCCAGAAATTTACCTACTGAAGAATAAATAGAAAACTTGAATAGTACTATGACCATTAAATAAATTGACTCAGTGGTTAAAAAAAAATCTTCCTTCCCCACACACAAAAATTCCAGGCTCAAATAGCTTCACCAAGTTTTACCAAAAATTTGTGGAAGAAAAAATCTAAAGATTCCACCAAAAAACTAATTGAACTGATAAACAAATTCAGTAAAGTTACAGGATACAAAACCAAAAAACAAAAATCAGCAGCATTTCTATATGTCAATAGCAAACCACCTGAAAAATAAATCAAGAAAGTAATCCCATTTGCAATTGCTACAAATAAGGTAAAATACCTAGGAATAAACTTAACCAAAGAAAGATCTCTACAATGAAAACTATAAAACACTGATGCAAGAAATTGAAGAGGACACCAAGAAATTGAAGAGGATATTCCATGTTCATGGATTGGAAGAATCAATAGTGTGAAAATGTCCATACTACCCAAGGGAATCTACAGATTTAATGCAATCCCTGTCACAATACCAATGGCATTCTTCACAGAAATAGAAAAAAAAATCCTAAAATTTACATGGAACCACAGAAGACACAGACTAGCTCAAAGCTATCTTGAGCAAAAAGAAAAAAAAAACTGGTTAAAATATTGTTAGCAAAAATATTGTTACCTGAAGCCAGGTAACAATATTACCGGACTTCAAATTATACTACAGAGCTACAGTAACCAAAACAGCATGGTACTGGCATAAAAACAGACATATTGATTAATGGAGCAGAATGAAGAACCCAGAAACAAACCCATACATCTACAGTGAACTTATTTTCAACAAAGGGACCAAGAACATGTATTAGGGAAAGGATAGACTCTTCAATAAATGTTACTGGGAAGACTGGATATCCATAAAAGAATGAAACTACAACACTATCTCTCACCATATGCAAAAATCAAATCAAAATGGATTAACGACTTAAATCTAAGACCTCAAACTATGAAACTGCTACAAGAAAACATTGAAGAAACTCTCTAGGACATTGCTCTTGGCAAAGATTTCTTGAGTAATACCCCACAAGCACAGGCAACCAAAGCAAAAATGGGTAAATGAGATCATATCAAGTTAAAAAGCTTCTGCACAGCAAAAGAAACAATCAACAAAGTGAAGAGACAACCTACAGAATGAGAGAAAATATTTGCAAACTATCCATCTGACAAGGGATTAATAACCAGAATATATAAAGAGCTCAAACTATCCAGTAAGAAAAAATCTAATAATTTGATTTTAAAATGGGCAAAAGATCTAAATAGACATTTCTCAAAAGAAAGCATACAAATAGCAAACAGACTTATGAAAAGGTGCTCAATATCACTGATCATCAGAGAAACGCAAATAAAAACTACGATGAGATATCATCCCACCCCAGTTAAAATAGCTTTTATCCAAAAGACTGGCAATAGCAAATGCTGGTGAGGATGTGGAGAAAAGGGAACCATCATACACTGTTGGTGAGAATGTAAATTAGTAAAACCACTATGGAGAACAGTTTGGAGGTTCCTCAAAAAACTAAAAATGGAACTACTATATAATCTAGAAATCCCACTGCTAGGTTTATACCCAAAAGAAAGCAAATCAGTATACCAAAAAGATATCTGCACTCCCATGTTTATTGCAGCATCACAATAGCCAAGGTTTAAAAGCAACCTAAGTGTTCATCAACAGATGAATGGATTTTCTAAAATGTGGTACACACACACAATGTAGTACTATTCCACCAAAAAAGAATGAGATCCTATTCATTTGCAACAACATGGATGGACCTGGATGTCATTATGTTAAGTGCAATAAGCCAGTCACAGAAAGACAAACTTCACATGTTCTCGCTTGTTGGTAGGAGCTAAAATTTAAAGCAATTGAACTCATGGAGATAGACAGTAGAATGATGATTACCAGAGGCTGTGAAGAATAGTGAGGGGTGGAGGAAAAGTGGGAGTGGTTAATGGGTACAAAAATAAGATCTAGTATTTGATAGCACAGCAGGGTGACTATATTCAAAACAATTTATCATAATTTCAAAAGAACTGAAACAATATAATTGGATTATTTGTAATAGGAAGGATAAATGATTGAGGTGATAGATACCCCATTTACCCTGATGTTATTATTATGCATTGTATACCTATATCAAAGTGACTCATGTAGCCCACAAATATATACACCTTCTATGTACCCATGAAATTTTTTTAATCTTATGGAAGAAATCATTATAATCTAGCCCTAATTATTCCAGTGCATAGAAAAAAGAAGAAAGTGACTAACTCACTTCGTAAGGCAAGCATAAATTTGACAGCAAAACTTGGCAGGGCCTGGGCCGGGCACAGTGGCTCACGCCTGTAATCCCAGCACTTTGGGAGGCCGAGGCAGGCGGATCACGAGGTCAGGAGATCGAGACCATCCTGGCTAACACCGTGAAACCCCGTCTATATTAAAAATACAAAAAAATTAGCCAGGCGCGGTGGCGGGCGCCCGTAGTCCCAGCTGCTCGGGAGGCTGAGGCAGGAGAATGGCGTCAACCCAGGAGGCGGAGCTTGCAGTGAGCCGAGATTGCGCCACTGCACTCCAGCCTGGGCAACAGAGCGAGACTCTATTTCAAAAAAAAAAAAAAAAAAAAAAACTTGGCAAGGCCTATATAAGAAAGGAAGAGGAAAATTGCAAGTCATTTGTGAAACACAGATACAAAAATCTCAAATAAACTACAAGTAAAACAAATTAAAGAATATATGAAAATGACACTACCTCATGCCCAAGTTGGGTTTATCCCAGGAATGTAAGTGTATTTCAATATTTGAAAATCAATTAATTTAACTGATCACATTAATAGATTAAAGAAGAAAAATGTAATCATTTCAATAGGTGTAAAGAAGCATTTGATAAATGATCTTATAAAATGTATGAAAATGTAAATACCGTAAAGATATAAGACAGACTTAAAGCAGAAGCATGTGTTGGGAGGACTTGTTTTACCAGATATCAATTATTTATACAAAGCTGTCATACGTTTAGTATTGATACAAGGACTAGACAAATAAACTAATGGAAAGAATTAAGATCTCAGAAACAGGGTCTCAAAAATGAGGACACTTTATAATGAAAGTGTATCACAGAGTACTGGGGAAAGGATGAGTTTTGAAATAAATACTGCTAAAAACAACTGAGTGCCCGTATGGAAAAACTAATGCTGAAACCTCTATATTATAAACCCAAATGTGAAAGGCAAACCTAAGTTTTCAGAAGATAATGTAGAATATTGTCCTGACCTTGGGGAAGGAAAATATCTATCAAACAATACAAAGTACAGTGACTTTTAAGGAAAGGCTTAGTAAATTTACTACATTAAATTTGACAACTTTGTTTATCAAAAAACACCATAAAGAGAATGAAAATGTAAGCCATCAAACTCAACCTCAGAATATATCAAGTCCTACAAACCAATAAGGTAAAAATGGCTAAAAGACTTAAACAAGCACATGCAGAAGAAGATATTCAAATAGCAAATAAATAGAAAAAAGTGCCCGACTCATGAATAGAAAAGAGTGCCTAACTTCATTAATAATCAGGGAAATATAAACTAAAACCTTAATGAGATGCTATTGTAAACCCATCAGATTGGCAAAACATGGGAAGTCTTACAATCCTAAATGTTTTCAGCAGCTGAAAACATCTGCTGAACATGTGTTATCATGGAAACTCATATTCTTCAGGTGGGAGTTTAAATTGGCATAACCACTTTGTTCAGTTTACAACCACTGAAAGTTTGGCTTTATCTGATAATCCGGAAGATGTATAAACCTGATGACCCAGAAATTCCACTCCTAGATCCTAAAGAAATTTGTAGATATGTGCACCATCATACACATAAAAGAATGTTCATAGAAACATTATTTATAATAACCTAAAACTATATGCAAATGCTAATCAACAATAAAAATTAATAACTTGGGATACATTATAATGAAATATTATGCAGCAGTGAAAATGACCAAGCTTGAGCAGGAAAATAGATAATAATAGCAAAATAAAAAAGAGATAGATTTTTTAAATATGTGTCTGGATTTGAATTTTTTTAACTTTTATTTTAAGTTCAAGTGTACCTGTCCAAGTTTGTTATATAGGAAAACTTGTGTCATGGAGGTTTGTTGTACAGATTAATCACCCAGGTACTAAGCTTAGTACCCATTGGTTAGTTTTCCTGATCCTCTCCCTCCTCCCCACCTATACCCTCAAGTAGGCCCCAGTGTGTGTTGTTCCTCTCCATGTGTCCATATGTTTTCATCATTTAGCTCCCACTTATAAGTGAGAACATGCAGTATTTAGTTGTCTGTTCGCGCATTAGTTTACTAAAGATAACGGCTTCCAGCTCCATCCATGTTCTTGCAAAGGAAACGATCTTGGTTTTTTATGGCTGCATAGCATTCCATGATGTATATGTACCACATTTTCTTTATCCAGCCTACCACTAACAGATATTTAAGTTGATTTCATGTCTTTGCTATTGTGAATAGTGCTACAATGAACATACATGTGCATGTGTGTCTTTATGATAGAATGATTTATATTTCTCTGAGTATATACCCAGTCATGGGATTGCTGGTAAAATGGTAGTTCTGCTTTTAGCTCTTTGAGAAATCATTGCACTGTCTTCCACAATGGTTGAAGTAATTTACACTCCCACCAACAGTGCATAGCATTCCTTTTATTCCGCAACCTTGCCAGCTTTTGTTATTTTTTGACTTTTATTAATAGCCATTCAGACTGGTGTGAGATGGTATCTCCTTGTGGTTTTGATCTGCATTTCTGTAATAATCAGCTATGTTGAGCTCTTTTTCATATGCTTGTTGGCCATATGTATATCTTCTTTTGAAAAGCGTCGGTTCGTGTCCTTTGCCCGCTTTTTAATGGGGTCATTTTTTTCTTGTAAATTTGTTTAAGTTCCTTATAGATGCTGGATATTAGATCTTTGTCAGATGCAGTTTGCAGATATTTTCTCCCATTCTGTAGCTTGTCTTTTCACTCTGTTGATAGTTTCTTTTGCTGTGCAGAAGCTCAAAAACAGAAAGATTTTTTAAAAATTCCTACAGTATGATCCATTTAAATAAAGCTCAAAAGAGCCAAAACTTTACTAGGTCATTTAGGGTTAGATGTATAAGTAGTAAAACTACAAAGAAGAACAAGAAATGGTTATCACAAGAGGCAGGAAGGGATGGAAGTTGGGAAGCATCTCATAATCAGGCAATGTTCCATTTCTTGGCATGTGGTCGTGACCACACAGAAGTTGGCTTTAAATATCAAGTATGAAAATATTTGCTTTATCTATGAATTCTATATTTTACAATTAAAAACTTTTTTTTTTGAGACAGAGTCTCACTCTGTTGCCGAGGCTGCAATGCAAGGGTGCGATCTCAGCTCACTGCAACCTCCACCTCCCAGGCTCAAGCAATTCTCGCGTCTCAGCCTCCTGAATAACTTGGATTACAGGCGTCTGCCACCACCTCAGCTAATTTTTGTACTTGTAGTAAAGACAGACTTTCGCCATGTTGGCCAGATTGGTCTTGAACTCCTGGCCTCAAGTGATCCACTTGGTTTGGCCTCCTAAAGGTGCTGGGATCACAGGTGTGAGCCACCATGCCCAGCCTACAGTTAAAAACTATTAAAATTTTTTTAATACAAATTTGGTTCTCCTTTGTATTCTAAACTAGTTGATGAGATTTACTTTTAGGTGTTTACATGAAATTGTTTATTACAAGTGGAAATCAGTCCTTCTACCTTTATAAGAATGTCAATATTAAGCAATGGAACACAATTCAATTTTGTGGGTAATTAACACTGAGGGCAGGAGGAGGGGAAAACAAGACATGGGCTCAGAATTCAGCTGACACCAGATTGCTAACAGGTGCCATGCTGCTACATACCCAGGTGATCTGATTCAGCTAACAAGCAGGAAGGTGATATAAGAGGAAGGCTGAGCCCAAGAGTCTGGAGGTGTAGGTAGGTGGGACTGTCAAGAAGCTAAGTTCTTTGAACAGGTTCATGTAGTGTGGTCAGGCCCGGGGAGAGGGGCCGGAAAGCTTGAGTCCAGAAATTAGGAGACTTCTCAGTGCCTGCACGGGAAAGGGGCTGCAGCCTTACAAAGAGTGTGGTGCATTAGGTGAAACCTAGTGGCTCTAAAGAGATCCTAGCTATACTGCAAGGCTCTTTGTGTGCTAAGGGGTTGGGTACAGAGCCCCTACTCCCGTCATTCTTCGTCACTTCAATCAGTGCTCACAACGTCCAGCTGTTTTCTTGGTTGGGATATTATGATATAAATAATACTTCTTTCTTTTAATGGACTTTGCTCTTTGTAGTCTGAGACTTCTCTTATTCCTCCAAGAGTGGTCAGTGACCCAGATGATATCTATTAAAAACCCTAGAAAATGGTCAAAAGTTTATGAGCAAAAATAAATCAATCTCGATTTTGATCTGGGGATTGGCAATCTATTGGGCTTAAGAATTTGCCATCTCTTTACCAAGTTATCTTGAATGGAGAGCTAACACCAGTGCGAGGACTTACCTTTCAGACTTCTCTAGTGCTCTATGCACCACAGGGAATCATTTCTCTAGGCCACCTTCTGCTCTATCTCCCACTGACAGTGTGTTCTTGCTCTGAAAGTACTGATTGTTCCTTTTGACTTAAAGATCTTCACCTTCTCTCAAAAGGGTACCTGGACAGTGATGGGTGTAGACAAGGTCCCATTTTTACCCTTCTGTGCTTACTGCCTTTTTTTTTTTTTTTTTTGAGACGGAGTCTCACTCTGTCTCCCAGGCTGGAGTGCAGTGGCGTAATCTCGGCTCACTGCAAGCTCCGCCTCCCGGGTTCACGTCATTCTCCTGGCTCAGTCCCCCGAGTAGCTGGGACTACAGGCGCCTGCCACCACGCCCGGCTAATTTTTTGTATTTTTTAGTATAGACGGGGTTTCACCGTGTTAGCCAGGATGATCTCGATCTCCTGACCTCCTAATCCGCCCGCCTCGGCCTCCCAAAGTGCTGGGATTACAGGCGTGAGCCACCGCGCCCGGCCGCTTACTGCCTTTATACGATGGTCTCACCTCATTAGAGGGGGACATTCTCAAAAGCGATGGAGTCGGAGGAAGTCATGGAGATTTTAGATCCTCATCAGATCGTTGGAAGTAAGATTTGCCAAGCTTATAAATATAACAGCCAATATTTTTTAACTATATTTTTTCCTAAAATGTTTTCCTTCACAAAATCTTCCCTTCACAAAACAGCCACAGGTCTGAACTCTTCTTTCATTTTTCTGGGCGGGAAAAAGGCAATTCTTAGTGAGAAGTCTGTCTTAATTCAGGGATTTCCAGGGAGAAAGAAGTAAAGGGCTACCTGAAATGTTGTACTCTTTAGCTATGCTGAATCAGAGGCTAAGAAATCTAGCTGTTCGGGACCTGTAGGGGCGGGGTGAGGAGGTGAGGCAGAATGGCAGGTGGAGACAGTGAACCAAGGAGTGATTCCCCTCCTCAAGCAGCCAGTTGCTCCATGAGTGAACTCTAGTCTAGCCCAGCAGTCCAAAGGGCAAAACTGGCAAAAAGAGACCACTTCTAAGGTTTTCTAAGGAGAGGAAGGAAAAATGTAAGCAACTGAGCACCTCAAAGTTATTCCCATTTTGATCCTAACTTGTCATTCTTTGGGAGGTGCTTATGAAGAGTGAGAGGACTACAAGGCAGATGACCGTGGAAAGGACAGACAGCAGGTATAGGCTGGAAAGCTGGGATGTAAAAGTTGATGTTGACGTGTAGGAACATGTACTTAACGCTGATGTATTCAGGTCACAAAGCTTCCTAGCTGCCCATGCATCTCTGCCCTCCACCAAATTTTTACCATTCTCTTATTGGCAAGATAAAGAGGGCAATAAAAGTAACTTTAGGGTAACCTCTTGGGAATTACAGGAGATAGGAAGAAAAGTACACAGTTTATAACAACTTTGCAGTTGCTTCCCTACTGAGTCTGCTTCCCACGTGAAGTGGCCCAGAAGCAAAACTGGTCAGGGAGAAGGTACAGCTGGTGAGCTCAGGGACAGCATCTGATGTAGCTCACGAACGGAGCATGAAGAGCAGTAAGACCAGGTGCTCCTCTGCTGGTTTCTCATTAAATTCATCTCTCTGGCAGTAATTAGTGTTCCCCCAAACTTAGAAAGCTCCTTGTCTCACTACTTGAAGCTAGAGGCTTGGACATGTTATGCTGATTTGGTCAGGGCTTTAGGGGCAGCTGTATCAGGTGGCAGACAGTCACTGAGGGATGTGACTGGTTGCAGTGGCCGTGGGAGAAACCGGGTTACACAGTTTAGCAGGGGTCTCCTGTCTATGTGGGTAAGCTATGAAAAGGGGGGCAGCTGCTAAATGATTTAGGGTTGATTTGTGTTTTCCTATAGTCATGACTCAGCTGACTTCAAGCTGAATCATAGGGCGGTGGGTGGCAGTGACTGGGGTCCAAGCCGATCTCAGGAAAAAAACCACAGACCCACAAAGTGTGAATTATCTTATCCCAATGCAGTAGTTAAAAAACTCTCCCTGGATGCTGCTCAGAGAGGTAAACAAATGCTTATGGAACATATTTTATGCCAAGCATCACAAAGAATCGTGACTTATTTAATTTCACAAAGCACACAGAAAGTGATTTGTCACTCGGATCTTAGACCACAGTTCTCAAACATGAACTTGGATCAGAATTCCCTAGAGGGCTTGTTAAAACAGACTATAAGGCCCCACACCAATTTCTGATTCAGGAGGTCTAGGGTGGGGCCCAAGAATTTGCCTTTCTAATAAGTTGTCTTGGGAAATTGATGTTGTAGGTCAGGGATGTTTCTAGATGTTTCTCCCTGGCAGAAATACCGTGCATAGGAAGGGGCAGTAGTTTAGGAAATGCTTTAGGTAGGGCTGCAAGCAAATAGAGGTTTCTTACCAATTTTTAGGGCCTGTGAAGACCATTACATTGCCTGAATCCACTCCTTCACAATAGGTAGATGACTTTAGGTTTAACAAAGATCTAGTTCTCTAGAGGTAAACCAATTGTGTTGTAACCTCATTGTGAATGCATCGGATGAAAGTTGAGATTGTGTCTGCTTTAAGTTAGAAGTTCTTTATTAACCTCCAACTAGATTTGCTGAGCTTTTAGATAAACAACTTTTTGGGAAAGCCAGAGCAGGTACTTAAGACATTGTAGCTAGTCTTTAAAAATAAGAGCCACTAAGCTGGTGTTTGCTTTGTCTAATTAGTGTGTTAATGATATAATTGAAGTACGTAGGTCAGCACCATGGAGCTGAATATATCTTAGGTAAATAGAGAAGTCGTGCATGATTAATCTCATTTCCTTAACCTGATTACCTGCTTTCCTACCACTTACACCTGCATAGCCAAGTATATTGTGGGGCAATTGCTGCTTTGCAACTCTACAGGTTGAGTTTGCAGTTAATGACCACAATTGTACAACTTACAATACACCAGTAATATCCTGACAGCTTCAACTTATGGGATGTACTACTATATTTATCAAAACATTTGAGTTGCATTTTCATGATTCTAAGTATAGCTTGTTTGTTTCTTCCCTTTATCTAAAGTGATTTTGAGAATGTTGGAAGTTCTGGCAGAAGTTATGATAAGTAACATAATCAGAACTAAAGTTTTAATTGACAATATGGAATTCCAACTTTGGAACTCCCTGTGGGTAATGTGAGTTTTAGTGATTTTTTTTAAAGGTGGCTTTTAAAATATGTTTCTATATTGATGAAGTTTTTAACAAAGTCATGTATTTTTTTCCAGAAAGATACAGATACTAACTTTGAAAAGAAAGTTTTGAAAATAAAACTTTGTGTACTTTCAGCAAGAATTGCCCTTCTTTTGTAATCCTTCAAATGCCAGAAACTTTTTGTATATCTGTTATTTCTATGCCCGTAAATCTGGAAACAGACATTCTTTATGCTAAAAGATCATCTAGTGAGATTGCTAGAATTAATTGCATAACCCAAAACATCAGTTAAAAGGAGGGAAGAGTGTACATGTTCACATATGAAGATATATAATATGTGACCTTGATCAAGTATACTTCTCTTTTGTTTAAAATATGCTCCTTTAAATATGTAAAGATGTGCTGCAAGTGTCAGTTTTGCCTAAGCATCCCTGTATAAACTCCTGCTTATGAGGAATTGAGAGTATAAGGGAGGAAATATAACATGTAATTGCTATTCACTCTGGCAATACAGATATAGCACACAATTTAAAAAGACAAAGAGAATAGACAGAGTGTGGACAAGGTAGCTGTCTTCAGTAACTTCTGTGGTCGTCACTGGTTTTGCAGCTCTGGGAGTGTAGTGTGTGTATGATGGAGGAGAGCAAATGTGTAATTATGGGATAGTCTAATCCATTATCCCCTGTATCCTTGAGAACCAAGATCTTCTATGTGGAAGGATAGAAATAACAGAGATAAGGTGAAAGAAGTAAAAATCCTGTGGTCATGAATATGAAATAGAAGTGTCAGCATGAACTCACATTATTTTCATTTAGCTTCCTAGCACTGTCTGCTGAAGAGACGTAGAAACAATGAGCATCCTGTGAACAATGAGCACCCTGGCACCCAGACTATGGTCTTGAAACACCATTTCCTATTAAAAGGAACTAGGGCTCCTTGGAGAAATGAATTATTCCAGGGCCAGAATAGGAAATGACCAAGATGAGCCTGTAACATCTTTTCATATCAGAAAACAGGGATGCTATCAAAGACTAATAAGGTAGTGTTTCTTCATGAGGCTCCCACAACCAGAGATGAGAGAATTTGCACAGCCATAAAAAGATAAGGGTGGTAGACAGATACTCAAATACATAGGTCATAAGTAAATGCATCACGAAATGTTACTAAAAGAAAAAAATCACTTCTGGATCAGGACAGAGAACAAACTCTTTCAAAAAAGTAAATTGAACAAATATATGACAGAATAATAGATTTAGAATCTCCCCACTTTGCACTCCCTAATGAATTCATGAATGTAGGTGTTGAACATCAGGGGCTAGTAATATCACAGAAGGAGAGAGGAACAGACATTAAGTGCCTCCCAGTGCAAAAACACATTGCCATCTACAAAGTTACCTTGGGGAAAAAAAAACCTGAATAGGATCAAAGCTCAGAAAATTCAGAAGATATTAGAAAATGATAGCTTACATTATAGGGATTCAATCATCAAAATCCAGTCTATGCGAAACTTTACAGGGCAAATGACTTGATGTCTTCAAATTGCAAAAAGAAAGAGAGGAGAGAACCTGTAAATTAAGAGACTTCTAAGATATTTATCTTTAAAAAAGCAAAACCAGACTATTGCACATAAGGATGCTCATTTGTAGCTAGAACTACAAAGAAAAGTGAGGAAATGATGATTGTCAACATCTGGATAGTCTTTTTAGGGAGGAGAGAAAGGCTGTGATTGGCACAGAGGCACTACCTCCGAAGTGGTCAGCAAAGGTCTATTTTTCAGCCTGGGTAGTGATTGCAAGGGATTTGTTTTATACCAACCTATTAAGCTACATTTTATGTGGTTTTTTGTGCCTGTTTTACAACAAGAAAGGAAAAAATGAAATGTCACAAGACATATTTGCAATGTACCTAATCAACAAAGGGTCCATAACCTTTGTAAGAGAAAAGATCTCCTATAAAATAATAAGAAAGACAGCCAACATAATAGAAAAATGAGCAGAAGACTTGAAGAAGCACTTCACAGAAAGAGGAAATCCAAATAGCCAATAAACAAGACAAGTGCTGAAGGGAAATGCAAATGAAAACCACAATTAGATACTGCTACTTGCCCAGCAGAATCAAATGTAAGTGTTGGCAAGGATCTACAGGAACTCTGAAATTGCTGGTAGGGATGCAAATTGGTACAACTTGGGAAAACAGTTTGGAATTTTCTGATAAATTTGACGACACATATCCAGTGGTGGGCTGCCAAATGTTTTAACAACCAGCTCTCCAGAGGGAAAGCCTTGTAGTGTTTTCTTATTTCCATTGTGTAAATACTCCCACTATGACTGATTTCAAGCTACCAAAATGACATTACCGAATGCAGAATTGAGAAAAGATGCACAATAGTACACCATTATATAGTGTTTCCACCATATAGATAAAATAAACAGAAGGAATCTCAAAAATATAGATAATAATATAAATGTTGTAAAATAACTAGAAAGTGATGAGTCTTCAATATGTGTCACCTTTATTTTTAACATAATTTTTAATTATAAGTTTATATAATTCAACTATTAATAGCTGTGTTAACAATTTGCTCATAAAATTTCAGGAAATTTAACAAGTGGCTCTTGGGGGACAGTCTGAGGAAGCTCCAGCACACATACTACCATGGCCACACCCAGTGATCCAGAAATTCCATGCCACCCTACAGAAATGTCTTCATATTGCACATACAGAAACATTATATTGTCTACAATCAGCCAAAACATGAAACAATCCTATTATCCAATAGTAAATAAATACATTCCTTTGGTATGTTCATACAGTGAAATTTATTATACAGTAATAAAAGCAAGCTGGAGCTATGTATAGCAATATAGGTGAACCTTTAAAACAATGTTGAATAAAAAAAGTTCAACACAAAATAGTACACCAATACAACTCAGTTTATATAAAGTTTGAAAACAATACTGTACTATAGTGTTGAAAGACATACAAGTACATGTAGCTGGTAAAACTGTAAAGCAAGGCAAGAAAGGCCATGAAAGACACAGCACTACCTTTGAAGAGGCAGGATTGTGGTCAGGGCACATGGCGTTTCTGGGGTGCTGACATACTGCTCCTTGAGCTGCTCGTGTCTACAAAGACCTTTGCTTAAGCCAAACGTGTGTTCTGCATATTTTTCTGTGGGTGTGTATTTCACAACTTTTCAAAAGTTAGTCAATAGAAAATTTCTCTAAGCATAACCCTCAGGTTCAGCAAAGTTAGTTTCTGAAAGGCACCCTAGAGAAATAGAGAAAGACCAACAGAGCAAGAATCCAAAAACAGGCCACAGAACCAGTAGCCATGAGCAAGGCTTGGAATCTCTACAATTTTCCTCTGTAAAACTGGGGCTATCACCACCCACTGGCCCACTTCATGGCATTACCAGAAGGATAAATAAAATATACTGATGCTTTAATCCCCAGGAAGCACTAGAGAAATACACTCATGGGAGGCACTGTAGTGCAGTGAGGAACTTCGCAGGCCAAGGAGTTGGGCAAATGGGTGTAAATGTCCACCCTGCTCCAATTTGCTGAAGGAGGACACTCCTCTGAGTCTCAGTGTCCCTAACTGAGTGTCCTGGCAACAAGCCCATCCTCATAGAGCTGGTAGGAGGCCTAAATGCCATGTCTCTTATAGAACACACTCAAATATGAATAGTAGGGTTTTTTTGTTTTAACAAATGCATAACCTGACCAAAACTAAACTTTATTTTTGTCTTCCTCTAGCCCTGTAAATTTTCTGTAGTAAGGAATAATCTCCTGATCCTAGATGAAGACTTGGGCAAGCTAAAGAATCTTCTAGTCACTCACAGATAATTCCTCCATGGCTTTTAGCCATAAACAATCTCAATTATGTAATTTTTCGTTTGTTTTTGAGACAGGGTCTTCCTCTGTTTCCCAGGCTGGAGTGGCAGTGGTGTGATCTTGGCTCACTGCAGCCTCTACCTCCCAGGCTCAAGTGATCCTCCCGCCTCACCCTCCCGAGTAGCTGGGACTACAGGCGTGCACCACCATGCTCGGCTAAATTTTTGTATTTTTTGTAGAGATAGGGTCTCACCATGTTGCCCAGGCTGGTCTCGAACTCCTAGGCTCAGGCTCCCACCTCAGCCTCCCAAAGTGCTGGGATTACATGTGTAAGCCACTGCTCCCAGCCAACAATGAATAATTTTAGTATAAGTATGTTCCAAATATTGTAGGAGATATATCTGTACTAAAAAATTATTTTTTGATAATCTAAAATTCAAATTTAACTAGGTGTTCTGCATTTTTATTTGCCAAATCTAGAAAGCATAAGTGGAGGAACTGAGAGACTGAGTCATACCTCTGACAGCCTCTCAAGGCTATGGGGTTAAATGTGAAGTTGAGAGCTGATCAAGAGAGGGAAGCAGCAGCAAAAAATTCCTCACTTAGTATCGTAAGCCTAACAGGCTGAACCCTAGAAATGCAAGTGAACTATAAGTAAATCGCCCCTTGCGTAAACTCCAAGACTCATTTGGGGGTCAGGAAAATCTTGTGTTAATGCTGGATACAGGCGGTCCCACATTGCTAGTGCTGCTGGGTGCCTGAAGCAAACAATTGAAAAATCTTCTCTGGAGGAAGATAATATAATCCTACATATTTCTATAAATCTATAAAGAATTTTTTCAAGTATGTTCATAAACAATCAATATAGTCAAATATAACCAGGTACACAAGAAGCTAAGAAATGTGACCAAGACCCAGCACAGATGAAAGAAACAAGTACAGAGACAGACCCACAACTGCTACAGATAGTAGAATTACCAGATGAATGTACAAACACCTATGCTCGTGCAGATTAAAGCCAAACAAATTTCAGTCAGGTTCCTGAAACAAAAAGTGACATTTTAAAGTCTGCAAAGAAGGTTGGGCACAGTGGCTCATGCCTGTAATCCCAGCACTTTGTGGGGCTGAGGTGGAAAAACTGCTTGAGGCTAGGAGTTTAAAACCAGCCTGGGCAACATAGTGAGACCTCGCCTCTATGAAAAATTTTAAAAAATTAGCCAGGCATGGTAGTGCAGTTACTGTAGACCCAGTTACCCAGGAGGCTAAGGTGGGAAGATCACTTGAGCCTGGGAGTTGGAGGGTACAGTGAGCCATGATCACACTGCTGCACTCCAGCCTGGGCAAAAGAGTAAGAGACTCTGTCTCAAAAAATGATAATAAAATCTGCAAAGAAGCAAATAACCAGCTACATATCCTAGAACTGAAAAGGTTAGTGTGTGTATATGTGTGTATGTGCGTGTGTGCTATTGATTCAGGTGAAGGAGCATTGTTTTACTTTGATAGGTTTGAATCAATATAGTAAAAGAAGCTTAGTTGACTACCCATTAAATTATCTTGTGAATAGATGAATTAAATATCAGAGGCAGAGCACTCAGCTTTCATCCTAGGGAGTTGCAAGAAATCATTGCTCTTATCATAATAACCAAAAAATTTTTAAATATTTTTAAAGGCAAAGGAGAAGAAATCTAGAGGAAATACCAGAGAAGGGAACAAGCCCTTGCTACATTCAAGATGCTCAGTGAACCCCAAGCAGACAAATATAAAGAAAATTACACATAGTTAAACTACTGTACATCCAAAATAATGGGAAAATCTCAAACTGTCAGAAAAAAAGACACATTACATTCAGGGGAACAGCAATAAGAATAACAGTGACTTTTCAACAACAACGACAAAAAAATGGAAGCCAGAGACAATGGAACTATTTCTTTAAAGTGCCTAAAGGGGAAAGAAATAAAATAAAAGCTAGCCTGTAATTCTATCTCCAATGAAAGCATATTCTATAAAACAAAGTGGAATAAAGACATTCTTCAACAAATAAAACAACAAGAATTTCTCCCCCCATGTACTCTCACTGCAAGAAATCTTAAGAAATATAAATGGGCAAATATAAATGACTGTTTAAAATGTTATAAAAGATTGCTAACTATTTACAGCAACAATAACAACAATGCATTCTAAGGGGTTATAACATGTATAAGTAAAATATGACAATGTCATAAAGAGCAAGAGATGGTAAGCGGAATTACATTGTTAAAGGTTCTTATATGATTCAGGAAATGGTAAAGTACCAATTTAAGGCAGATGTAATGAGTTAAGGATACATATAATTTCTAGTTACTAAAAACAACAGGTTACTGTTTAACCCCTCCACCACTGCCAGCAAAAAGGATATAAAATAATAAAATATATCTAAATTCCTAAAAAAAATTTTTAAGTCAGGAAAGGGAGACAAAAGAACAGATGGGAAAAACAGAAAGCAAACAGCAAGACAGTAGATTTAATCCAACCATATCAGTAATTACTTTAAATATTAATGGCTAAGGCCGGGCACAGTGGCTCACACCTGTAATCCCAGCACTTTGGGAGGCTGAGGTGGGCGGATCATTTGAGGTCAGGAGTTCGAGACCAGCCTGGCCAACATGGTGAAACCCTGTCTCTACTAAAAATACAAAAATTAGCTGGACATGGTGGCACATGCCTGTAATCCCAGCTACTCCGGAGGCTGAGACAGGAGAATTGCTTCAACTTGGAAGGCAGAGGTTGCAGTGAGCTGAGACTGGGCAACTGCACTCCAGCCTGGATGACAGAGCAAGACTCCATCTAAAAATAAATAAATAAATAAAGCCTAAAGGCTAAATCCTCAAGAGATTAAATTAAGAGAATGTCAAACTAGGTAAAAAAAATAGCAACACCCAACTATATGTTATTACATGAGGCCTACAGACAGGTTAAAGGGAAATGACAGAAACAAATATAACAAAAGATAAACTATATACCAACACTAACCGTAAGAATGCCAGGGGGCTATTTTTAAGAATCTAAGTAGATGGCTCACGCCTGTAATCCCAGTACTTTGGGAGGCCAAGGTGGGCAGATCACGAGGTCAGGAGTTCGAGACCAGCCTGACCAACATGGTGAAACCCCATCTTTACTAAAAAATACAAAAATTAGTTGGACATGGTGGCACATGCCTGTAATCCCAGCTACTAGGGAGGCTGAGGCAGGAGAATCGTTTGAACCTGGGACGCAGAGGTTGCAGTGAGCCGAGATTGCGCCATTGCACTCCAGCCTGGGTGACAGGGCGAGACTGCACCTCAAAAAAAAAAAAAAAAAAGGAATCTAAGTAGTATCGAGGCAGAGAGTATTGCCAGAAATAGAGGGATGTTTCATAAAGATAAAATGGCAAATTCTTAGGAAGATATAGGAATCCTAAACAATTAATAATAAAAATGGATAAAACTGAAAATTGAACTATCAGGAACACAGGAACACAATCATTAAGTATGAATTCAAACTTAATCATATTTTAATTTTATTTCTAACTTTTTAATTAGTCGTCCCTGCAATGAGAAAAATAGTAAAAATGTTGTATATCTTCCCTGCTCCTTCCGTTCCCTTGGTTATCAAAAATCTTTATTTACATAGCACTATTCCACATAGTATTTGCTTGGGTCATGGAAGAGAGGGCTACAATTTCTATGAAAACTTTGTAAATCAATATCTGAAAAAAAAACCACAAAATATATTGGGGGAAAAATAAATTCAGACAAGTTGAGCAACAATAGAAACTGCTTTGTTTTGAGGAAAGTTTATATCCAAACAAAATATTGTACATGTTTCATATATATATGTTAATTGTACATCTATAGAAAATCTGGAGAAGTGGACACCCAACCTAAGAGTGGTTACCTCTGGGAAAAGCTATTGGAGGAAAGACTTTCACTTTTTAATTTAATTTATGTGCCTCTGTACAGTTTGAATTGCCTCATGAACATGTAACCCTTTTCAACCTAATGCTGGCTTAGCCACTTCCTGGATAAACCAAAGCCACACTATATCAATAGGTGCCAGGCAGTATGTGAGAAAAAGTGCTGGATCAGCCTGCAAGCCCTCTTTTCAACTCTATGTGGAAGGGAACCTCGTGAAGTTATTTGTCATCTGTTTTCTTTACTGAACTATGTTGCATTAAGGGTTAGGTTGGGCACAGGATGTAGAACATAATAGCTGCTTCATAAGTATATGTTGACTGAAAGGACAAATTTCTGACATCACTGGGTGTTCCAGGTTTTAAGCGTTGAGAAATAGGAAGCTCCCCCTCCCACCAAGTCAGCATCCATTGACTTACGCCTTGTGTTTCATGCAAAAAGTCCATACCAGAGACTGTGAATTAGATAAGAGAAAAGGACCAGGGAATGTTGTTGGGGGCTGGGGTCGGGGGTGCAGGTATGCATTCTACAGTGTGTCAAGATATGAATGCTGGCATATCATGTAAAATCTTAGAAACTAATGCATACAAGACAGTGTTTTCTCTCAGCCCTTTGCTGAATCTCTTGGCATGGACATGGATCAGAGTGCTGAATATAAATAGAACTTCACTAGTAAACTGGAGATACACAGTACAATTATTAAAAGAGGATTTCCTAAAGCTAACGCTTCATTTAGTGCTTTCTTCATGCCAAGCATTATTACATTGACATTTAATCTTCAGGACAATTGGATGAGTTAAGTATTACTATTACTGAGGAGGAAACTAGGGCATAAAGATTATATACCTAGCCCAAGGTCACAGGGCTGGTAAATGCTGGAGCCAGAATTTGAACCCAGGCTGTTTGGCACCAGAGCCCACGGTCTACACTGCTTCCATGTGTGCCAAGTCTAAGACAACCATTACTGTTGAAGGCATATATCCTGAGGGGTGACAAGTGAGGCCTAGGACTATAAGTTGCCTGATAGTGTCAGTGCTTTTGACCAGGCTGTGGGGATAAGGGGTGGCTACATGGGCAGTGGCTATTGAAAGATAGATCTTAGAGAAACAGAAGAAAGCAATCTAGCTCTTTGGTGCCACCAAATATGTGATGTTCTTCTGTCAATACAGTTCTCCTTCAAAGGAAAGTAAGTATTGAAGACAATGCCAGGGCTGGGAATTCTTTCCTTTTTATACCCTTTTTAAGATGCACATTTGCTCTTGTTTTCAGTCTTGATGTTCTTCAATATAGATATATACAAACTCTTCCCAACACTCCTCTGAATATCCATGGAGACATCATGACATTTATTTTTAAGGACTGACCAGTGGCAAGGCATCATGCTAGGTGCTGAGAGAAGAGAGATCAATATGACACTCTTGAAAGACAAATACCACACGATCTCATTTATATGTGGAATCTTTTTTTTTTTAAGTCAAACTCACAGAAGCAAAGATTAGAATGGTGGGCTAGGGGGTTGGTGATGGAGAGATGCTGGTCAAAGAGTGCCAAGTTTTAGTTAAGAGGAGCAAGTTTTTTAGATCTTTTGCACTGCATGGTGACTATAGTTAGTAATAATGTATATTTCAAAATTGCTAAGATAGATTTCATACCACAAAAAGAAATATATCAGGCGATGGATATGTTCATTAGCTTGATTTAACTTAATCATTCTGCAATGTATACATATGTCAAAACATCACATTGTACCCCATAAGTACGTGCAATTATTATTTATCAATTTTTAAGAGATTGAAATAAGACTATCTTGGCTCTCAAAGAGAAATTTTTCTTCCTAAGGATCCCTTGAATCTGTAACCTCATTTGTCAGTGTTTCACTCTATCACAGTCCTCATCCTTCCCACGTGGACTGTGGAGAGGGTTCCCCAAGGAAGTTGGTTTCCTCCTACAATGCTGCACATTCCTTCCAGATCAGCTTCCTGAGCCATGACCCTGACAGTCCTGCTATTCCACAACCCCTCCAAAAAAATTACAGGCCCCACGCAGCCAACAAATGTTTACTTGGCACCTGTGTGCCAGGCACTGTTTTCATTAATAGAGATATAGCAGGGCATGAAAAAAGGCCCTGTTCTAGCTAAGGGTTGGGGAAGACTGAAAATGAGCAAGTACACTATATGGCACTGTCGTGAGGAAAATCAAACCGGAAAAGTGCATGGGAGGGAACTTCCATTGTAGAGTGGTAGCAATATTGAATTTTACTTGTGCCCTGTGACCCTGGAAAAGGGAAGGATAAGATATCTCCCTGCCCTTATGTTCCAAGAAACAGCTTACTGCAAAGAACCACCTTTCCCCATGTAACTGAGATAAGACTCACAGATACTCACCTTAATTATCTATGACGAGGCCAGACACCAATCTTACTCTGCTTCATAAATCATTAGCTGAACTACTTGTCCCCACTGACCAATTGGAACAAAATGCATGTTTCACACTTTGGTTCAGCTTCTCTCCTTCCTCCAGGTCCCTGAACTTTGGCTCAATATACAGCCCCTCCTGAGAAGAGGCTGGCCTCAGGGTCAAACATTCTGTGATCTCCTGTTGGAACACACCACTCTTTGGAACACGCCACTCTTTGGAACACCCCACTACCCCATACCTCATCTTTTCTAGCTTTATTTACTCCTCCACAAACAAACAAAATAATACACTGAAATGATGGCCCTAATCCAACTTGAATTTTTTTTTTTTTTTTTTTTGAGATGGAGTCTCGCCCTGTCGCCCAGGCTAGAGTGCAGTGGCGCCATCTCGGCTCACTGCAACCTCCGTCTCCCAGATTCAAGCTATTCTCCTGCCTCAGCCTTCCTAGTAGCTGGGACTACAGGCGTGCACCACCATGCCCAGCTAATTTTTGTATTTTTAATAGAGGTGGGGTTTCACCATGTTGGCCAGGCTGGTCTCGAACTCCTGACCTCAAGTGATCCACCTGCCTCAGCCTCCCAAAGTGCTGGGATTATAGGAGTGAGCCACCACACTCGGCCTAATTTTCATATTTTTAGTAGAGATGGGGTTTCACCATGTTGGCCAAGCTGGTCTGGAACTTTTGACCTCAAGTGATTTACCCGTCTTAGCCTCCCAAAGTACTGGGATTACAAGCCTGAGCCGCCATACCCGGCCCCAACTTGAAAATTTGAGAGGGATAAATATTACAAGATCCTTTCCAGAGATGCCAGAGTATGGGCACATCCACCTTAGGCATTCTTAGGTGTGGGGCGGGTGCAGAAGCAGTAGAATAAGCTTGCTTCCGTCTCTCTCAGACCAGAGGTTCTTGCCTCCTGGAGAATGGTCAGTTTGGAAGCACAGGCGGCTAGGCAGCAACCAAGAGGAAACGCTTAGGAAATGATTAATTCACCGCGTTTTTAAATTACTTAGCTGCTCTTGCCTCTCAGGAGCAAAACGGAGAGGTTAGACTAGATTATTTCAAGGTCCTATTCTGCTCACAGATTCCTATTGTGTTCCATTTTGGACTTATTACATTGAGTAATTGAGTTCTTCCGACTCAATGACACAATCAGAGAGGCTCTTAAGATTAAAGAGCCTGGAGTTCCTGCAGCCTGAGGAAAGAGGGTGAGTCATCGTTGGCGGCTCTGATCTGGGGCCCTCTAGTGGATACAAAGTTAATTGAGATTCCGAAGTCTGGACTTCAAGACGTAAAATTACTTGAGACAAGTGGCAGGTTTTGAAACCTTTCATTTTTCTCCAAGGTAAAATAGGATCACTAATTTTTTTTAACATTTGAGAGATACCGATATGTTATTGTCTGCTGAACATTGGATTGGATAATATTCCTAGGCAGATGATTTACAATCAGAAATTGAATAAGAAGCCAAACTTGGAGAAAATGTGGGGAATGTTTAGCAGAAAAGATAAGTGACCATGTTTTGGGAGAACACAAAATTTATTCTTGCATTATTTAAACGCCAATTTCAAGACAGTGAAAGAACATCTTCTGCCACTGTGACTGAACAAGTCTTTGCTTTCACACTGTTTCTTCCAGCTTCCTTTAGCTACAGAGGGGGCTCTCTTACCAGGAAAAAAGAAATTAAGTATTTTAAACTGTAGGAATCTAAAATGCCCCTCAGTGGCATAAAGATTATTTTAAGCTAAAACCATCTGAACAAACAGCAGCCATGAGGGCAGGAGGCGGGCGGACCTTATCTAAACTTCTTTTGCTGAGTTAAGCAGGACCTCCCAGAAAATACCAGCCACCATAATTCCCTCTCTGAATGATTTACAGCCGGAAAAAAAGACTATTATCAATGGAATTAGTAATTGCTTAAACTTCATCTGAACCAAACTTTCCACTCGTTCTTCCATAGAAGCCCTTTCTCCCCCTCCTTTCTCCTTATTCAGTGGATATATAAACTATCTTTGGCTGATTGAGTAGCCGTTTCATCTAAAGGATCCAGAGTGACTACACAAATTTTGTCTTTTCTCCTATTAATATGTCTACTGTCAGTTAATTTGCAGACCCCCAAACACTGGACCCAAATCGAAGGATGAAAAAATATTTCCTTCCATAGGGGAGAAGATAATTATTTTCATAATCATCACTAGGTACATGACTGAGGCACCTATAATAAAAACATACTAACAAGAGAAAAGCTCACAAATTTAAGTTTTACATGACACAGGAGCCTTCAGAAATGAAGACTCAAAGAAATGGTGAAACTTGCGTATTTTTATGCTTAAAGAGTGGACAGTTGTACAGAAGTATAATTGGACAAAGGGGGTGTGATCTAATGGTAATAAACTGGGGAGAGCTTAGCAAGACTTGTTTGTTCACGTTCTTCTCTGTGTCCCTGTGTCTTCAGAGATAAGGATATTGCTTTCTTCCAGGAATAGGAAGGGCACCTCTGGAATGAGGGTCTATGGCCTACTTCAGGAAAAAGTCAGCTGGATTTTATGGCCTGTTTCAGGGCAAAAGGGCAGGGGAGGGTGAAAGTGACCTTGCTTCTGCTGTTTTCTCAAATGCCAAGGTGCCATATTTTGGGGTAGCATGTTCTGAACCTCATCACTCCCAACAAAACAGGCATGTACTTCAGAGAATGGGATAGAAGAACTGAGAAATCAAATGAGGTTTGTGGTGCCCAGATATTAATAACAGCAGAAAGCAACTACCACTTCTAGGCTGGAGCGGCAAAGGGACCTCAAGGCACATAGCCGAAGCTGCCCCCACAGAGAGCCCCTCCAGCAAGAAATGGAGCCCCAGGGGAGATGTACCAGTGGTCTGCTAGGCAGTTCAAGGCAGAAAGCAATGTGGGAAAACTCTCCCTTCTTTATTCTGCCAGGGTTCTCTATTGGTCGAGTCTCACTCAAAGCCAGCTGACCCAGGAATGTGGAAAATGCAGATTCAGGAGCTGGCCCCTGCAAGTCATAGCAGGGCAGAAAAAGGGTATGGAATTGCTCTAACTGCAAACTGGCCAAGGACTGGCATAATAAAGGATAGAAGTTATGATGTTAGAGTTGACAAATATTAGCAATAGAGAGGACTGTTAGTCTTATAGATGTTTGTATAAATAGAACATGAATCTACAAGGTCAGCTTTATGGGGACATGGCCTGTGTAGCTGCACAGGGTTCCATACTTGGTTTAATGTTCTGCTGTCACTGTCTTGAAAGTTTTTAATTTTTTTTCTTTTTTGAGACAGGGTCTCACTGTGTTGCCCAGGCTTGTCTTGAACACCTAGGCTCAAGCGATCCTCCTGCTTCAGCCTCCCAAAGTGCTGGGATTGCAGGTGTGAGCCACCACGCCTGGCTGAAAGCTCACAAACTTCCTTAAGTTTTACATGACACAGAAGCCTTTAGAAATGAAGACCCAAAGAAATGGGGAAACTTTTTAATTTTTGAACAAAGGGCTGTGTGAGTTTTCATTTTGTACTGGGGCCCATAAATTATGTAGCTAGTCCAGAGGATCAATAATCTACAACTTAGAGTTGTGGAATGCAGAGAATGTAGCTCTGCTGTCCTCTTTTCTGGATAGAACTAGGACATTGGAGAAGTGGTGACCCTGAGGTTGACTTCAAGGGCTGGGCAATATTGTCAGCCAGGATGCAGGGACAAGAGCACATGGGTAGAAAAGGAAAAGGGAAAGGACTAGAAGAGAAGGGACTCTTAGGCACCCATAGAAGGTCATCTCTGTGTGGGCTGAGATGCAACCCAATAGCTATGAGTAAACATTCTGCTCCATGTTCTGGTTTCCCAAGTATGTGAGGTCTCCCACTAGGAAGACAGTCTTTTTTGATAAATGATAATGCCTTCCCTCTCCAGATATTGCCATGCATAATAAGTAAAATTATGATAATCATTTCACAGAATAGAACAGAAGATCCAATGGAAACTTTTTATAAAGACATCTAACCTCAAGTTTTCCATTTGAAAGCAGTTTGGTGTGAGGATTTTAAAAGCTGTAATAAAGACTAAAATTTTACTATGCAGAACCCTAAGTATACAGTCCTTCCTCAATGTCCACAGACGGTTGATTCCAGGACCTCTCTCAATACTAAAATCTGTGATTCAGTTCCTTACATAAAATGTCATAGTATTTACATATAACCTACCCACATCCTTCTGTATACTTTAAATCATCTCTACATTACTTACAATACCTCATACAATGTAAATAATTGTTACATTGTTTTTTAATTTTGTATTTTTATTCTTTTTTTTTCCAAATATTTTTGTTATACAGTTGGTTGAATCTGCAGATGCAGAACCCACAGATAGGGAGGGACGACTGCACTTGATTTTGGAATTTCCTATGCTACTAAGTTCTTCTCATTCCTGTTCTACAAATTGTTTGACAGTTATGGGTCATAAAAGTTTCAAATTCCTGGGCCTATAACCAACTTTAACACCATCTGTCCTTAAAGTGGGCCGAAGGCAGTGGGTGCCTGCCAGTGGGCTCCAGGTTCAGACCAGAGGCCGGACTCTTGAATTTTTATCTTTATTTTACTAACATCCTAGTAGCAATGTTTATTTTGAAGGTAGTAAATGTCAGAATTCTATAGAGTCTACCTTTTAATATATATTGAGGCCAGGTCTGGTGGCTCACACCTATAATCCCTGCACTTTGGAAGGCTGAGGTGGGAGAATCACTGTAGGCCAGGAGTTCAAGGCCTGCTTGGGCAACATAGGGAGACTCTATCTCTATTAAAAAAAAAATGAGCTGGGTGTGGTGATGCACACCTGTAGTCCCAGCTACTCCTGAGGCTACGGTGGGAGCATCACTTGGGCCCAGGAGATCAAGGCTGCAGTGAGCTGTGTTCACACCACTGCACTCCTGCCTGGGTGACAGAGTGAGACTCTGACTCAGAGAGAGAGAGTGTGTGTGTGTGTGTGTGTGTGTGTGTGTGTGTGTGTGTGTGTTGAAGTTTTTACTTAACAAATCTATTTAATGTTTATAATCAACTAGGCATTATTCTAACTGCTTTACAAATATTGGCACATCTAATTCTCATGAGAACTCTGAGGACACACTATTTCATTTTACAGATGAGGAAAGTGATATATAAAGTGAGGCATAAAGTGAATGTGGAATGAGCCTGAAGTGCTTATGATAACTTTTTATAAATTCTGCTAGTCTTAAACTGATTTTCCTTTTACTAAGGGTACTTACAAAGAGAAAGAAACAAGGATAATTTCTGTATCTTTTACACCTCTTTTACTTAAGTTCTATTTTATAAAAGCTCCTCAGAATACTTGACCTGAGCTTCTCATCCAAACTGCCATATTAGTCACACTCTATGCATCATACCTACCATTCTTTAATGCATTGTATTCAAATTCACCAGGTCCTTCTTTAAACACACAGAAAGCAAAGATTAATGGAAGGTATCTGCACTTGGTTGGAAGGAAGCTACTAAGGGAGACACACAAGTAAATAGTTGAACTGTGTGTTCGCAGACAGGAAGGAACACTTTACCCCTCAAAGTGCAAGAACAGTTGCAGGAAGGCTTCCTTGATGGGTGATCCTTGCATGAATCTTGAAGGGGAAATATGTAGTTTACCAGGCAGACAAGCAAAGGAAGACTTTCCAGGACTGTCAGGTACAGAAGCACAAGCATAACAAAAGTATATGAAATCTGGGGAACTTCAGGTAGTAGTCCAACGTGGCTTATGGGCAGGCTATGTGTGGTGATAAGAGATAATTTTCAAAAAAGAGAAAATAATGGCTGTCATGGATGAACATGTATTAAAGATTATATTCTCCCATCAGGCAGATTTTATAAACATTGGTTCAAAGGGTAAGTCCAAACAACAAACATTCTAGACCAGGAATGAAGTGAATGTGGAAATGGAGGCAAAACTAGCTTCTTCCACAGTGAAAATGGGAAGTCAATTAAACTTCTATTGGACAGAATTTGGATTTCTATAGACCGTTATTTTGTGTTGCTATCGCTTATCTATAATTTACAGAGTTGTAAAATAACTCCCATAGAATCAGAATCAGATAATTCAGAAGGGTGACTTCTATGTAGTTTTCCATCAAAGCACAACTTTTACCCTACAGTGGCAGTAAGAGAAAACTAGTTAATTTTTCAGAGGCCACATCAGATAGGGTCACAGATACCACACCAGAGTTTGGATTTCTGTTAGTTTTAGTCTTTGAGCAAAAGAAGTTCATGAAGGGTCAAACTGAGAAGTGCTAGGATCTCCTGTCATCGGAGAGGCATGGCCTGGCAAGGAGGTGGACGTTTGACTGGAATAGCTCAAGGATGGATTCAGAGGCTTGATGCAGTAGGTCAGTCAAGAAAGTCTGAGGGCCAGAGCCACGGTAATGGCAAACGGGAGAGTGGCTGACAAACAAAATACAGTCAAGTAGATCTAGTGAAAGTGGATGTGAGGGATGAAGTAGAAAGAAGGTTGTCTCTGATGGTTTCTAGGTTTCTGGCTTAAACAATTAGGCGCATGGTGGCGCATCCACCTATGTGAAAGGAGCAAGCTTGTGAGGAGCGATGAGCTGGTTTGCCCATCTGAGTGTGAGGTGCCTGTGGAATATGGAATATCCGGGTGAATATATCAGGAAGACAGTTAGACAGGGGCTTCTAGGAGACTTGGTGTGGAGTTACAAGCCACTGACAGTGGCCTTTGCGAGCAGCCAAGGCGCGAAGAGCAGCAGCTGGGAGAATGAGCCCTGAACGGTTCCAGGAAGCTCAGCCTAGTGGAAGGGCCAACGGAGGCCTGTTATGTGATGAGCCCCACTACAGTCCCTCGCAATGCAATCGGGCGCGGCCACTGCCTCCCTCGGAGCTCCGCGAGAGGCCCTCCAAAAAGACGCTGGCACGGAACTCGCGGCTCTCCTGCCCGTTGGATCCCGAAGCACCAGTCGGGGCCCCAGACACGAGGCCCCACTTCCGCTTACGCGCCCCACTTCCGCTTCCGGCCCCGGGCTGTGGTGACTGGCGGTGTGGGGTGGGTCAGAGGGCAGTAGGTACCTCCAGGCGGGAGCAGCGTTTGCACCGCGGTGGGTTCCTGCGAGCTGGTGCAGAGGGGCCCCAGCGGGCCGGCCCCGGGGCACATGCGACGACCTCCACCCCTGGGCCCCACGACGGCCTCAGGGCCTGAAGGCAATGTGCGAAACCTGCAGAAGCGGCAGGCGCCAGGGCCAGGCGCGGCGGGAGGCTGTGGCCCTGAGGCCGGGGGGTGCCGGGAAAATAAGCAAAAGAGGAGAATGGTGGCCCGGGCCACCCCTGGGAGAGGCGAGGTGGAAAGTGATAAGTCGGTTGCAGCATCAGGGGCTGGAAAGGCCGCAAGGCGTCAGGTGGAGGGGCGCAGGGGCCCGGTGAGCCCGTCAGACTCGTCAGACCCGCGAGGCCTAGAAGCAGCAAAGGAGGCTGAACTCCCCTTGCAAACGGAAAGACACAGTAAGAAAGCATCCACGATCACTTACCTTTAGCCCTTGTACCTCAGCGTGCTCCATCTTTGTTTTACCACTAGTCTTTAACTTGAACCTGCATGGTTATTTCTGATGCACATAGTTGACCAGGAGATGGGAAAAATGGATTTCCTTAAAAGGGGTGTTCCCTGTTAGGAATCCTTGGTCAGAATTATGATAGGAGGAATTCCTACTTGTGGTCCATTTTGGCTAGTATGAGATGACGATGTTATAAGGGTTATTCAGTTGCCTTAGAATTTATACAGGTTTATATGTAATTCCTTAACAGAAATTAAGGCTTTCATTTAAAAACAAATGTGTATTTACATACAGCTGTTCAGGGAAATAAAAATGATAGCCTCACAATTTTTAATTTCAATGATAATTGCATTTTCCTCCTCAATATAAAATCTTTTCTGATATATTTTGTTGTTTTGATCAGCCAAGGAAAAAAGAAAAGTTACTGAAGCCTCAAGTGATGATCCACAGCCAGGGCTTGACTTGGTAAGAAAGGAATCATTAACCAGTTCGGAATCTTTCCAAACAGTGGAATGCTTGCAGTCTTTGGGTAAGGAAAGTATAATAGAAGGTATTAAAAGAAGAATTCGAAATAAAAAACTTAAAAGCTTAGAAAACCCACCTCTCAAAATAACCGAAAATGAGGCTACACAAAATATTAAGGTTGAATTCCAAGATGAACTGTACAAGAATACTCCAAAATATTCTTGTAATATCTTGTCACCTGAAGTAGAAAATAATTCCGTTTTAAAATTACGTGATTGCAATTGTTTCCCCCATTCCAAGGGTTGTAATGATGAAAACAACCTGCCATATAAACCTGATGGTGGATGTATGCATGTAGCAGAAAATTTCTCAAAGAAAGAAAACCTTAGGAGTCTTGCAGAGAAGAGTGACACAAATAGTATTCCTCAGCTCTTACAAACAGAAGAAAATGTAATGGGAGTAAATAAGTTACTACCAGAAGAGAGTGATTTATACCAAAGTAAAACCAATGGCTTGCTTTCCTGCCTTCAACATGAAAAAAATAAATATTCAATAGAGGAGAGCAGTGTTGGGCGAAAACCCAGGAAAAGGATGAAGTTGTCTGAAAAAGCAGATGAAACAGTTACTGAGATGAACTTCTCTAATGAGTATAACAAGTCTGAGTTGATGTTGCAAGAAAATCAAATGATTGCTGATGGTAAAGAAGCAGAGACTAAAAGTCCTTTAAATGTTTTGAGAAAAGTAAGCCATAATACAGTCTCTTTGATGGATCATTTATTAAGTGTCCCAGAAACAGTAGAAAAAGAAACAAGTTCTGAACATCATGTAAATGCTGTGTTTCAGAAAACCATTGAACCACTTTTGAAAGAAGAAACAGAGAATGCTTCAGAGCCGTTAGGTTATGAAAGCATGGCATCGAAAGAGGATTTTAAATCGATGAAAAGCTTCATAGGGAAATCACCTAATGAGTACCATATTGAAAGGAGATCTTCACGGGAAGACTTAAGAAGTGCATCTGAAGAATTGAAGTTAAGCTGTCAGAGAACAATACCTATGACTGGTAAAAGAACTTGGCCCTATTATTCATGTGCTAGAATATCTGCCTGGTGTTGGAAAAAGGCTTCCTTGCCAGAATCAAGTTACTTTCTTCGTGGGTCTCAGGAAAGTTGTAGGCAAGTTGATGTCCCTAAACACCAAACAAACCAGACCCATTTAACTGACTCCAAATTATTATTACAAAGTTCCTTAACAGAAACAAACACTGAATCTTCAAGTAAAGAAAAATTAGATTCTAATTCTAATTGTTTGTCTTCAGTTTCTGCAGTAGAACCTACTTTAATGGTTATAAAGGAACCTATAATCAAGGATGATAAAAAGATAAAATCAGAGGAACTGAGCAGAAGAGGGTCAGAGGTAATTTCTAACACTACTGAAGATACTCAATTAACCAGTGAGACTCAAAGCTTAACGGGAAATAAAAAAAAAGCTAGAGGAAATTTAACGAAACTTAATTTGACAGCGACTTCCAAAGATGGTCAGGAAGCAAATAACTCTGCAGGCAAAACTATTCATCGAAAAGCATGCATTGCTCAACAAACATTTATAGTTCCAGACTTGGTTAAAATATTGAACACAGGACGGCTGACTAATTTTAAAATTCCTTTACTTAAGAATAAATCAGAAAAAAGAAAAGAAGTAAATGCCAAGTCATCAGAGAGAGAAGCTTACAGTCCTCTAGAACTTCTGGACAATTTATCTGGAGCAGACGTAAGACAGAACAGGAGTAAAGAAAATGTCTCCATGATGATGTTAGGACCTCAAACTTTGAGCATACGAAATAGTGTAACTCCAGTGCAAGCTAGTTCTGACTCATTCTACAATAAGAAATCCTATAGTATTTCTCCAAGCTTTACAAAGCAAGGTAACAATAGCAAACCATCTAATCACGTCTCTGAACCAGGCAATATTGTTTCTAATAAAGAAGTTGCTTCTCTCACAGTTGAAAATAATGCTTTTTCTTGTGATCCTGGGTATGTAGAGAAAAGTCCTTCCTTCTGCTGTAATGAACAAGAAACATTCCGACCAGTGTCCAGTGAAGTTAGGGGTAGAAAAATAACTAAGAATTTTTCAGAGGTAGGGTTTCCAGATATTCTTAAAGCATATGAAGATGACGTCCTCTTAATTGATGTAATTCAAGATGACCCAGACCTCTTTGGAGTCTCCAATGAAGGGGAGCTCTCATTTACTTCTGAGGTCCCAAAGATAAGCCAGGAGCCCAATGTTGCTGGAGAGCACCAATCAACAGACTCCAAGTACATGGAAACTCCAGTAAAAAAAGAACCAAGTGATGACTTAAGGTATGCATGTTCAAGTATTCCTTTTAGTGCAGATTGTTGGGGGTTAGAAAAGCAGTCTCTTAAGTTTCACTAATGTATTCAGTGATATTGAAGCTCCATTATTTTTTAACCCAATTATTTATTAAATGTTATATACCATTATTACTGCTGATACCTGGAAATGTCATTATGCTAAAACTTAGAGTCAAAATAATGAATTATATGTATCTTGGAAGATAGAAAAGATTAGCTGTTCAGAATTTATGGTTCATAGAGTGGCTTTTTTTTTTTTTTTTTTTTTTTTTTAACGGAGTCTCGCTCTGTCACCCAGGCTGGAGTGCAGTGGCGCAATCTCAGCTCACTGCAAGCTCTGCCTCCCAGGTTCACCCCATTCTCCTGCCTCAGCCTCCCAAGTAGCTGGGACTACAGGCACCCACCACCATGCCCGGCTAATTTGTTTTTGTATTTTTAGTAGACACGGGGTTTCACTGTGTTAGCCAGGATGGTCTTGATCTCCTGACCTCGTGATCCACCCGCCTCAGCCTCCCAAAGTGCTGGGATTACAGGCGTGAGCCACCGCACCCAGCCCATAGAGTGGCTTTTTAAGTGATGGAGATTGCTTCTTTCAAAAGTTAAGTTTATTTTCAAATGTTCTTTAATTATTATAAATACACAGATAAACTTTTACTTCAGCCAGGTTACTTATTAAGATCAGTGCTATCTATTTTAATCCATTTTCTATAGCCTCCTTGTTCGATAAAAAGTTCATTTTTCAGGGGACAGAGACGCCTTGGAAATTTTTATTTGAAGTAATTAGGGCTTGAAAGTAGAGTCAAAAGTTAAACTAATTTTCAGAGATAAACAGCATAAAATTTATTCGTGGTTTTACTTTTAAGGCAATGGTTTTAAATGATGATTTTTTCCCTCAAATAGGACTAGTTTGCCCAATGCAACTTTAAATGGGGCCAAGTAGTAACCTTCATGCTCAGGAACTTAATCTATTCTGTTTGGCCCCAAATTGATTTAATATTATGTCATATTTTACTTAATTTTATAATTCCTGAAGCCGTTATTTATATAATACCTGAATATCATAATATTTTGTGAATAGACTCAAAGAAAAATGAAAACACTTTTCATTAAGATTCAGTGGTACATGACTTAAGTTTCTCTGCCATTTATTTGCAGTTACCTTTGTGGTATCATACTCTTCTTGATGGTCTTATTGTTATAAGAACTTGAAACTTATCACCAAATATAATGCTGTCTATGTGCCAAATGGAGAACCAAGAGTTTTATTGATTTTTTTAACCATGTAATGAGGTAGCCTGGTAATCTGCCTGTTTTGAAGATGGAAAAAAATGAAGACAAATTTGTCACTTGCCCAAGATCACACTCCTAGTAACAGAATCTGGATTTGAACCTAGCCCTGTCTTACTCTAAACCTAGTGATTGTCTTTGTAGTCTGACCTTGGTTTTTGAATCTTCTTGTTACCACCTAACAACTATGTGACCTTTTAGGCAAATTATTTCATCTTTCTGTAAAAAGGGAAAGTACTTGCCTCAGGGTTGTGAGGATTAAATTAAATAATGAATAGAAAAGGTTTGGGCATTTTTAACTGTTATACCATACTTCCTTGGAGGAATACAAAGGAAAATCAGAGTAAATTCTGCATTCAAGAGCAAACTTCTCTGTTGAGTGACAAGATGTTGACAGTGAGCTAAGCCAAATTTAGAAAGAGATACATGTTGTGAATTAAAGTGCAGGACCTTTGTTCTTTATTCTTTTTTTAAAGAATAATGGCTGATTTTAAAACATGATACATTTTCATTAAAGTAAAAAGCGGTGTTGGGGGGGAAATCCACCACCCAAATAACAAATTAATTGCTATTTGTATGCATCATTTCAGACATTTGTCTATACATATAAGTGGATATAATATTAGAAAAATTGGATCATGCCATTTTTTAGTAAAAATGCTAAAGAAAATTTCATTTACACTTAACCAGAAGAGGCAGAGAAATCAAAGTGGAATGAAATGGATTGCTGAATTAATATATTTCTTTACCACAAGAAATTAGTTTCTTGAAGTTCTCTCTCAAGTTAATAAGGAAACTTGTCTAAAAGTTTGAGTTTTAGCTTCACTTATAAAAATTGTTTTCTAACTTTAGACAGCAGTGTTTGCTTTCTTAATATGAAAGATGAACATATTTCTACACACTTTTTCTCCTAATATAGCCTACCCCACATTTTTGTTTAAAGTTTATTTTATATTACTAAGCCTTGTGCCATGTACATTCCTTCAATAACCTGAACTCCAATGATTCTCATTATTAGTACTCTATTTAAATTGGTTCAGTCCCTACCACCAGTCCTATTTACTTTCCTCTAATCTTGACTATTTTTGTTATTTTTTTGAGAGGGAGTCTTGCTCTGTCACCCAGGCTGGAGTGCAGTGGCGGATCTCGGCTCACTGCAACCTATGCCTCCCAGGTTCAAGCAATTCTCCTGCCCTGGCCTCCTGAGTAGCAGGGATTACAGGCACATGCCACCACTCCTGGCTAATTTTTTTTGTACTTTTAGTAGACAGGGTTTCACCATGTTGGCCAGGCTGGTCTCCAACTCCTGATGTCAAGTGATCTGCCTGCCTTGGCCTCCCAAAGTGCTGGGATTACAGGCATGAGCCACCGTGCCTGGCCTAATCTTGACTATTTTGATTCATCGCTTAGTTGGCTAGATTTCAGAGCAAAGAAATTTTTAAAGAGTTCACGATTACTGTGTTCCCTAAAATCTTGGGTGCATGAGAATTATTTGTCTAAGAGCAGGTTGTCTGTGTGTAAAATTCTTAGTTTACATATTTCCCCCTCACAATTATATAGACATTGCTCTCCTGCTTTCTGACATTATGTGTTGTAGTAAAAAACTTTGAGGCCAAACTAATACTCCCACTGCTCCACTTTAAGCTGCCCTTATTTTTTCTTCTTGTTTTCCACCTTGGGAATGGTAATTATATATCACTTTTTCCTGAGACAACGTTAGCCATTTTGGTGTGCAGTATCAAGTGTTTATTTCAGATAGCTTTTTTGTTACTATCTTTGAACTTCATTTTTCTTCACTTCAAAAGCACCAGTTATACTTTTATTGGCTCTTCTTTGCCTTTTATCTACTTCTAAAGTTTCTGTTTTTAAACAAACTTAAACATTTTCTTAGTATTATTTTAATATTTTTATATTTGTTCTGCACTGGAAATACTAGTTTTGTAGTCATCCACAGTGCTAGGATAAACCTTAACAGGGAAAAATGAAGACCTGATAACCAGAGAATCTATCAGTAGTTGCACAGAAACTTGTTAATGGTTCTAGAACTAAATGAAGCTTAAAATATAATTTGAAATTTCAGCTATGTCCCTTTTACCAGTCAGTTACTAGTTCTTATGCTCCATTTTCTCCCTTCTAAGACACTGAGAGGCTGAAGGCTGCTGGAATGAGTTTTTATTTTACAGGAATAAAAGTAGAAGATGAAAGGGTGAGGCCCATATATTGTCAGAAACTCTGGACTGCCCCTTTTGGTAAAACAAGTAGACAAACTTGAGCTGACTTAATCACTGGGGAAAGTATTCTCAGACCAGATTGGGGAGAATTTGGAAGGTGTCTAAGTCATGATAGAATGCTTATTTGTTTTTAGTCTCCACAGTGGGGAAAGCCCATATTAAAATCTAAAACATTAGAAGCATACTAGAGCTCATTCACTAAAACTTGAACTGATGTGCTTGGAAATGTGTAATGGCTGAAATTGGTAAAACGTTTGAAATAGCCTGTATCATTGGAAATGATCTGAGGATTTCCATAATAGTCAGTGCTGGACAGTTAATCTGTACTAGAACATAGGATTATTATATGCTAAAATATCAGTTGAATGATACCATACAGTGGATTGTTGAGATTTTAAGAGTCTGCCAAAAATTCAGGGGAATTACTATATAGTTGGGGGGAAGGGGGAGGAGTGGGGGACTAATGTGTTTTAAACAAAAGTATATAAACTGAAGTACTAAGAGTAGTAGGAGTTTAGAAAAGAGAAGAATGAAAGAAATCTTGGAAAAGCAAAAATTTGTATTGATCCTTGAAGTTTGGATTTTAGATTAACAAAGAAGAAGGAAAGAAGTTTGGTCGGGAAGGAGAAATAATGAGGAATATGTGGGCAGAAAGGTAAAAGTACATATAAACATGATTGTGTACAGAAGGTTAAAGGTTTTCCTGATTCCATCAGGCAGAGGTAGAATCCCTTATGCATTCCCATAGCACCTTATGCTACCTCAGTAGTGGCATTGATTTCATGGTGGAATAATTTAATCTCTCACTTGCTAAACTGTTGGATTTCTTAAGGGTAAGAAATGTCCATGTCTTATTTACCTTCATTTGCAAGTCCAGTCCCTCATATATTGAGATGGGAAAGAGAATTAAGGTTTCAATTCCTATTTGAGAATATCGCAGGCCATTTCTGAAGCACTTGAATTAGATTACATGTAAATGGAGACAGTGAATCCTTTCTTTCTTAAGCAAGTAGACATTGAACAATAGTGGGAAATAAGATTTTATAAGTAGGGTGATGCTAGATTAAGGAGGTTGGAAAGTTAGGCACAAAAATTTGAATTCAGTATGGAATTGATGTTGGTGATCAGTGGGGATCAGTTATTTACCACCTTCACAACTTGGTCTCAAATCCATAGGCAGCCATTGTAGATTCTGGAGCCAGTAAATAATAACTTCTGAGGGATAAATATCTGATATCAATCCACAGAAAATAAAAGCCTACCACTTTTGCCCAGGCATTTGAGTCTCATTAGACCCATGCATAGACTGGATCTATGCCGGGCAAATTATATCCTGTCTCAAGTAACTTACTTTCTCAGAGTCTGACTTAATCCCAGTTTGTTCCCCAAGAGAGGACTTCTAGAGTAGAGTAGTCTTATTACCAATTTTACCATGAAATGACAAAAAAAAAAAAAAAAAACAGGTTTCCACCAAAAATAAAAATCATTTTTTCTCTCCCTTATATATTGAGATTCATTGTCTTTTAAGAAACTTACTTTTCTTTATTGTCCCATTCCGCTGAGAATCTAATGTGCTCTAACTTTACTGCAAATTTTTATTAAATTTGTATAAAAATTATTAAATTTTTATTAAATTTTAATCATAAGAACTGATATTTAATGTCTACCCTGTGCTAGATACATTACTTATTTTATTTAGTGAAAAAATTCTGAGGTTGAAACTCTATTTTTATACTTAAATCAAAATGATTAACTTTCTAAAGGACTCAGCTTGCAAGTATCAGAGCTGACATCTGAACTCAAGGCAACCTGCTCCAGAGTCTGTCCCTGCTCTGCAAAACAGCACACTGGAAGAGCGGCATTTTGGTTCTTCCTATATATTTAATTCAATTACTCTGCAAACTACCGCAGAACATTATTTCACTTTAGGTCCCTTTCTTCTCATCTCTGCTTCCTCTTTAAAGTAGCAGGTGGGGACTATGAAGAAACATTATTCTGATTTTTTTTCTTTTCTCTTTCAGGCCACGTAAACTAGTCTTTGTCTTTGCTGGAATAAACAGTATTGTACGTGATTGAACATTTGTAATATCAGGAGACCTAACAGTATAGTGTGGCATCAGGCTAGGGAACCCCTGCCTTGATGAATTGGATACCATAATATTTCTCTGCCTAGGGCCACTACTACTTGCATAATAATTGCCCCAGTAAATTTGTAGCAGTCCTATCCAGAAACAGAATATGGGTATTTGTAAATAAATGAGTACTGACCACAATTAGCATCTCAAAAGGAGGCAGTGACATTCTGAATTTTTTTCTCTCTTTTTTTTTTCTTTGAGAGAGAAAGGGTCTTGCTTTGTTGCCCAGGCTGGAGTGCAGTGATGCCATCATGGCTCACTGCAGCCTCTACCTACCAGGCTCAAACGATGCTCACACCTCAGCCTTCCAAGTAGCTGGGGCTACAGGTGCATGCCGCCACACCTGGCTAATGTTTTTCTCTTTTTGTAGAGACTGAATCTCACTGTGTTGCCCAACCTGGTCTTGAATTCCTGGACTCAAGCAATCCTCCCACATCAGCCTCCCAAATTGTGGGGATTATAGGTGTGAGCCACTATGCTAAGCCCTAAACTTTTTCCTTGGGCAATAGTTTTCAAACAGTTTCTGATAGTAATTATTCTAAAGCAATCATCTTCCAGCTATTTTGCCAATTACCCACAATAAAGATCTGTTTTATATTACAATCTGGTACACATTTATAAAGATAGGAAATTATAGGTTTACGAAAACAATTATTTTCCTTACTACAACAGATATAGTCTCATATTTCATATTCAATTTCATTAAAAAATTTCTTGGTTGGGACCCACTAAATAGATTTCATTATCCACATGAAAAGTGCTCTGGTAGAGAATAAGCTTGAGGTAATCTGTATGGCTCTTCAGATTTGGCTTAAACCTGTCTTACTCTCTCCTCTCCTTTTTACTTAGATCTTCTCTTTGCTTATCTGTATTTCTGTAGCCTCATCCAAATCTCTTTTATCTCCTTTCGTTGTTCTTCCCTTCATTTTTCCCTTTTCTATTTCACCAATTCAGAACTGTGACTACACTCCACCAATGCAAAACTGTAAAATATTTGTATAAGTTACAATTTTTCTCACTTTATGATTTTTTTTTCACCCAGGTGAATTTAACTTTTTGTCTCTCAAATTCCAAACAAAAATAAACTGTTTCTTACAAGAGTTTGCATATGTAATTTTACCTTCCTTGTAAGTTAGCTATTTTCATAGTAAAAAGTTTCCCATACCTATATAAATTATACTAGCAGTATTATAAATACTATCTTAATACTTGGAAATTAAGCTAATATACTTGTTGTACCTATTTATGAATGGAACTTTCAGGATAATTAGAGGCCACAGAAGCATCCCTCAGTTCTCTATTGAGTCACTTAGTTCTGTTCATGTTATTACCTCAATATCTCTCATGGCTGTTCCTTCCTCTAAATTCTATGTTCTTATTTTTCTCCTAAATTATTGTAATGAGCTCCTGCTTAATCTTCCTAAACTCTCTTAATATATCTTTTGTCATAGTGATATTTGAAATAGAAATTGATCTGCCAGTAACCGT